>NC_000023.11:76401935-76704966 GCF_000001405.40 Homo sapiens
ACGCCTGTAATCCCAGCAATTTGGGAGGCCGAGGGGGGTAGATCACAAGATCACGGGTTCAGGAGATCGAGACCATCCTGGCTAACACGGTGAAACCCCGTCTCTACTAAAAATACAAAAAATTAGCCGGGCGTGGTGGTGGGTGCCTGTAGTCCCAGCTACCCGGGAGGCTGAGGCAGGAGAATGGCGTGAACCCAGGAGGCAGAGCTTGCAGTGAGCGGAGATCGTGTCACTGCACTCCAGCCTGGGCGACAGTGCAAGACTCCTTCTCAAAAAAAAAAAAAAAAAAATAGATCTGAAGTGAGAGACTGCAATACAATACAATAATAGTGGGAAACCTCAATACACTTTTGAAAGTGAACAGATGATCTAGACATAAAACCAATAAGGAATCATTAGATATGAATTACACATTAGACCAAGTGAACCTAACAGACATATGCAAAACATTCCATCCAACCGCAGCAGAATACACATTCTTCTCAAGTTTACATGGAACATTCTTCAGGGAAAAAACGATTGAAATCATATAAAGTATCTTCTTGGATTACAATAGCATGAAACTAGCAATCAATAACTGGAAAATACTAAAATATGTGGAAATTAAACAACATGCTCCTAAACAGCTAATGGGTCACAGAAGAAATAAAAAAGGAAATAAAAAATACTTCAAGACAAACCAAAATAGAGATAAATTTATAGAAATAATTGCCTATATCAAAAAGGAGAAAGACCTCAAATGAACAACACATTATACCTCAAGGAACTAGAGAATAGAAGAGCAAGCTAAGCCCAAATTTAGCAGATGGAATAAAATAACTATCAGAGAAGAAATAAGTAGAATAGATACAGAAAAATATATGTGAAAAAAGTGAATGTAAGAGTTGGGTTTTCTTTTTTGAAAAGACAAACGAAATCAACAAAGCCTAAGCTAGTCTAAATTTAAAAATGGGAAAGATTGAAATAAATAAAATCAGAAATAAGAAAGTAGATATTACAACCAACCAAAGAAATACAAAAGATCCTAAGAATCTACTATGAAAAATCATGTCAATAAATTGAATAATATAGAATAAATGGATGCATTTCTAGACACATACAACCTACCAAGACTGAATCTTGAAGAAATAGAAAACTTGAACAGAGCAATAATGAAAAAGAAGATTGAATCAGCAATAAAAATTCTCCCAACAATGAAAAGCCCAAGACCAAATATACTAGACAGAGATTGTAAGAAAAATAGCATGGTGCTAGCACAAAAACAGACACACCATACAATGCAAAAAGATACAAAGATATAAATCCCAGAAAATAACCCATGCATTTATGCTTAATTAATGTTTGACAACAGTCCAAAGAACACAATATGGGAAAAGGACTGTCTCTTCAATAAATGATGCTAGCAAATCTGGTTATCCAAATGCAGAAGAATGAAATTGGATCATTATCTCCCACAATATAAAAATGTCAAATCAAGATTGATTAAAGACTTAAATATAAGACTTAAAACAATAAAAGTACCAGAAGAAAGAAGAAAGCATAGGTGAAAAGCTACATGACATTGGTCTGTGCAGTAAATTCTTGGATATAATTGCAAAGGCACAAGCAACAAAAGCAAAAATAAACAAATAGGATTGCGTCAAACTAAGTCTTCTGCATAGCAAAGGAAAAAACTGAGTGAATAGACAACCAACAGAATGAGACAAAAAATATTTGCAAACCATACATCCAATAAGGGGTTAAAATCCAAAACATTTAAGAAATTCAAACAACTCAATAGTGAAAAAAAATAAATAAACCAATTAAAATGTGGGTAAAGAAACAGAATAGACATTTCTCAAAAGAAGACATACAAATTACCAACAGGTACATGAAAAAAGCTCAACATAATTAAATATTAGAAAAATAAGAAGTAAAACCACAGTGAGGCATCACCTTCACACCTGTTAGAATGTCTTTTATAAAAAACATGAAAGAAAATAAGTGTTGGCAAGGGTTCAAAGCAAGGGTAATTCTTGTTCATTTTTGGTGGGAATGGAAATTAATACAGCCATTGTCAAAAATGGTATGGAGTTTCTTCAAAAAAAAAACTAAAAATAAAATTACCATATATTCCAGCTGATCCACTTCTGTGTATATATACAAAGGAATTGAAATCAGTGTGTCAGATATCTGCACTCCTATGTTAATTGCAGCATTATTTACTATAGTCAAGACAAGGAATCAATCTGTGTCTATTAGCAGATAAATTGATAAAGAAAATATGGTACACATACAAAATGAAATACTATTCATCCATAAAAAATAATGAAATCCTAATCATTTGTGACAATATTGATGAACCTGGAGAACATTATGCTAAGGGAAATAAGCCAGACATAGAAAGACTTCATTATTTTACTTATATGAAAAATCTAAAAAATCTAAAAAAGTAGAAAGCAGAATGGTGGTTATTAGAGGCTGAGGATGGGGGAATGAATAAGGAAGTTGTTGGTCATAGGATACGAAGTTTCAGATAGAAAGAATAAGTTCTGATATCTGTTGCACAGCCGAATGATTATAGTCAACAATAATGTACCATATATTTCAAAATAACTAAAAGAGTAAATTTTAAATGGCTCATCACAAAAAATAAGTGATGTAATGGGTGTGTTAATTACTTTGATTTAATTATTCCACAATGTATGCAAGTATCAAAACATCACTTTGTACCCCAAAAATGTATACAATTATTATTTGTCAATTAAAATAATACAGATGCTTCTTGACTTATCATGGGGTTATGTCCTGATAAACCCATCATAAGCTGAAAACATCCAAGTCAAAAATGCATTTCAGCTAGTGTACTGAACATCATAGCTTGTCTAGTGTAATTTAAACACTCTCAGAACACTTACAGTAGCCTACTATTGAGCAAAAGCATCTACTCCAAAGCCTGTTTTGTCATAAAGTGTTGATTATCTCCTGTAATTTATTGAGTACAGTACTCTGTATAGTATTGGTTGTTTAGCCTCATGATTACATGGCTGACTGGGAGGTGTGGCTCACTGCTGCTGCCAAGCATCATAAAAGAGTATTGTACTGCATATCACTAACCCAGGAAAATGTCAAACTTAAAAATTTTGTATGCTTTCTGCTGAATGCATATCAATTTTGCACCATCATAAAGTTGAAAAATCATAAGTCAAACCATCATAAGTTGGGGACCATCTATATTAATTTTTTAAAAACTTTGAAGTCCCACCCCACACCCCCCAAAATGATGCTTTTATTTATTATAAGAGACATTTTCCATTACCCAGGGTATAATAAAAATCTCAATTACTAGGATAATTGGCTCTGTCTTTAATTTTGATAAGTGCTCAGTGTGACACCAAGAGTCACTTCTTCAGTGGTGAATACTTTTGGGCTGAGTCTGGTAGCCACTTATACCAAAAATCCATTGGTGTACATTTACCAGTCCATTCAGTCCAAAGGCTCCAGAGAGCAAATGTTTGGGTGGTTGAAACTTCTAATTGTAAGTCTTGCCCTCAGGGAACTAGTGTGAAAACAAAAGCTATGGCTTCTTTTAGTTTATCTAATGCCTGTTTTTGTTCAAGAAACCACTAAATAGTAGAAGACTTACAGATGACTCAATAGAATGGAACCAACAAACATCAGAGGTGAGGAACAGCTTGGTGCTTGAATCCAAACATTTCTACCAAATATTGGCGCTATTTTATCAATGTGGGAGGTAGAAATGCTGGGAGCTTGTGTTTTGCCAGATTGAGAAAAATTCACATTTCCGAGTTTTAAGAGTAGCCCCATAATTTATCTACTGCACAGCCTTAACTTTCAGGCCTGCCTCTAATTTCCACCTGTGGCAGGGTTCTGCCCACATGAAAATTCAGTGGTAGATGAAGTAGGACTTTTCCAACACAAAGTAGTTTGAGTGCCAGAAAATATAAAATATCAGAGGTGCTTTCTGGAGCCTTGGACCCAATGGACTGGTAAATGTACACCCATGGGTTTTTGGTATAAGTGGCTAGATCTGTTGGACAGGGATACCCAAGGGAAGAGTCTTCTACATCCTGCAGAACAATTGCCCATGTCTTCTCAGTATTTCTTCAGGGTTGTGATGTCCTGTGAGACAGATTTTTGGCCAGGTTCAGCGACTAAGTTGCCATTAATATAATGGCAAAACTAAGCTTCTGATAGGGGTGTGGGGCAGGCATTTAGGCCCTGTTGGCAAAGCTTACACGCAATTCCTAGGTTACTTGAGTTTTCCATAAGAAATTAGGAAAATGTGTACTGTTGACCTTCAAATTTGAAGAGAAGCTGTGGTTGACTCTTTGAAATTTTTACTAAATAGAACATGTAAGTCAAGTCTATAACTCCAAACTATTTACACGTGTTCTTTTGAATGGCATTCATTAAGGTGACAATATCTGGTAGAAGTACTCTAATAAAGGAAACAGCCTTGTTAAATCTCTATAGTCTACAGTTACCCACCACCATGTAGTGACTTTAAGCACAGGCCATCATGAAAACTTGACAAGTGAGGTAGTAGGAATTAATACTCCTTTTTTTAGTTAAGTTGTCTATGAGGGATTCTATGCTTCAGTGTCTTGCCTTATCCAGTACTGTGGCATGTTTACCACCAATACCAATAGGGCAAGGTTAGCTGAATTCTATCAGTCAGTGTCCATCAATAGCAAAAATCATTTTTCCATGAGGTTACCTGCTTCCTGAGGATGTCCATTCCAATTTTAATAGTTAAGCAGGTAATTACCCAATTTATTATCCTCCTCCAAAGCCAGTCATCCCGTGAGGGCGTTCCTTTAAAGCATGGATACTTTCTGGGATTAGGGAGATTTGCGTACCCCTGTCCAACAGATCTAGCCACTTATACCAAAAACCTATGGGTGTATATTTACCAGTCCATTGGGTCCAAGGCTCCAGGAAGCACCTCTGATATTTTATATTTTCTGGCACTCAAACTACTTTGTGTTGGAAAAGTCCTACTTCATCTACCACTGAATTTTCATGTGGGCAGAACCCTGCCACAGGTGGAAATTAGAGGCAGGCCTGAAAGTTAAGACTGCATCTGAAGGAGAAGCCTGCTGAAGATTGTCCACTAACCCTAACAGGTACTGTAATTGTTCATTTATCAGAGTTCTTCCAATTTGGGTCCCCCTTTGTTCCTTAAGGATCTCTATAACCTCTTTTATTCATCTCGAGGTTCATGCTTAAGTGGAGGCCTGACTACAGTTGTTTTGTTTGACCTAAGAGTGAGATAACCACACTGTTTACAGAAATTTTGATTTAGGCCAATTGGGGTACTGTTTGGAGAATTAACAGGCAACAGTTGACTCTGAGTTTGCCTTTCATGAGTTTCTATCAAATTCAGGGCATCCATTGCCTGTTGAATTGTTTCAGTATTAGCCATGATTGCCAGTAAAGAGAGCTTATACTTGTCAGAAGCACCCTCACCAAAAAACAAACAAACAAAAAAACAACTGAATGGACTCAGGACTCAATTCAGCCTCCTCCAGATTTGCCATGACCTCATGCTTCATGCCATCTGTTATCTGATAAGCCCATTTAAACCCAGCTGGTGGAGGAAATCTTTTGCCTTAGCTAATGATTTATATTGACAGTTTGACCAGCCTAATGGTATGAGGACTAAGGCAAGATGAACAGCCCTATAAGCCTTAAATTTTTCATCAGTTGAATGCATAGAAGTAGAAAGTAGAATGGTGATTGCCAGGGGCTGAAGCGGGGAGGGAGATTGGGGAGACGTTGCTCTATGGATATAAAATTCAGTCAGGAGGAATAAGTTTGTGAAATCTACTGTACAATGTGGTGACTATAGTTAATAACAATGTATTGTATTCTTAAAAATTGCTGAGAAAATAGATTGTGTTCTTACCACACACACACACAAACACACACACACACACACACACACACACACACGAAAAAAGAAAAAAATCCACATCAACAAGTTGTATGCAGATTGGGGTTAAAAATCTCTGTGAGTCATTTCCACTTCTCACAATAACTGTGCAGGATTTATTAGTAAGGAAACCACTTTTCCATTCTTTACTATGGCAATGAATCATTAAATTTAAGCTCCCATTGGTGAAGCTTGCTCCTCACCGGATACATTCCCTATAACCAGGCAGCCACTTTTTAACTTGACTCCAAAGTTATTAAGGAAAGATTGGGCCTCACAGTGAGAGAGATAATGTCCTATTTCTCCAACTGAGAACCAATCTCTCCTTGTGCCTTTTTTGCCTTTTCTATCTTTCTTACTCTGCTGTTGATTACAACAGAACAGAAAGTAAATTATTCTCATCACTATCATGGTGATAACGTGCTGCATTTTGCTCTAGAGAATAAAATTCTTTTTCTCTGGAGTCCTGTTCTTCATCTGGTCTCTCATAGGAATTCAAGATTCTACCTCATCTCCAGGGAGTGTCCTGGTAAGAAGGAGCCTCTAGCAGATTTCACTATATATCTGGTCCTTTGGATCATCTGTTCAGTTAGATATCTACCTCTTTGGAGACCTGGGAGGGACTGCAATAAAAACTTCCATTTCTTTTGTTATTATAAGTAACATTTTAGCTGGCCGAGCCCTAGCACTGGGGGCTCAATATCCCTTGGGGATATAGGACTAGAATGATGCTATCTGGGACAGAAGGTCCAAGTACAACAGTAGCAGAGGCAAGCTAACTATTTACAAAATTTTTTTTTCCCAATTGCACTTAGGAGGCTAGCCTCAGCCTTACATCTCAGACTTATTGTCTTGTTTACCTACCACAGAAGTCCACAGGAATAAGGATCCTCTCACCTTGTAGTACCTCAAATGACCATCCCTAATGCAGAGAGTTTCTTCACCCATAGCCCATTATTCAGAGGTGTGTACTCCATCCCTTTTTTATTTAGGCCTACAGGTTTTATAATGTCCAGTGCCTGCCTAGTGGGAGATTCAGACAGGCAGGCTGACCTTCCCAGGAATCTACGTGTCTCTGATCCCCCAAAATCAGTTCCAACAGTGTGGGTTAATACATATTCTGGTGCTACAACTTGGCTAGGCTAATGGAAAGACCATAAAAATATAGAAAGCAGTACAGCACTGAGGATGCTATGTCAAATTAATATTGAGGCATTCTGAGTTTTCTTTTGAAACAGGGTGTCACTTTGCTGCTCAGGCTGAATTATGTAGTGGCATGATCATGGATCATTGCAGCTTCCAACTCCTGGGCTCAAGCGATCCTTCTGCTTCAGCCTCCCAAGTAGTGAGGACTACAGGCATGAGCCACCACATCCAACTCATTCTCAAATTTCAGTCCCAACTACTTAAGTCTTTCCAAGATCATTTTGCCAAATAATTGTTCTACTGACTGAACCTCATCACCAAATCCTCCCCTTTTCTCTCCATCACTTATAGTGAGATTCAGGGAATATTAGAGATATCAAGAAAAAAATGAACATGAGATGGTAGTAGCACATAATAAGCTTTATTTGGGCAAACTTTGCCAAGTTTTTATGCAGGAAGTGCAAAGATTAGAGGGGTAAAAGGAAATGTTTGTTATACCATGAGATCTTCTAAGCAGGGGTGTCCAATCTTTTCACTTCCTTGGGCAACATTGGAAACAGAAGAATTGTCTTGGGCCACACATAAAATACACTAACATTAATGATAGCTGATGATCTAAAAAAAACTCATAATGTTTTAAGAAAGTTTATGAATTTGTATTGGGCTTCATTCAAAGCCATCTTGGGCTGCAGGCAGCCCATGGGCCACAGGTTAGACAAGCCTGTTCTAGAGGCTGTCAGTGAAGGAAGAGGAAGGGAACCAACTAGAAGGGGAAAGGGCAAGGGAAGTCCTGGGGAAGATGGGAATTTAAAAGGCCGCTTATGTCCCTAGGTGATGTTACTCAGAAACGTGATGGGAAATCTCTGGGTTACAGAGCTCTGAAGGGCAGCAGTGGCTTGGAGTCTTCTTGCACTAGGGTTTTTCTTACTTATGACTAGCAGATGTTTGGTGTAGTTTCATAGGGCCTGTAAAGCATCTAGCCTCTAAATGGTTAAGATATGCTTATTTGAGTTATATTTGAAATAACTGGATATATAAAACTTTGATTTTTTTCACCAATGGGGTTTTGAGCTAATGGAACCTGACCTGCTCTGAAGAGGTACACAACAGGAGCAAAACACAGAGGACATCTTTGGCTTATTTATATAAAAGATACAATAGCATTAAGATGTGGAAAAAATGTAGTTTAAATGTTCTAAGATCCTTGCAATATCTAGGACATGGTGAAAGTACCAATTGAAATTAGTCAATAAGCAGTTCTTGTAGTGCTAAAAGGAGCTCTAACTCTTGAAACAAATCCTGGAAACAAATTAAAACAGAACCTCTTTAACACATAAATCTCACAGGACCTATAAAAATACAATTTAAAAATCCCCAAGGTATACAGCAACCAACAGCACGATGAATGTATTAGTACTTCACATCTCAATACTAACATTGAATGTAAATGGCCTAAATGTCCCATTTAAAAGATACAGAATGGCAGAATGGATAAGAATTTATCAACCAAGTATCTGCTGCTTTCAACAGACTCACCTAACACATAAGGACTCACATAAACTTAAGGTAAAAAGGTAGAAAAAAAATTCCATGCAAATAAACACCAAAGACAGTCAGGAGTAGCTATTCATATATTAGATGAAACAAACTTTAAAGCAAAAGCAGTTTAAAAAAAAGACAAAGAAGGACATTATATAATAATAAGAGGCCTTGTCCAACAGGAAAATATCACAATCCTAAATATATATTCACCTAATACTAGAGATCCCAAATTTATAAAACAATTACTACTTAACCTAAGAAATGAGATAGCAACACAATAATAGTGGGGGACTTCAATACTCCACTGACAGTGCTAGACAGGTCATGAAAGCAGGAAGTAAACAAAGAAACAATGGATTTAAACTATACCCTGGAACAAATGGACTTAACAGATATTTACAGAACATTCTACCCAACAACCACAGAATATACATTCTATTGATCAGCGCATGGAGCTTTCTCTGAAATAGACCATATGATAGCCCACAAAACAAATCTCAATAAATTTTTTAAAATTGAAATTATATCCAGTGCTCTCTCAGACCGAAGTGGAATAAAACTGGAAATAAACTCCAAAAGGAACCTTCAAACCCATGCAAATACATGGAAATTAAATGACCTGTTTCTGAATGATCATTGGGTCCACAATGAAATCAAGATGGAAATTAAAAAATTCTTCGAGCTTAACAAGAATAGTGACAAAACCTATCAAAATTGCTGGGATACAGCAAAGGCGGTCCTAAGGGGAAAGTTCATAGTCCTAAATGCCTATCTCAAAAAGTCTGAAAAAGAACAAATACAGAATCTAAGGTCACACCTTAAGGAACTAGAGAAACAAGAACAAACCAAAACCTGAATCCAGCAGAAGAAAGAAAAGAACCAAGATTAGAGCAGAACTAAATGAAATTGAAACAAAAAAAATAGAAAAAATAAATAAAACAAAAAGCTGTTTTTTGAAATAATACATAAAATTGATAGACCATTAGAAAAATTAACCGAGAAAAGAAGAGAGAGGATTAAAATAAGCTCAATTAGAAACAAAATGGGAGATATTACAACCAACACCACAGAAATACAAAAGATCACTAAAGGCTACTATGAACACCTTTATGTGCATAAACTAGAATACCTAGAGGAGATGAATAAATTCCTGAAAAAATACAATCCTTCTAGCTTAAATCAGGAAGAATTAGAAATCCTGAACAGACCAATAACAAGCAGCCAGATTGAACTGGTAATTAAGAAATTACCAAGAGGCTGGGTATGGTGGCTCACATCTGTAACCTCAGCACTTTGGGAGGCATAGTTGAGTGGATAACCTGAGGTCAGGAGTTCGAGACCAGCCTGGCCAACATGTTGAAACCCCATCTCAAGGATAATACAAAATTAGCCAGGTGTGGTGGTGCATGCCTGTAATCCCAGCTACTTGGAAGACTGAGGCAGAAGAATTGCTTGAATTCGGGAGGTGGAGGTTGCAGTGAACCCAGATCACACCACTGCACTCCAGCCTGGACAACAAGAGTGAAACTCTGGGCCAGGTGCAGTGGCTCACACCTGTAATCCCAGCACTTTGGGAGGCCGAGGTGGGCAGATCACCTGATGTCGGGAGTTCAAAATCAGCCTGAGCAACATGGAGAAACCCCGTCTCTACTAAAAATACAAAAATTAGCTGGGCATGGTGGTGTGCACCTGTCATCCCAGCCACTTGGGAGGCTGAGGCAGGATAATCATTTGAACCCAGGAGGCAGAGGTTGCAGTGAGCCAAGATCACACCACTGCACTCCAGCCTGGGTGACAGATTGAGGCTCCATCTCAAAATAATGATAACAATAATAAAATAAAAAATAAAAGAGTGAAACTCTGTCTCAAGAACATTTTTTTAAAAATTACCAACAAAAAAAGGTCCAGAACCAGATGAATTCACAGCTGAATTCTTCCAGAGACTCAAAGAAGGAGTGGTACCAATCCTATTGACACTATTCCACATGATAGAGAAAGAGGAAATCCTCCCTAAATCATTCTATGAAGCCAGCATCACCCTAATACCAAAAGCAGTGAAGGACATAACAAAAAAAAATGACAAACCAGTACCCCTGATAAACACAGATGCAAAAATCCTTAACAAAACACTAGCTAAACGAATCTAACAGCATATCAAAAATATAATCCACCATGATCAAGAGAGTTTCACACCAGGGATGCAGGGATGGTTTAACATATGCAAGTCAATAAATGTGATACACCACATAAACAGAATTTAAAAAATTACATAATCATCTCCATAGATGGAGAAAAAGCATTTGACAAATCTTAGCATACATTTGCGGTTAAAATCCTCAAAAAAGTCGGCATACAAAGGACATACTTCAGTGTAATAAAAGTCATCTATGACAAACCCACAGCCAACATAATATTGAATGGGGAAAAGTAGAAAGCATTCCCTTTCAGAAACGGAACAAGACAAGGATGCCCACTCTCACCACTTCTATTCAACATAGTACTGGAAGTCCTAGCCAGAACAATCAAACAAGAAAAAGAAATAAAGGACATCCAAATAGGTAAAGAGAAAGTCAAACTGTTGCTGTTTACTGATGACATAATTGTATACCTAGAAAACTCTAAAGACTCATCAAAAAGCTCCTAGAACTGATAAATGAATTCATCAAAGTTTCAGGACAGAAAATTAATGTATAAAAATCAGTAGCTCTGCTATATACAACAGCGATGAAGCTGAGAATCAAATCAAGAACTCAACCCCTTTTACAGTAGCTGCCAAAGAATAAAATACTTAAGAATTCACCTAACGAAGGAGGTGAAAGTCCTCTACAAGAAAAACTACAAAACACTGCTGAAAGAAATAATAGATGACACAAATAAATGGAAACACATCCTATGCCCATGGATAGGTAGAATCAATATTGTGAAAATGACCATACTGCCAAAAGCAGTCTATGAATTCAATGTAATTCCCATCAAAATACCACCATCATTCTTCACAGAACTAGAAAAAACAATCCTAAAAATCACATGGAACCAGAAAAAGAGCCTGCAT
Organism: Homo sapiens; assembly: GCF_000001405.40. Taxonomy (NCBI): domain Eukaryota; kingdom Metazoa; phylum Chordata; class Mammalia; order Primates; family Hominidae; genus Homo; species Homo sapiens. The sequence goes on from NC_000023.11 coordinate 76,413,614, forward strand.
AGCAAAGGGAAGACTAAGCAAAAAGAACAAATCTGCAGGCATCACACTACCTGACTTCAAACTACACTATTAGTCCATAGTCACCCAAACAGCATGGGACTGGCATAAAAATAAGCACATAGACCAATGAAACAAAATGGGACTGGTATAAAAATAAGCACATAGATCACTGAAACAGAATAGAGAACCCAGAAATAAACCTAAATACTTACAGCCAAACTGATCTTCAGGAAACCAAAAAAAAAAGAAAAAAAAAAGCTAAGTGGAAAAAAGACACCCTATTTAAAAAATTATTCCAAGATAATTAGCAAGCCACATATAGAAGAATAAAACTGGATCCTCATCTCTCACCTTATACAAAAATCAACTCAAGATGAATCAAGAACTTAAATCTATGACTTGAAAATATAAAAATTATGGAAGATAACATCAGAAAGACCCTTGTAGACATTGGCTTAGAAAAAGATTTCATGACCAGGGACCCAAAAGCAAATGCTATACAAAAATCATCTGAAGACGGATCAAGGACTTAAATCTATGACTTGAAAATATAAAAATTCTAGAAGACAACATCAGAAGGACCCTTCTAGACATTGGCTTAAAAACATCACTAATGATCAGGGAAATGCAAATTAAAACCATAATGTGATACCACCTTACTCCAACAAGAATGGCCATAATGAAAAAATAAAAAAATAATAGATATTGGCATAGATGCAGTGGAAAGGGAACACTTCTACATTGCTGCTGGGAATGTAAACTAGTACAAACACTATGGGATACAGTGTGAAGATTCCTTAAAGAACTAAAAGTAGAAGTACCATTTGATACAGCAATCCCCCTACTAGGTATCTACCCACAGGAAAATCAGCCATTATACAAGAAAGATACTTCCACATGCATGTTTATAGCAGTACAATTTGCAATTGAAAAAACATGGAACCAGCCCAAATGCCCACCAATCAATGAGTGGATAAAGAAACTGTCATATATATATATATATATATATATATATATATATATATATATATATACAATTGAATACTACACAGCCATAAAAAAGAATGAATTAATGGCATTTGCAGCAACCTGGATGGAATTGGAGACTATTATTCTAAGTGAAGTAACTCAGGAATGAAAAACCAAACATTAAATGTTCTCTCTCATAAGTGGGAGCAAAGCTATGATGATGCAAAAGCATAAGAATGATACAACGGGAGGGTGGAGCCAAGATGGCCAAATAGAAACAGCTCCAGTCTACAGCTCCCAGCATGAACAACAGAGAAGATGGGTGATTTCTGCATTTCCAACTGAGGTACCGGGGTCATCTCACTGGTGAGTGTCAGACAGTGGGTGCAGAACAGTGGGTGCAGTGCACTGAGCATGAGCCGAAGCAGGGCAAGGCATCACCTTAACCAGGAAGTGCAAGGAATCAGGGAATTCCCTTTCCTAGTCAAAGAAAGGGGTGACAGAGGGCACCTGGAAAATCGGGTCACTCCCACACTAATACTGTGCTTTTCCAATGGTCTTAGCAAATGGCACACCAGGAGATTATATCCCACGCATGGCTTGGAGGGTCCTACGCCCACAGAGACTCACTCATTGTTAGCAAAGCAGTCTGAGATCAAACTGCAAGGCGGCAGCGAGGCTGGGGGAGGGGTGCCCGCCATTGCCGAGGCTTCAGTAGGTAAACAAATTGGCCAGGAAGCTCGAACTTGGTGGACCCCACTGCAGCTCAAGGAGGCCTGCCTGCCTCTGTAGACTCCACCTCTGGGGGCAGGGCATAGCCAAACAAAAGGCAGCAGAAACCTCTGCAGACTTAAATGTCCCTGTCTGACAGCGGTGAAGAGAATAGTTGTTCTCCCAGGACGCAGCTGGAGATCTGAGAACGGACAGACTGCCTCCTCAAATGGGTCCCTGACCCCAATTCCAGAGGAACGATCAGGCAGCAACATTTGCTGTTCACCAATATCAGCTGTTCTGCAGCCTCTGCTGCTGATACCCAGGCAAACAGGGTCTGGAGTGGACCTCCGGCAAACTCCAACACGTCTGCAGCTGAGGGTTCTGACTGTTAGAAGGAAAACTAACAAACAGAAAGGACATCCACAACCATACCCCATCTGTACATCACCATCATCAAAGAACAAAGGTAGATAAAACCACAAAGATGGGGAAAAAACAGAGCAGAAAAATTGGAAACTCCAAAAATCAGAGCACCTCTCCTCCTCCAAAAGAATGCAGCTCTTCACCAGCAATGGAACAAAGCTGGATGGAGAATGACTTTGACGAGTTGAGAAAAGAAGGCTTCCGATGATCAAACTACTCCAAGCTAAAGGAGGAAGTTCAAACCCATGGCAAAGAAGTTAAAAACCTTGAAAAAGTTTAGACAAAAGGCTCACTAGAATAACCAATGCAGAGAAGTCCTTAAAGGACCTGATGGAGCTGAAAACCACGGCACGAGAACTACATGATGAATGCACAAGCCTCAGTAGACGATTTGATCAACTGGAAGAAAGGGTATCAGTGATGGAAGATCAAATGAGTGAAATGAAGTGAGAAGAGAACTTTAGAGAAAAAAGAATAAAAAGAAATGAACAAAACCTCCAAGAAATATAGGACTATGTGAAAAGACCAAATCTACATCTGATTGGTGTACCTGAAAGTGACGGGGAGAATGGAACCAAGTTGGAAAGCACTCTACAGGATATTACCCAGGAGAACTTCCTCAATCTAGCAAGGCAGACCAACATTCAGATTCAGGAAATACGCAGAAGGCCACAAAGACTCTCCTCAAGAAGAGCAACTCCGAGACACATAATTGTCAGTTTCACCAAAGTTGAAACGAAGGAAAAAAATGTTAAGGGCAGCCAAAGAGAAAGGTCGGGTTACCCACAAAGGGAAGCCCATGAGACTAACAGTGGATCTCTCGGCAGAAACTCTACAAGCCAGAAGAGAGTGGGGGCCAATATTCAACATTCTTAAAGAAAAGAATTTTCAACCCAGAATTTCATATCCAGCCAAACTAAGCTTCATAAGTGAAGGAGAAATCAAATACTTTACAGACAAGCAAATGCTGAGAGATTTTGTCACCACCAGGCCTGCCCTAAAAGAGCTCTTGAAGGAAGCACTAAACATGGAAAGGAACAACCGGTACCAGCCACTGCAAAAACATGACAAATTGTAAAGACCATTGAGGCTAGGAAGAAACCGCATCAACTAACGAGCAAAATAACCAGCTAACATCATAATGACAGGATCAAATTCACACATAACAATATTAACCTTAAAGGTAAATGGGGTAAATGCTCCATTTAAAAGACACAGACTGGCAAATTGGATAAAGAGTCAAGACTCATCAGTGTGCTGTATTCAGGAAACCCATCTCACGTGCGGAGACACACATAGGCTGAAAATAAAGTGATGGAGGAAGATCTACCAAGCAAATGGAAAACAAAAAAAGGCAGGGGTTGCAATCCTAGTCTCTGATAAAACAGACTTTAAACCAACAAAGATCAAAAGAGACAAAGAAGGCCATTACATAATGGTAAAGGGATCAATTCAACAAGAAGAGCTAACTATCCTAAATCTATATGCACCCAATACAGGAGCACCCAGATTCATAAAGCAAGTCCTTGGAGACCTACAAAAGAGACTTAGACTCCCACACAATAATAATGGGAGACTTTAACACCCCACTGTCAATATTAGACAGATCAACGAGACAGAAAGTTAACAAGGATATCCAGAAACTGAACTCAGCTCTGCACCAAGCAGACCTAATAGACACCTACAGAGCTCGCCACCCCAAATCAACAGAATATACATTCTTTACAGCACCACACCACACCTATTCCAAAATTGACCACATAGTTGGAAGTAAAGCACTCCTCAGCAAATGTAAAAGAACAGAAATTATAACAAACTGTATTTCAGACCACACTGAAATCAAACTAGAACTCAGGATTAAGAAACTCACTCAAAACTGCTCAATTACATGGAAACTGAACAACCTGCTCCTGATTGACTACTGGGTACATAACGAAATGAAGGCAGAAATAAAGATGTCCTTTGAAACCAACGAGAAAAAAGACACAACATAACAGAATCTCTGGGACACATTCAAAGCAGTGTGTAGAGGGAAATTTGTAGCAGTAAATGCCCACAAGAGAAAGCAGGAAAGATCTAAAGTTGACACCCTAACATCACAATTAAATGAACCAGAGAAGCAAGAGCAAACACATTCAAAAGCTAGCAGAAGGCAAGAAATAACTAAGATCAGAGCAGAACCGAAGGAAATAGAGATGTAAAAAACCCTTCAAAAAATTAATGAATCCAGGAGCTAGTTTTTTGAAAAGATCAACAACATTGATAGACCGCTAGCAAGACTAATAAAGAAGAAAAGAGAGAAGAATCAAAGAGACACAATAAAAAATGACAAGGGGATATCACCACCGATCCCACAGAAATAAAAACTACCATCAGAGAATACTACAAACACCTCTATGCAAATAAACTAGAAAATCTAGAAGAAATGGATAAATTCCTCGACACATACACCCTCCTAAGACTAAACTAGGAAGAAGTTGGATCTCTGAATAGACCAATAACAGGCTCTGAAATTGAGGCAATAATTAATAGCTTACCAACCAAAAAAAGTCCAGGACCAGATGGATTCACAGCCGAATTCTACCAGAGGTACAAGGAGGAGCTGGCACCATTCCTTCTGAAACTATTTCAATCAATAGAAAAAGAGGGAATCCTCCCTAACTCACTTTATGAGGCCAGCATCATCCTGATATCAAAGCCTGGAAGAGACACAACAAAAAAAGAGAATTTTAGACCAATATCCCTGATGAACATTGATGCAAAAATCCTCAATAAAATACTGGCAAACCGAATCCAGCAGCACATCAAAAAGCTTATCCACCATGATCAAGTGGGCTTCATCCCTGGGATGCAAGGCTGGTTCAACATATGCAAATCAATAAACATAATCCAGCATATAAATAGAACCAATGACAAAAACCACATAATTATCTCAATAGATGCAGAAAAGGCCTTTGACAAAATTCAACACCCCTTCATGCTAAAAACTCTCAATAAATAAGGTATTGATGGGACATATCTCAAAATAATAAGAGCTATCTATGACAAACCCACAGCCAATATCGTACTGAATGGACAAAAACTGGAAGCATTCCCTTTGAAAACTGGCACAAGACAGGGATGCCCTCTCTCACCACTCCTATTCAACATAGTGTTGGATGTTCTGGCCAGGGCAGTCAGGCAGGAGAAGGAAATAAAATGTATTCAATTAGGAAAAGAGGAAGTCAAATTGTCCCTGTTTGCAGATGACATGATTGTATATCTAGAAACCCCCATCATTTGAGCCCAAAATCTCCTTAAGCTGATAGGCAACTTCAGCAAAGTCTCAGGACACAAAATCAATGTGTAAAAATCACAAGCATTCTTATACACCAATAACAGACAAACAGAGAGCCAAATCATGAGTGAACTCCCATTCACAATTGCTTCAAAAGAATAAAATACCTAGGAATCCAACTTACAAGGGATGTGAAGGAACTCTTCAAGGAGAACTACAAACCACTGCTCAATGAAATAAAAGAAGATACAAACAAATGGAAGAATATTCCATGCTCATGTGTAGAAAGAGTCAATATCGTGAAAATGGCCATACTGCCCAAGGTAATTTATAGATTCAATGCCATCACCATCAAGCTACAAATTACTTTCTTCACAGAATTGGAAAAAACTACTTTAAAGCTCATATGGAACCAAAAAAGAGCTCACATTGCCAAGTCAATCCTAAGCCAAAAGAACAAAGCTGGAGGCATCACGCTACCTGACTTCAAGCTATACTACAAGACTACAGTAACCAAAACAGCATGGTACTGGTACCAAAACAGAGGTACAGACCAATGGAACAGAACAGAGCCCTCAGAAATAATGCTGCATATCTACAACTATCTGATCTTTGACAAACCTGACAAAAACAAGAAATGTGGAAAGGATTCCCTATTTAATAAATGGTGCTGGGAAAACTGGCTAGCCATATGGAGAAAGCTGAAACTGGATCCCTTCCTTACACCTTACACAAAAATTAATTCTAGATGGATTAAAGACTTAAATATTAGACCTACAACCATAAAAACCTTAGAAGAAAACCTAGGCAATACCATTCAGGACATAGGCATGGGTAAGAACTTCATGTCTAAAACACCAAAAGCAGTAGCAACAAAAGCCAAAATTTACAAATGGGATCTAAATAAACTAAAGAGCTTCTGCACTGCAAAAGAAATTACCATCAGAGTGAACAGGCAACCTACAAAATGGGAGAAAATTTTTGCAATCTACTCATCTGACAAAGGGCTAACATCCAGAATCTGCAATGAACTCAAACACATTTACAAGAAAAAAACAAACAACCCCATCAAAAAGTGGGTGAAGGATATGAACAGACACTTCTCAAAAGAAGACATTTATGCAGTCAAAAGACATGAAAAAATGTTCATCATCACTGGCCATCAGAGAAATGCAAATCAAAACCACAATGAGAAGACATGGACACAGGAAGGGGAACATGACACACCGGGGCCTGTTGTGGGGTGGGGGGAGGGTGGAGGGATAGCATTTGGAGGTACACCTAATGTTAAATGATGAGTTAATGGGTGCAGCACCCCAACATGGCACATGTATACATATGTAACTAACCTGCACATTGTGCACATGTACCTAGAACTTAAAGTATAATAAAAAGAAAAAAAATGAAACAACCTGGAGAACAATGGTCCCCCCAGTGGTCAAAAATAGTACCTGTAGCCCTGATTATATGGCTTAACTACACTACACTGAAATTTACAACAAATGAGGAGACCGCCAACAGAGATGTTGTGACCTCTGTTGGTGTACATACTCACACCAAACACAACCTATTACCAGTTTTCATAAACATGAGAGCCCATAAATTGCCACCTACAACAAAGAAACACCCATATGGTACTTTTACCTTGCACTTCTTCCTCATAGAAAACCAGACCCTAGCCACTTTCCCCTCACTGTGGACCACTTACTCTGGAATCATCCTCAGTCTGCATTCACTCATCTCTTCAAATAAGTTGAGCAAACCATCCACAACTATCTGGAGTTAGAGGTGCCCTTATCTGTCATCCATGTACTTTGCCCCACTAAAGGCACTGTGAAACAAACCTGGAACTACTCCCAACACCCAGAAGGTGGAACTAATCTCCATGGACTGGGTAACATCATTGGTGATACCCAGGGAACAACCAGATCTCATACTTCTGGTTGGAGATAACCTCTAATTTTACTCCATTTTTGCGGTGCTGTCCTTGCTTAAGAAGTTACTATGCTCACCAGTGTTGGCTACACATCAATTGCTGGATCACCCTATCTCTGATAATCTATACCCTACTGCTGACAAGGTATGTTTGGAAACAACATGCCACAGGTTCATCACAGGGAGACACACAACATGGGTCAGTTTGGGAACAATGGGAACCACACAATTAACTATTTAGGTTGTCCAATCCTACTAACATAACCACAGACATCACCTCTGAAGTTAGCACTCCCCATTTTTTCTCTGCTACTCTTAGCAGCACTCAGTATGGCTAAGCCAGACTCTAAGATACCACTTGTGACCCGTACAAATGCTTTCTAAGCCCTATGTACCATCATTTTCTTCAAATTAGACAAAACTCACTATTATTAACTACTGCCATTGAGTAAATAGATCAATGGGCCATGACCTTTTGAGTTCCATTTAAGGAATGCCCAGAGACAGTATGTACCCATTATTATAACCAAGATACTTGTGATTTATGTAATCAAATTAGAAATGCTGTATTTCAAGACAATAACAACAAACACTAAAGGATTGCCAAAACAAAATTATACTTTGTAATAATCCCTGGGATGATGATAAATGTAAACAATATAAGTCCTTACAACTATTGGTGTCTTTTCTTATTAATTATGATGTTCTTGCTCCCCTCTAGTACAAACCCCATTTATTGAGACTCTGTGTACAACTTATTAATAAATAGCCTTTGCTTTCCACATTTGGGTGGTTTTTGTTATTCCAACAGTATATTATTTGGGATACCCCAGAAAAATAACATTGGGCAGAAATTTTTCCCAAATATTTCTCAAGCGTTTATTCATGGCAATTTTGGTATTTTTTAAATATTTGCAAAATTTCTAATAAATATAAGCAAGTAGTTGTCAATTTGGGTAGAGAAACTCCTATTTAGAGAGCAGTTAGAGTTCTTCATGGGATCAAATATGTTTTTAGTAGGAATTGTCTTTGCTGTTACCCTCAAGAGCTATGAAAATATTGTACTAAGTGGCCAGGGGCATCTTACTATGGATTTCCTCTCTGGTGGCCGATTAATTTAAACAAGTAAAGCAATATTTACTATGTAATATTACCTGGGCCAAGGCACATCTGATAAATCAGGGACTATAATCAGCTTAAGAATTCTTCTATAGTAACCTTCTTACAATACCAACTGCAAGTTTTACATAACACTCAATGGAAGCTGGCTCTACAACAATTGCAAGACTGGCTGTCCATGGTAAATAATCGTAGCTCTTGAGGGTTACAGCAAAGACAATTCCTACTAAAAACATGTTTGATCCCATGGAGAACTCCAACTGCTCTCTGCATGGTAGTTTCTCTACACAAATTGATAACTACTTGCTTGTATTTATTAGAAATTTTGCAGGGTCTGCCAAAACTGCCATTAATAAAGTCTTGGGAAATATTTGAGGAAGATTTATGACCAATGTTACTTTTCTGGAGTATCCCAAATAGTATACTGTGGGAACAACAAAGACCACCCAAATGTGAAAAGCAAAGGCTATTCAGAGCTTGCTATAGTAAGGGAGTCAACTATTGTCATCTGTGTTTTGGCAGAGACTCAATGGTGAGCAAAACAGTGAGAAAGTTTGTAGCGCGAAAAAGAAAGGCTACAGCTACACACTGAATAGAGATTATTGGCATGGGGAAGATGTAGGCAGGCTAACTAGAAGTGGATCATCCTATGCGATTAGTTAGAGGTGCATACTTGGCTTTTTCTGGTTGGATCTAAGTTGGATGCAGAGACAAGAATTAAGAAGGTAGTCAGTTATTAATCAAGTCCTGGCCATTTTGGGCTGATTGTTATAGAAATTATTGTTTATTTCCTTGAATTGTTACTAAAGATAAAAATTTGACATCCTACAAGTCTGACTTATAGCAGGCTAATGCTCTGGGCTGCTTACTGTAGTTAAGTGGGTTGGTTTCCTAGGCAAGTTGTTGAAGGTTGCGGGTCACTGTTCTACTTTTTATATATGGTCCAACCATTGTCCATTTGTACATTCAATCTTTCAGTATACATCCCACCATACAGGAGATAGAAACAATAATGAGAAGCCTGATATCAAAGCTAACCTGGGAAGAAACTTATTGGTGACATCACATTGCCACCTCTAAAGAGGTCACCCTTGAACTTATTCGAGCTATACAAATGGACTCCCTAGAAAAGTTTCCCTGGAATAAAAATGATGGAACAGGTGGCCTCCCACTAAAATTAGAACAACATCATCATAAACAGGGAAATAAATAGGCCAAATTTATAATATGATTGATGGTTATTTTTGAAATAATTTGCCCTACCTTTGAGGATCACATATGTGAGTACTCCACAGTTCAGAATCAAATTTGGTGCATGTATAAATTAATAACTTTTTAAAAACTGCCAAGAGATACTGTGAAGCTTACTCTAGACCCATGCAAACATTCTGATGCTATTTACTACTGGCAATCACCCGGAAACTCAAGCAAGGCACACCAATCCAAATAAGGAGGAACATTCATTTGCCTAAACCTGCAGATATCTTAAGTCACAGAAACACATATAATGACAAATTTAACTGCATGTTGGACTTGCTTCTGCCAATCTGATTCTAGCATTATGGATAGACAGGAACATGTAGCAAAGGGGTTATAATGTCACTCTACTGACTGAACAATTGAACAAATTAAAATCTGCTCCTTTTTCTAATCGATTCCCCTGGCTTTCCTCCATTACGTGGGCAGATTGGCTATGAAAGGGTTTTGAAATCCTTGTTTGTACCCTTATAGGATTCTGTCTCCTTTATTTCTGGCAAGAAACTTAGGCACTGCAAAATAACATACAATTTTAATTATAAGACAACATTGGGCCAGGGGATGGACTGTTATATGCATGAGCCAAAGATAGTCTCTATATATTGATTCTGCCAGTACCAAACTCAATTTTTTACACATCAATTGTTTTAAATATAGACCAATAAGTAGATTGTTAGCCATTTAGAGGCTGCCTTCTTTGCATGTCCCTGTGAAACTACAATCATCTGTTAGCTATAGATAGGATAAACTCCAGGAGATAAAAACCCTAACCTACTGCTGCCCTTCAGAGATCTCTGACCCAGCAACTCCCTGTCTTGCTGCTGAGAGACATCGCTACATGTATAAGCCATCTCTTTGATTCCCCTCCCTCTCTCCAGTTAGCTTGTCCTCTCATTTTCTAGGTTGTGACCTCCCACCAGCCTCTGGAAGATCTCAGACTTTGATTAACCCCATGCCCTTGCAAACCTGTCAAAGGGTTGACCAAATGAAACTCGTATGCTTATACACTGTTGGTGGGAATGTAAATTAGTAATAATAAACACTATATATAGTTCAACCACTATAGAAAGCAGTTTGGAGATTTCTCAAAGAACATAAAACACAACTACCATTCAATTCAGTAATCACATTATCGGGCATATATCCAGAAGAAAAGAAATCATTCAACCAAAAAGACACATACACTCATAGTTGTTTGCAGCCTTATTAACAAGAGCAATGACATGGAGTCAACTTAGGTGTCTATCACTGATATTTGCTAAAGAAAATGTGGTACATATATACCATGGAATACAACACAGCCATAAAAACTAATGAAATAATGTCCTTTGCAGCAACATGGATGCAGCTGAAGGCCATTATCCTAAGCGAATTTACACAGAAACAGAAAACCAAATACCATATGTTCTCATTTATAAGTTGGAGCTAAAGATTGGGTACTCATCAACATAAAGGTGGCAAAAACAGACACTGGAGGACTATTAGAAGGGGGAAGAAGAAAGGGGGTCATGGGTTGAAAAACTGTTGAGTATTATGCTCACTACCTGGGTGATGAGATCATCTGTTTTCCAAACCTCAGCATCATGCAATATACCCATATAACAAACCTGTGTATGTATCCCCAGAATCTAAAATAAAAGTTGAAATTCTAAAACAGACAAACAACAAAAACTCATTGTGTGTTACTGAAAACGTGTGGTAGTATATATTTTTCTTGATCAGTCCCCAAATCTCTTGCACTCACTTGTTTCCTATATTTTAATTCTACATATAAATTACACAAAACATATTATTATTATTGTTTTACATTGTCAATATGTCTGTTTACCCACATATTTATCCTTTCTATTACTGTTCGCTTCTTGCATCTCTTCAGTTTCAGAGGAGAACCTTTCAGTATTTCCTCAGTGTGGGTGTACTGGTGATCAATTTACTCAGCACTGATTTCTGAACATGTATTTATTTTGCCTTCATTTTTGATGTACTATTTCAGTAAGTTCAGAATTCCAAATTATCAGCTTACAAATCATTAAATTCCTTAAGTGACAAACTTGTATACAATGTAAGACTCACCTCTTTGCACTTCCCTTTTTTCTGAGATCATTACTCTTGAAGTCCTCATTGCCTTTATAGGTTTCTGATGCTATATTGGTAGCCTTTGTTGCCATAAAAGGGTTTCTTTACCTAAATTTCTGGGGTTTTTTTTCCGCAGGGCTGCTGCAATCAACTATACATTATTAGAAATGGAATTCTTTGATATCATTATAATGACTTACTGGTATTCCATTTTTAGTACCATAATTTCTTCAAATACTCTTTAGTTATTTAACATTCATTTAGTTTTCAGCTCTGTTATACTAGAACAAATTATATAATAAAAGTTATTTTAGCTAAATATTTGCACATATATCTTATTATTTCTTTAGAATATATTTCTAGAGGTAAAAATTTTTAGTTTATAGGTTTGAACAACTTCAGGGTCTTTAAAAATCACTGTACCCTAGGTTAGGAATATCTGTTGCTAAAGCTTAGAAATATCTTAGGTTTTTTTGTGCCTCCCATTCTGAATAGGCCCCAGGCATAAAAACTGCATTGGACTTCACAGAACCGAAACTGGTTATTCATATAAGGGATTGCTTCTCCAATTGGAGACAGAGATGGTGACACATTGTGACTGTAGCCAGTTATTTTCCCTTTCCTAAAGACGTATTAAAAAAAAGTATTGGAACCAACCCAAATGCCCATCAATGACAGACTGGATAAAGAAAACATGGCACATATACACCATGGAATACTATGCAATAAAAAAGGATGAGTTCATGTCCTTTGCAGGGGCATGGATGAAGCTGGAAACCATCATTCTCAGAAAATTAACACAAGAACAGGAAACCAAACACCACACGTTCTCACTCATAAGTGGGAATTGAACAATTACAACACATGGACACAGGGAGGGGAACATCACACACCAGGGCCTGTCAAGAGGTGGGGAGATAGGGGAGGGATAGCATTAGGAGAAATACCTAATGTAGATGATGGGTTGATGGGTGCAGCAAACCACCATGGCACGTGTATACCTAGGTAACAAATCTGCACATTCTGCACATGTACCCCAAAACTTAAAGTATAAAAAAAAAGAAAAAAAGACAAAAGTATACTCCCAGATTTTTGAGAAGATATAAAGAAAGACAACATATAATAAATGTTTGCAGCAAGATATAAACATATCAATAAAGGGTCAATAGTGGTAAGCTGAATTGTAGTGGTTGTGTGAGTGTCAGAAAGTTAGTGTTTTCCCTCTATCTCTCTTCCTCTCTCTCTCTCCCCTACTTCTAAAAACAGCCTGCCCGTCCTCTTCAGTGTTTTCTTTCTTACTCACTGCTGCCGTGCTACTCTCAGTTGGAATGATTTTCTCATCCTTGTCCTTTTGGTAAATATCTACCCACTCATCTTTTTAAACATCTCCTCTTTTATGAAGCCTTTTCTGCATCTACAGGTAGAACTGACCCTGCCATCCCCTGCATTCTTTACAAACTTCTAGAAAATTTAGCTTTACTTTTTCTCTGACTCCCATTTTTACATCGGGTGCTCCTTGATGACAAAGAGATTAACTGTAACTTCGGGATAGATGACCAGTGTTTGTTGAGTGAATGAATAAAGGGATCAGGGTTGGATCTGCTCAAAAGTGCTAGAGTAATAGAGCAAAACAGAGCAGGTAACACATCCCTTAACACTCGGTATCTCAACTGACTTTCACAAAAGCTCTATTAAATGAGCAGGTGATTGTGGAGTGAAAGAATTAAACAAATTTTCAAGAGTTTTAGTGGCTTTCCCACTAAAGCCTGGGTGACTGGGAAAGTTTGGGCTGGGAATGTTGGGCTTTTCAAGCGTGTTCGAAGCTCCCTAATTGGTACTAAATTTCAGGCATTCAGACCCTCTAGGAAAGAGTTCTTTCTAGCTCACAACATTAGGGGAGGAGTTAGACACATAAATGGAGAAAGTGATAGAAGAGACATGGTCAGGGATGGGGGTTCTACCCTTCCAGAGACAATGCACATTTTCTTTGAAACAGCTTCGGGAAAACTGCAAATCTCAATGATATTTACCAATTTTGAGAATCTATTAAGTGCCTGGCACTCTGTGTAGAAGCCCTCCAATCGTACCCTAAATCTGAGAAGTATTTATTATTATTTCCATTTTTACTCCCTAATGCATCTACTCTAAGCTCCTTGCTTCACCCTACCAAAGTTTCCCTTCTGCTAGTGCTCTCCTTTGGTGCAGAACCACCGCATCCACTTTCTCAGGCCCAGGGGAGGGGCGGGGCGGGGCGATTTCGCCTTGCCGCAGAGCCAGTCTGCGCCTGCGCGGACTGCGGCAGAGGGCGGGGTGTGAGAAGCAGAGTACAGTGAGACTAGCATTCACTGCTGGCCAGTGCCTGCCTTTTTCACCACCTCTAATTTCAGCTTCAGCAGTTGCTTGGAACTTTGGTTCTGGCAGCAGCAGCAACATCATTACCGCTAGCGGCAGTTTTGTGCCGAGGCACCTACACACCTCCCGTCCTCTCTGCCAGATCGCGGGCCTGTCGGTGTCTGCTCCTACACGCCAACGCCGGTGGGCAGGACCATGTCTCTGGTAAGCCAGAATTCGCGCCGCCGCCGCCGCCGCGTTGCAAAGGCTACTGCGCACAACAGCAGCTGGGGCGAAATGCAGGCCCCTAATGCCCCCGGTCTCCCCGCTGATGTGCCAGGCTCAGACGTCCCCCAGGGTCCCAGCGATTCCCAGATCCTCCAGGGCCTCTGCGCCTCTGAGGGCCCAAGCACCTCCGTTCTGCCCACCTCCGCTGAGGGCCCAAGCACCTTTGTGCCGCCCACCATCTCTGAGGCCTCAAGCGCCTCCGGGCAGCCCACCATCTCTGAGGGACCTGGCACCTCCGTGCTGCCCACCCCCAGTGAGGGCCTAAGCACCTCCGGGCCTCCCACCATCTCTAAGGGGCTGTGCACCTCTGTGACGCTTGCCGCCTCTGAGGGCCGGAACACCTCCAGGCCGCCCACTTCCTCTGAGGAACCTAGCACCTCCGTGCCGCCCACCGCCTCTGAGGTACCGAGCACCTCCCTGCCGCCCACCCCTGGTGAGGGAACGAGCACCTCCGTGCCGCCCACAGCCTATGAGGGACCAAGCACCTCCGTGGTGCCCACCCCTGATGAGGGACCAAGCACCTCCGTGCTGCCTACACCTGGTGAGGGACCAGGCACCTCCGTGCCGCTCGCCGCCACTGAGGGCCTGAGCACCTCCGTGCAGGCCACTCCTGATGAGGGACCGAGCACCTCCGTGCCGCCCACCGCCACTGAGGGCCTAAGCACCCCCGTGCCACCCACCCGTGATGAGGGACCGAGCACCTCCGTGCCGGCCACTCCTGGTGAGGGACCGAGCACCTCCGTGCTGCCCGCCGCCTCTGACGGACAAAGCATCTCCTTGGTGCCCACCCGCGGTAAGGGATCAAGCACCTCCGTGCCCCCCACCGCCACCGAGGGCCTGAGCACCTCCGTGCAGCCCACTGCTGGTGAGGGATCGAGCACCTCCGTGCCGCCCACCCCTGGTGGGGGACTGAGCACCTCCGTGCCGCCCACCGCCACTGAGGAGTTGAGCACCTCCGTGCCGCCCACTCCCGGTGAGGGACCAAGCACTTCCGTACTGCCAATCCCCGGTGAGGGACTGAGCACCTCTGTGCCGCCCACCGCCTCTGATGGATCGGACACCTCCGTGCCGCCCACTCCTGGTGAGGGCGCAAGCACCTTAGTGCAGCCCACCGCCCCTGACGGACCGGGAAGCTCCGTGCTGCCTAACCCTGGTGAGGGCCCGAGCACATTGTTTAGCTCTAGTGCTTCTGTGGACCGGAACCCCTCCAAGTGTTCCCTTGTTTTGCCAAGCCCTAGGGTAACCAAGGCCTCCGTGGACTCAGATTCTGAGGGTCCTAAGGGTGCAGAAGGCCCTATAGAATTCGAGGTCCTGAGAGACTGTGAGAGCCCCAACTCCATTAGTATTATGGGCCTCAATACTTCCCGGGTTGCAATTACCCTGAAGCCCCAAGACCCTATGGAACAGAACGTAGCTGAGCTGTTGCAGTTCCTGCTGGTGAAGGATCAGAGCAAGTACCCTATCCGGGAGTCTGAAATGCGGGAATATATTGTTAAAGAATATCGCAACCAGTTTCCTGAGATACTCAGGCGAGCAGCAGCCCACCTGGAGTGCATTTTTAGGTTTGAATTGAGAGAACTTGACCCTGAGGCACACACCTACATTCTGTTAAACAAACTGGGACCTGTGCCCTTTGAAGGGTTAGAAGAGAGCCCAAATGGGCCAAAGATGGGCCTCCTGATGATGATTCTAGGCCAAATATTCCTGAATGGCAACCAAGCCAAGGAGGCTGAGATTTGGGAAATGCTCTGGAGGATGGGGGTGCAGCGGGAAAGGAGGCTTTCCATTTTTGGGAACCCAAAGAGACTTCTGTCTGTGGAGTTTGTATGGCAGCGTTACTTAGACTACAGGCCAGTAACTGACTGTAAACCAGTGGAGTATGAGTTTTTCTGGGGCCCAAGATCCCACCTAGAAACCACCAAGATGAAAATTCTGAAGTTCATGGCGAAAATATATAACAAAGATCCTATGGATTGGCCAGAGAAATACAACGAAGCTCTGGAAGAAGATGCTGCCAGAGCCTTTGCTGAGGGTTGGCAGGCTCTCCCTCACTTTAGGAGGCCCTTTTTTGAGGAAGCTGCTGCAGAGGTACCATCCCCTGATTCAGAGGTTTCCAGCTATTCCTCAAAATATGCCCCACATTCATGGCCTGAGTCAAGATTGGAGAGCAAGGCAAGGAAGCTGGTGCAGTTATTTCTGCTTATGGATTCAACTAAGCTGCCTATACCAAAGAAAGGAATTCTGTACTACATTGGCCGAGAGTGCAGCAAAGTGTTCCCTGACCTCCTGAATCGTGCTGCCCGCACCCTGAACCATGTCTATGGGACAGAACTAGTGGTACTTGATCCCAGGAATCACTCCTATACTCTGTACAACCGAAGGGAGATGGAAGAAACTGAGGAGATCGTAGACAGTCCAAACAGGCCTGGCAACAACTTTTTGATGCAGGTCCTAAGCTTCATCTTTATTATGGGCAACCATGCCAGGGAGTCTGCAGTCTGGGCCTTTCTGCGGGGCTTAGGGGTTCAAGCTGGGAGAAAGCATGTGATTACCTGCAGATACTTGAGTCAGCGCTATATAGACAGTTTACGGGTTCCTGACAGTGATCCAGTGCAATATGAGTTTGTATGGGGTCCTAGAGCCCGTTTGGAAACCTCTAAGATGAAAGCCTTGCGATATGTGGCCAGAATCCACAGAAAGGAACCACAGGACTGGCCACAGCAGTACAGGGAGGCAATGGAAGATGAGGCCAATAGAGCTGATGTTGGGCACAGGCAAATCTTTGTTCACAACTTCAGGTAGAGGAATGCATGGCAGTCAGAGGGGCCTTGCAAGGAGGGGCCTTTGAGCCTCAGTTCTCATGTATTGGGGGGTGGGGGTGGGTACATATTGTATTTGGTATTTGTGTTCCAGTTATATTTATGTCTTTTCATATTTAGTTCTGGTGTGGTGTCTGGAAATGTTTCAACTGTTTTAATATATTGTCTGATTGGGTAAATGTGATTGACCACTTGCTGTCTCTGTTGTATTTTGGTATGAGTTTTGATAGCTCTATAAAATGTTTTGGAAATCTTTCCATCTTGTTGCATTATCTAGAAAAGAATATAGCATATAGCTATAGATATAGGCTTTTCCTTGAAAGCTTGAAAAAAATTCGCCAGTAAAATAATCTAGCTTAAAGTGATAAACTAACAAACAAATATAACAACAACTGAAAAGGCACTCTAAATTGTGGCTGGCTTCCCTTTCTGTCTGCTATTGTATGAAGAATACTGATGTTTACCTGTATTTGCTTTGCTGTACTAAAATGTAATGAAAAATAAAAGATTAATAAATGAAACATAATGCTAATACACTGACTTATTCAACTGCTTTCATACAGTGAGCACAGTGGTGTGCCCTAGTTATAGAAGTATAAAAGTTTACAAGATATAGTACCTGCCCAAGAATTCAGAGGCTGGATAGGGTACAGGGGGAGGTCATTTAAATCACCAATTTATTATGGTGTACTATGTGCTACAATAGAAAAATAGAGAGTGCTATGGTAGTTAAAAAGAGGCACAACTGACCAATTCCTGGGGTGTTCAGGGTGGTCCTTAAGGAAGCTGTTGGGTATGTGGGGTGGGGACAAGATGGGGTCTTTTTTTTTTTTTTTTTTTTTGAGACAGAGTCTCGCTCTGTTGCCCAGGCTAGAGTGCAGTGGCATGATCTCGGCTCACTGCAACCTCTGCCTCCTGGGTTCAAGAAATTCTCCTGCCTCAGCCTCCAGAGTAGCTGGGACTACAGGCAAGTGCCATCACACCCAGCTAATTTTTGTATTTTTAGTAGAGACGGGGTTTCACTATTTTGGCCAGGCTGGTCTCAAACTCCTGACCTCGTGATCTGTCCACCTCAGCCTCCCAAAGTGCTGAGATTACAGGCGTGAGCCACCGTGCCCAGCCAAGATGGGGTCCCTAATACAATCATGAATTAAACTGATTCAAGGCTGGATTTCAGTCTTTATGTGTGCTGGTAGGAAAAAAAGTCAAAGATGTAAGGCCAGAGAGCAGGATATATTGTGTCATCAATGGTTTCAATAAGATACATGAGCCAGCTTTCTCTAAGTTATGCTGTGGGTTTTTAAAAAATACCCAAATCTCAGAGGCTTACAACAACAAAATTTTGGGCTCATTTTACATCCCTTTCATGGGCTGTCTGTGATTCTGTTTATATTGTCTTCCTTCAGGTAACCAGGCTAAAGGAGTAAATCATATATGGGACACCTGTTCTTGTGGCAGAAGTAAAAGAGCCATAGTGGAACCATGTGATAGTTTTCAAAGCCTATGCTCATATATGGCATATTGTAGTCATAATCCATTGGCAAAAGCAAGTCACATGGGCAAGCTTGATGTCAATGAGCTGGGAAGTGTACTCCTTCTACAGGGAAGAACATATAGGAATGGGCCCAGTAGAGAGGAAGAACATATATTTTTGAATAAAAAATTAGTCTACCATATAAGAATTTGGCTTTAGTTGTGAGTGAGATGGAAAACTATTTAAGGCTTTTGATCTGAGCGATGGCAGGAAACCACTTAGTTTTGACAGGATTCTTTTGGCTCTCATATTGAAAAACTAAAGGGGGTGGGGAGGGCAGAAACTCTAATTTTAGCATAGTAATTTCTTCTTAATGTACCTATGAAAAGAGGTGTTATTTTCTGAACAAAATCAAATTTAAAGAAATTGAAGTCAGAAAGCCTGTTATCTTTTAAAAAACACCTTGGAAATCAAACTCCGTGGTATCAAGGTTAAAAGGCATTAGAACATAGTAGTAAGAGCATGTAGTCTAGAGTCAAAGTGCCTGGGTACAAACCCTGGCTCTCTCTGATACTAGAGATGAGAACTCAGGCAAGTTACTTAACTCCTTTGTGCCTCCATTTTTTCATCTGTAAAATGGGCATAATAATTTCACCTACGCCATAATGTTGGGGATTAAATGTGTTAACATGTAAAACACAAGAGCACTTGACATGTAGTTAGCAATATATAAGTGATATTGTTGCATGTTGATTTTTTCCAGGAATGAGACTGTGAGTGATTTCCTTGCAGAAATTTTACTGGGGAGTTGTTTTGGGTTCAACAGGTGTGGGGAGCAAGAGAAGCAGAATTGTGTAGAAAGAGAAGTCGAGCAGTGATTCAGTCACAGCAAATAAATTAACTGATTCCACAGGGAGCTCTGGAGTTGGTGTGGTCCTGCAGAGTTGTCCCAAATTAGGAAAAAGAGGCCAAAGTTTTATCCCACCATACTCACCAGTCGTTGGATGCAAACTGCCTCCTGGTAAGGGGCTATGACTTTTTGAGAGTCAGTTCTTTTCAGCTGAGAGTAATCCCTGAGAAAGGTACTCAGCTGTAAACACAGCAGCTGTCATCACCCTCAAGAGCTGGAGGAATGAGTAATGTGATCCTGAAGAGTAGGAGCATCTGGGTGATACATCACAATCTCCACTACAGTTGTTGCTGTTTTTATTGGTTTCCTTCCCCTCCCCTCCTACTCTTTAATAATAATTCTTCCTCTTCTTCTTCTTTCTCTTCTTCATCATCCTCATCTCTTTCCCCTTTCCTCTTCCCACCTTCTCCTCCTTGTTATTATCACTATTACTATTGTTATAATCTAAAAGAATTACATATCTTCTTATATCATTACTAATATTTTTTTTAAAAAATCTGTAAAGATTACATATATTCTTATTGTTCTGCCTGGGATATAACACCCACATCACTGAATCGTTTTACTCTTCGCACAACCTTCCTGAGAGAGAGGCTCTGATAATAGAGCTTCATTTACTTCTTAAGTTCTGTATTAGTTCTCTATTCTTTTCATGTTTCTTAGTAGACTTGTGTGTTATCCAATTGTTGCCAGAAGATGTTACCTAAGCAAGTTTCTTGGTTGTTTGTCATTTAAATATTGCGAACTATTTTTCTCTCAGATAAACTTGACCAACATGCACAAACATTCAGAATATCCCACTAAAGACAACCAAGGAAGAAAATACGTTTTTTTTCATGCATTTCTCTCAAAAGTAACCATTTTGGTCTCAGAAAATGTCTGATTAAATGTCTTTGTTCAAATGCACCTGTTAGATTAGGATGCAAGCTTTTGTTTCAAGATTCCATGTGTTCAGTGGAGGGTCGTGCTCTCATGATTACATGAATGTGTACTATTTTTTAAAAAAGGATCTTGTCATTCTGCGTTAAGGTAATGATCATTGACTTGTGTCAAACCCTGCAAAGAGCTACAGTCAATGTGACTGACTAATTGCTGTACTCATCTGTGGTGGAATGGAAAAGCTTCTAAACTTCACAGGAGAAGTCTCTTCTCTTTATGTAGAGAGAAATCATGGGTGGGACTCTGGTGATTGTCTTCACATTGTTATTCAATCTTGCCAATGAATGGTTCTGTAAGATTTCCCCTTTTGCCTAAGAAGTTATGTAGCCACTTAATCTAATCTAAGTAACTGCTAAAGTTCTCTAGGTTATCCACATATCTCAGATGATGACTCATCAAAATTGATTAAAAACAATTATTTCCCCAAAATTGAATTTGAGATACAGCCTTAAAAATTGGTAGATTGAACAGAAAGGATGATTATGGAAATTCACAACTGTGATCCTTTGTTGGTAGAGTGGATAGCGGAAAAGCAGTCATTTTGAGATGAATGTGGGGTTTGATTGTTTTGTTTTGTTTTGTTTTTTGATGAGTGAGATAACTTTGCTCTGTCTTCCTGGATTAGACTATTTCAAGTAGTAACAGTGATAGAAATCAGGTAGGTAAATGGAAGTCATCATATTTTGATGAAAATATGTGAGGCAGTAAAATACCCAGTTCTCAGATAATCATATAAAGTGTAAAAACTACTTTAAAAGGCTAACAAGAAGAAAAACACAGTAGCTAAAGTATGAAAGGAAGGAAATTAGAAAATGCCAAGGTTTTTTTTCAGTGCATTTGCTAAAATTGAAGAAGAGTTATTGTTTCTACTGCTTTCTTTCTTGGAAATGTTATTATTAACATTCAATGTTTAACTGAAATTATTTTCTAAGTGTGCTCAGATTTAAAAGATTACTTTTGCTGGCAGAAATCAGAAGAATATCCTTTCCAGCAGAAGCCAAACTCCTTGAAAGAATGTTTATTTTTGATATCTCCTATTTCTCTTCTACTATTTATTTCTGAACTCAACACAATTAGGTTTTTCTTACACCAATCAACTGCAGCTGCTTCTCTCAATATGTACAGTGACCTATATAAAAATTGATAAATCCACTGATCTTTTCTCAGACATTATCTTCATCAGTGGATTTTGACATAGTTAATTTATTTTTTCCTCTTCAAAACATTTTGAACATGTGAGATACTCTTCTGGTTTTCCTCCTGCCTTTCTTCCTACTGCTTTCTCACCTCCTTTACAGGTTCCTCGTCTCCCAGAATTCTAAGAATGCTCCGGGATAATAAGTCCTTGAACTTATTCACTTTTTTTTATGTTTATATGCTCTCCTTAATCTCACCCATTTATTTCTTATATTTAAAAAATATTCTATATGCTGGAGAGCCCAGAATTTGTAACTCAAGCCTCAGGGTATGTACCCCTATTGTGAATTCCTCTCACATTCAATTATTTTCTCAGGTTTTCCACTTGGATGTCCAGTATGCACTAAATTCTAACATGCCCAAATCTGAGCTCCTGGTATTTATTTACAAACCTGTTCCTTCTACAGATTTTCTCACCTTAATCAATGGCCAGTTCATTCTTACAATTGCTCAGCATAAAAGGTTGGGCACGTACTTGACTGTTTTTTTTTTTTTTTCATTTTCTGGATATTAGAAAAAATTTAATATGTCAACAAATTCTGATAGCTCTGCTCCCAAAATAAGTTCAGAAACTAATATCTTGTCAACTCCAGCATTACTACTATGATTGTATCTCACCTATACTATTGCAGTGGGGTTAGAATTTGTCCTTCTACTTCTGACCTAGTATATTTTCTTAGCACAGTAGCCAGAGGAATTCTGTAAGAATCCATTTAACTTGTAGGTGTGACTTATTTTGCTTATAGTATACACCTGAGTGATATGATCTAGCCTGCAATTTCTTTTCTAACTTTATTTCTTATTATGCTCTCCGCTACTGTTATACGATTTGTTTTTTGAGCAGGTCTGACAAGCTACTACCTCAGGGTTTTTAAACTTTCTGTTCTCATTGCTTGGAATGCCTCAAATAAATGCATTACTTATTCATGTCTTTTATGTTTTTGCTAAAAATACACTACTTAGTAAGTACACTGTATCCAAAATTAACTATATAACCTTCCTTCTTGCTTTACTTTTTCTAGCACATATCATTATCAATAATCTATTTTAAAGAATCAATTTTTGCCTTTGCCGATATTTTGCAAGCTACTTCATTAACTTCTGCTAAGTATTATTTCCGTCTTTCCACTTTATATGGTTTCACCTTGATTTTTTCTACCTTCTGTAGATTAAGGCTTGGATGACAGATTTTCAACCTATCTTTGTTTACAATATGTGCATTTAAAGATAGAAATTTCTTTCTCTCACTGCTTCTTGTACCATCCCATAAAATATTTTGTCTCTTTACTTATCCATCTTAACATTTATTCTCATGAATATAAACTACGAATATAAACTTATGTATGAATAAAAACACATAAAATTATCTATATATTACTTCTATATGATATATATATACACACACACACACACACACACACACAAGTATTTCAATGGGAAAATATACTCCTGATACTGAATTGCAAAGGCATCTGTTCTTTTTCACTGATACATAATATTTGTACATACTTATGGGATGCATATGGTATTTTGTTACATACATAGGATGTATAATGATCAAGTCAGGATATTTAGGATATCCATTACAACAATCATTTATTATTTCTATGTGTTGAGAACATTTCAAGTTCTCACATCTAGCTACATTGGAATATACAATATATTGTTGTTAATCACAGTCACACTACTTTACTATTGAACATTAGAACTTCGTCCTTCTATCCAAATGTATGTTTGTACCCATTAACCGACATCTGTTCACTCCCTCACACACACCCCCACATCTTTCCCAACCTCCGTTAAATATCATTCTACTCTCTACCTCCATGAGATCACCTTTTAAAACTCCCACATATGAGTACATGAGATATCTGTATTTCTGTGTCTGGCTTATTTCACTTAACATAATCACCTTTATTTTCATCCAATTGCTACAAAGGATATTTTTAAATTTTTTTGTGGCCAAATAGCATTCCATTGTGCAAATATACATTTTTTTCATACATTCATCCATTGAAGGACACTTAGTTTTATTCCATACCATTGCTGTTGTGAATACTGCTGAAATAAACACGGAGGTGCAATAAACATGAGTCCCTTTGATATATTTATTTCCTTTCCTTTGGATAAACACCCAGTAGTGAAATGGGTGGATCCTATGGCAGTTCTATTTTTAGTTGTTTTTTTTTTTGAGAAATCTCCATACCATTTTTTATAATGACTATACTAATTTACATTCCCAGAGTGTGTAAGAGTTCCATTTTCTCTGCATCTTCCCCAGCATCTGTTATTTTTTGTCTCTTTGATAATAGCAATTCCAACTGGGGGAAGGTGATATCTCACTGTGGTTTTCATATGCACCCCTTCATGATTAGTGATGTTGAGCATTTTTTACATACTGTTTGGCTATTTGCATGTATGTTTAAATAATGTCTATTTAGATCCTTTGCCCACTTTCCAATAGGATAGATTGTTTTTGATTTTTGAGTTGTTTGAATTCCTTGTATATTCTGGACATTAGTCCCTTGTCAGATGAATATTTTGGAAATATGTTCTCCTATTCAGCAGGTTATTTCTTCACTTTGCTGATTGTTTCCTTTGCTGTGCAGAAGATTTTTAGCTTAATATTTTTCCAGTTGTCTATTTTTTATTTGGTTATCTGTGCTTTTGGGGTCTTAGCCATCAACTCTTTGCATAGAACAATATCCTAGTGGGTTTCTCCTATATTTTCTTATAATAGTTTTATAGTTTTGAATCTTACATTTAAGTCTTCAATTCATATTGAGTTAATTTTTTATAAGGTAAGAGATCAGGGTCCTTTCATTCTTCTGCATATGAATATCCTATTTTTCCAGAACGGCTTATTGAAGAGGGTATACTTCCCTCTTCCCAAGGGGGAAGTATTGGGTACTCCTCTTAAAGTATATTCTTGGTGCCTTTGTCAAAAATCAGTTGTCTATAAACACATGGAATTATTTTTGGGTTACGTATACTCTTTCATTGGTCTATGTGTCTGCTTTAATCCTAATACCATGCTGATTTGGTTACTATAGACTTATATTTTGAAGTCAGGTAGTGTGATGCCTTCAGCTTTGCTTTGTTCAGGGTTGCTTTGGTTATTCAGGCTCTTTCTTGGTTCCATACAAATTTTAGGATTTTTTTTCTATATTTGTAAGAAATGTCACTGGTATTTTGATAGGGATTGCATTAAATCTGTACATTCCTTTAGGTAGTATGGTAATCTTAACAATATCAATTCTTCTGATTTATGAGCATGGGGTGTTCTATATTTTGGATGTTTGTCTCCTCCATATCTCATGTTGAAATTTAATCCTCAATATTGGAGACGGGCCTAATGGAAAGTGTTTTGATCATGAAGGTGGATCTCTTATGAATAGATTAATGGTCTCCCAGGAGAGGGAGTGTGAGTTTTCACCCTATTAGTTCCTGGGAGAGCTGGTTGTTAAAAAAAACATGGCACCTTCCCCCTCTCTCATGCTTCCTTTCATGCCATGTGATATCTACACAAGCCAGCTCTCCTTCTCTTTCCCCTTTCTCCATGAATGGAAGCATCTCAAGGCCCTCAGCTGATGCAGATACTAGTGGCATGCTTCTTGTAAAGCCTATAGAACCATGAGCCAAATAAATCTTTTCTCTTTTTAACTTGCACAGACTCAGGTGTTTCTTTATGGAAACACAAACAAACTAAAACAAGATGTCCTTCTATTTGCTTGTGACCTTGTCAATTTCTTTCTTCAGTGTTTTGCAGTTTTCCTTGTAGAGATCTTTCCCCTTCTTAGTTAAATTTATTCCTAGGAATTTTATTTTTTTATAGATTTTGTAAATTGGATGCTTTCCAATTTATTTTTCAGCTAGCTCATTACTGGTATGTAGAATAGCTACTGATTTTATATGTTGATTTTGTATTCTCCAACTTTATTGAACTTGCTTATCAGATCAGATCTAAGAGGTTTTTTTTTTGATGGAGCCTTTAGGTTTTGCTAAATATGAGATCATGTCATGTGCAAAGAGAGATTATTTGACTTCCTCTTTTTCAATTTGGATGCCTTTTATGTCTTTCCATAGCCTAGTTGCTCTCACTAAGACTTCTAGAACTATGTTGAATAAGACTAATGACAATGGGGTGGGCATCTTTGTCTAGTTTCAGTTCTTAGAGGAAAGGTCTTCAGCTTTTCCCTGTTCAGTATTATGTTAGCTGTGGGTTTGTCATATATGACCTTTATTATGTTAAGGTATGTTCATTCTATGCCTCATTTGTTTAGCACTTATTATCATGAAGGGATATTAAATTTCATCAAAGAACTTATCTGCATCTATTGAGATGACCATACATTTTTAATCCTTCATTCTGTTGATTTGATGCATCATGTTTATTGTGTTCTATATGTAGAACCATCCTTGCATCCCTGGGATAAATCCCACTTGTTTGTGGTGTATTATCTTTTGCATGTGCTGTTGGATTCAGTTTGCTAGTATTTTTTTGAGAATTTTTGCATCTACGTTAATCAGGGGTAGTGGCCTGTAGTTTTCTTTTTTTGTTGTGCTCCTGTTTGGTTTTGGTATTAGGGTAATGCTGGCTTTAAACAACAAATTAGAAAGAATTTCCTCCCTTTTCTATTTTTGGAATGGTTTGGGAGAATTGGTTTTAGTTCTTCTTTAGAGGTTTGGTGGAATTTGGCAGCAAAGTCAAAAGGTCCTGGACATTTTTTTGTTGGGAGACTTTTTATTACTGATTCAGTCTCATTACTGATTATTGTCTGCTTAGTGTTTTTACTTCTTCCTGATTCAATCTTGGTAGATTGTATGGTTCCAGAAATTTATTTGTTTCCTCAAGGCTTTCTAGTTTCTTAATGTATAGTTGTTCATGGTAACATCTGACAATCTTTTGTATTTCTGTGGTATCAGTTGTAATGATTTATTTTTTATTCTGATTTTATTGCATCTTTTTTTCTTGGTTAGTCTAGCTAGTGGTTTATTGATTTTATCTTTTTAAAATATCTACTTTTTATTTTGTTCTTTCTTTTTTTAGTCCATTTCATTTAGCTCTGCTCTGATTTTTCTTATGCATTTATTTCTATTAATTTTGTGTTTCATTTGTTCTTAATTTATAGTTCTTGAGGTGGATTGTTAGATTGTTTATTTAAAAATCTTTCTTCTTTTTGATGTAGGCATTTATTGCTATAAAATTCCCCTCTTAGTACTGATTTTACTGTATCTCATAGGTTTTTGTATGCTATGTTTTCACTTTCATTTGTTTCAAGAATTTTTATCATTTCCTTCTTAATTTCTTCATTGACCCAATGGTTATTCAGGACCATGCTTAATTTCCATGTATTTATACAATTTCTAAAGTTTTTCTTGCTGTTGATTTCTAGTTTTATTTCATTGTGATCTGAGAAAATACTTGATATGATTGCTATTTTTAAAAATTTGTTGACTTGTTTTGTAGTCTAACATATGGTCTATCCTGGCGAATGTTCCATGTGCTTATGAGAGGAATGTGTTTTCTGCAACTGTTGGACAAAATGTTCTGTAAATGTCTGTTAGGTATATTTGATCTATTGTACAATGTAAATCCAATGTTTCTTTGTTGCTTTTATGCCTAGATGATCTCTCTAATGCTAAGAGTGGGGTGTTGATGTCCTCAGCTATAACTGTATTGGAGTCTGTCTCTCCCTTTAGATCTAATATTATTTGCTTTATATATCTGAGTGCTCTGGTGTTGGGTGCATATATATTTGTGATTGTTATATCTTCCTATTGAATTGATGTTTTTATCATTATATAGAGACTTTCTTTGTCTTTTTTTTACTGTTACTGACTTAGAGTCTATTTCATCTGACATAATTATAGCTTCTTCTACTTGTTTTTGTTTTCTGTTTGCATGAAAAATTTATTTATTTATTTTATTCTATGTGTGTTCTTAAAGGTGAAGTAAGTTTCTTGTAGGCATAATGTATTTGAGTGATAGTTTCTTATCCCTTCAGCCAGTCTGTATCTTTTAAGTGGAAAATATAATCTGTTTACATTCAAGGTTACTATTCATATGTGAAGATTTATTCCTTTCCTTTTGTTAATTGTTTTCTGGTTGTTTTGTGTATCCTTTTTTCCTTTCTTTCTCTCTTTTTGTTTCTTTATGGTTTGGTGGTTTTCTACAGTGGTAACATTTGAGTTCTTTCTGGTCCTCATTGGTGTGTCTGCTCTACCAGTTAGTTTTATCCTTTCTTCTGTTTTCATGAGGGTAGATAGCATCCTTTTGATTCTAGGTGTGGGACTTCTTTAGTAGTTCTTATAGGGCTGGTATTGTGTTGATGAATTCCCTCAGTTTTTGATTGTCCGGGAAAGTATGTCTTTTTTATTTATAAAGAATAACTTTGCTAGTTATACTATTGTTAGTAGAGAGCTGTTTTCCTTTAAGCACTTTGAATATATCATCTCGTTCTCTTCTGGCCTGCAAGATTTCTGTTGTAAAATTCACTATTATTCTGATAGAGGTTCCCTAACATGTGACTAGATGGTTTTCTCTTGCTGTTTAAAGAATTCTTTCATTTTCTTTGACTTTGGACAGTTTCACTATAATGTGCTGGGGGAGAAAAGCTTTTTGAATTGTATCTAGTTGGGGATCTCTGAACTTCATGTACGTGGATGTCTAAATTTCTTGCTAGACTTGAGAAGTTTCAGCCATTATGTCATTTAATAGGTTTTCATGCTTTAAACTTCTCTACACCTTCTGGTGTAGAGAAATTCAGATATTTGGTCACTTTGTGGTGTACCATATGTCTTGCAGGCTTTTTGTATTTCTTTTCTTCTTTTTTTGGTCAGACTGGATTATTTTGAAAGACCTGTCTTCAAATTCTGAAATTCTTCTGCTTGATTTTGGTTATCTTTGAAGCTCTCAGTTGTATTTTTTATTTCATTCATTGAATTCTTCAGTTCTGAGATTTATGTTTAGTGCATTATTTATTGTTCAATAGAACCAAACCGTTCTTTTCTAATGATATCTATCTCTCTAGTGAATTTCTTATTTATATTCTGAATTGCTTTTCTGATTTTTTTGGTATGGGTTATCTGTTTTCTCTTGTATCTCAATGAGTTTATTTAGTATCATAATTTTGAATTCTCTTCACGCAATTAATAAATTTATTTTATGCTAAAATCTGTTATTGGACAATTATTGTATTCTGTTGAATGCATCATATTTCTTCACTTTTCATGTCCTTGTGTCCTTTTGTTGATATCTGTGTATTAGGTGCAGGGTACATAGTAGGTATATGTATTTATGGGGTCCATGAGATGTTTTGATACAGGCATGCAATGCATAATAATCAGACCATAGAAAAAATATCCATCACCTCAAGCATGTATTCTTTGTGTTACAAACAATCCAATTATACTCTTTCAGCTATTTAAAAATGTACAATTAAATTATTATTTACTATAGTTACCCTATCGTGCTATCAAATACTAGGTATTATTCACTCTTTTCAACTAATTTTTTTTGTACTCATTAGCCATCCCCACCCCACTTCAGCCCCGTGCTACCTTTCTCAGTGTCTAGTAACCATCCTTCTATTGTCTATCTCCATGAGTTCAGTTGTTTTGATTTTTAGATCCCACAAATAAGTGAGAACATATGATGTCTTTCTTTCTGTACCTGGGTAATTCCACTTAACATAATGACCTGCAGTTCCATCCATGTTGTTGCAAATGATAGGATCCCATTCTTTTTTTGTGACTGGATAATACTCTATTGTGTATAAATATCATATTTTGTTTATCCATTCATCTTTCGATGGATACTTAGGTTGCTTCCAAATCTTGGCTATTGTGAACAGTGCTGCAACAAAGATGAGAAGAGTCCAGATATCTTTTTGGTATACTGATTTTCTTTCCTGTGAATATATACCCAGCAGTGGGATAGCTGGATCATATTGTAGCCTTATTTTTAATTTTTTGAGGAACATTCAAACTTCTCTTCATAGTGGTTGTACTAATTTATAGAAGTTGCAAACCCTGATGGTCCTCTGCTCTACCAGCTGAGCTGTCGAAGGGTGTATACTAATTTACATTGCCACCAACAGTGTACAAGAGTTCCCATTTCTGTACATCCTCACCAGCATTTGTTATTGTGTGACATTTAAATGTAAGCCATTTTAACTGGGGTGAGATGACACATTGTAGTTGTGATTTGCATTTCTCTGATGATCCATGAGTTTGAGCACTTTTACATATATTTATTTGCCATTTGTATGTTTTCTTTTGAGAAATGTCTATTCAAATCTTTTGCCCATTTCTTAATCAGATTATTAGGGTTTTTTCCTATAGAGTTGTTTGATTTCCTTATATATTTAGGTTATTAATCTCTTGTCAGTTGGGTAGTTTGCAAATATTTCTTCCCAATCTTTGGGTTGTGTGTTCACTTTGCTGATTGTTTCCTTTACTGTGCAGAAGCTTTTTAATTTGGTGTGATCTCATTTGTCCATTTTTGCTTTGGTTGCCTGTGCTTGGGGGATATTACTCAAGAAATGTTTGCCCAGACCAATATCATGGAGATTTTCTCCAATGTGTTCTTGTAGTAGTTTTATAGTTTGAGGTCTTAGATTTAAGTTTTTAATACATTTTGGTTTGATTTTTGTATATGATGAGAAATAAGGGTCTAGTTTCCTTCTTCTGCATGTGGACATCCAGTTTTCCTAGCACCATTTATTGAAGATACTGTATTTTCCTCAGTATATGTTCTTGAAGCCTTTGTCAAAAATGAGATCACTGTAGATGTATGAATTTGTTTGTTGGTTCTCTATTCTGCTCCACTGGTCTATGTTTCTGTTTTTATGCTGGTACCATCTTGTTTGGGTTATTATAGCTGGTAGTATAATTTTAAGTCAGGTAATGTGATTCTTGAAGTTTTGTTCATTTTGCTTAGAATAGCTTTGGCTATTCTGCGTCTATTTTAAAATTGTGTTTTCCATTTCTGTGAGGAATGTCATTGGTATTTTGATAGAGATTGCATTGTATCTGTAGATTGCTTTGGGTAGTATGGACATCTTAACAATATTAATTCTTCCAATCAATGAACATGGAATATTCATCTATTTTTGGTGTCTTCTTTGACTTCTTTCATCAATGTTTTATAGTTTTCATTATAGCAATTTTTGAATTATTTGCTTAATTCCTAGGCATTTTATTTTATTTGTGGCTATTGTAAATGGGATTACTTTTTAATTTCTTTTTTTAGATTTTTTACTTTTGGCATATAGAAATGCTACTGATTTTTGTATGTTAATTTTGTATCCTCCGACTTTGCTGAATTTGTTTATAAGTTCTAATTTTTTTGGTAGAGTCTTTGGAGTATTCTAAATATAAGATTATATCATCTGTAAACAAAAAATATTGACTTATTTCTTTCCAATTTGGATGCATTCTATTCCTTTCACTTGTCTGATTGCTCTAGCTAGGACTTCCAGTACTATGTTTAATAACAGTGGTCAAAAGTGGGCATCCTTGTCATGTTACAAATCTAGGAGGAGAGTTTTTAAGTTTTTGTCCAATTCAGTATATTAACAGTGGGCCTGTCATATATGGCATTTTTTATGTTGAGGTGTTTCTTCTATACCGAGTTTTTTGAGGATTTTATTATGAAGGGATATTGAAATTTATCAAATTCTTTTTAGCACCAATTGAAATGATTGTATAATTTTTGTCCTTTATTCTGATGATACAATGTGTCACCTTGGTTGTTTTTCCTATATGGAACCATCCTTGCATCCCAGGGTAAATCCTCTATGGTCATGATGAATAATCTTTCTAATGTATTGTTGAATTTGGTTTGCTAGTATGTTGTTCAGGATTTTTGCATCAATATTTATCAGATATATTGGTCTATGTTTTTTCTTAATGTGTCTTTGTCTGGCTTGGTATCGAAATAATACTGGACTTATGGATTGAGTTGGAAAGTGGTCCCTCCTCCTCTATTTTTCAGAATAGTTTGAGTATAATTGGTACTAGTTCTTCTTTAAATGCTTGGCAGAATTCAGCAGTGGCAGCTTTGTGTCCCAGGCTTTTTTAATTTTTTATTTTTATTTTTTTTCCTATGAGGCTTTTTACTGTGGCTTCAATCTCATTACTTGTTATTGCTCTTTTAAGGTTTTCCATTTCTTCCTGGTTTAATCTTGGTAGGTTGTATGTGTCTAGGAATTTATTCATTACCTCTAGATTTTCCAATTTATTGGCATATAGTTGCTCATAGTAGCCACTAATGATCCCTCGAATTTCTGCAGTATCAGTTGTAATGTCTCTTTTTTCATCTCTATTTCATTTATTTGGATCTTATCTCTTCTTTTTATGAGTTTCGCTAAAGGCTTGCCAGTTGTGTTTCACCTTTAAAAACCATTTTTTTCATTGATTTTTTGTATTGTTTCATTTTCATTTCAATTTTAGTTATTTCTGCTTTGATCTGTATTATTTATTTTCTTCTGCTAATTTTGAGTTCGGTTTGCTCTAACTTTTCTAGTTTTTAAAGATGAATTGTTAGCTAGTTTATTTGAAGCTTTTTTTTAAAAAAATGTAGGCTCTTATAGCTATAAATTTCCCTGTTAGGACTGCTTTGGCTGTATCCCATAGTCTTTGATATATTGTGTTTCCATTATTATTTGTTTCAATTTTTTTTCAATTTTTTTTGGTTTCTTTATTGATCCACTAGTCACTTAGAAGCATATTGTTTAATTTCCATGTATTTGCATAGTTTCCAAAGTTGTTCTTGTTATTGATTTCTAGTTTTATTACATTGTAATTAGAAAAGATGGTTGATATTATTTCAGTATTTTTGAATGTTTAAAGACTTGTGATTTAACATATTGTCTATCCTTGAGAATGTTCCATATGCTGAGGAAAATAATGTTTATTCAGCAGCTGTTAGATGAAAATTTATTTAAATATTAAATAGATTCATTTGGTCTATAGTGAAGATTAAGTTTGATGTTTCTTTGTTGATTTACCATCTGTCTAATGCTGAAAGTGGGATGTTGAAGTCTCCAGCTATTATTGTATTGGGGCCTATCTCTATTTTTATATTTAATAATATTAGCTTTATATGTCAGGGTGCTCCACTGTTGGGTGCATATGTATTTAAATTCGTTATATCTTCTTGCTGAATTGAGCCCTTTATCTTTATATAGTCACTTTTTTGTGTCTTTTTATAGTTTTTGCCTTGGTAATGCATTTTTTTCTGATACAAGTATAGCTACTCCTGCTTTTTTAAAAAAATTTCCATTAGCATGGAATATCTTTTTCCATCCTTTACTTTTCACCTACATGTGTCTTTATAGGTGAAGCATGTTTCTTATAGGCAACGGATTATTGAGTCTTTTTTTTTATGCATTCAACCACTCTGTGTTTTGTGATTGGAAAGTTTAGTCCATTTACTTTAAATATTATTATTGATATTTGATATTAAATATTTGTTAATATACCTGTTGGCCAAATGTATGTCTGTTTTTAAGAAATTTCTGTTCAGGTTTATTATGGTTAGAATATATTCCCTACACAATTTAGCTGTTGCCAATATGATAGTATTAAGTAGAGGCATTAGGTGTTTATTAGACCAAGAGGACTTTTCTTTTGTGAATGGATATAGGTGACTTTATAAATATGAGGGAATTTTTTCTTGCTTGCTCTTCCATCTTTCTCCATATGAGGACACAGTTTTTTTTCCTCTGGAGAATGAAGGCCTCACCAAACACCAAATCTTGGTGTCTTAGCCTTAGACTTCCAGCTTCCAGAACTGTGAGAAATACATTTCGGTTCTTTATCAATTACCAGTCTGTGATATGCTTTCACAGTAGAACAAGATGGACTAAGTCAAGGTCCTTTGCCCATTTTAGAATTTGGTTATTTCTTTTTTTTTTTTTTTAACTACTGAGTTATTTGAATTTTCTATGTATTTTGATATTAACACCTCATCAGATGTATGGATTGAAAACTTTTTCTCTCATTCTGTAGGTTGTGTTTTTACTCTGTTTATTGGTTTCTATGCTCTGCAGAAGCTTTTTAGCTTGATGAAATTCAACTTGTTTTCTTCTTTTTTGCCTGTGCTTTTAGTGTCATATCTAAAAAATTTTTGCCCAGACTAATGTCATGAGATTTTCCCTAGGTATTTTCAGTGGTTTTACAGGTTCTGATCTTACATTTAAGTCTTTAATTCATTTGAGGTGGGGCCTTTAAGAGGTGAATGGGTTATGAGGCCTTTGCTCTGAATTAATGGGTTAATGGATTATAACAGGAGTGAGTAACTTATCACAAGATTGGATCTGTTATAAAAGCCAGTTTGCTTCTCAGTGTGTCCTCTCACCATGTGATGTCCTGCAGCACCTCAGAACTGTGCAGAGTTCCCATCAGCAAGGAAACTCTCACCAGACATAGCTCCTCGACCTTGGACTTTCCAGCCTCCAGAAATGTGAGAAATAAATTTATTTTCTTTATAGATTACCCAATTTCAAGTATTCAGTTATAGAAAGAGAAAATGTACTAAGTCATAAGATTATTTTAGTGAATGGATGTAATATATGTAGTGATGTATTTGTAGACACATGTTTCATAGATGTCTTAAAAAAATTACTTATAAGTTGTGTTATTAACAGAGTTAATTTAGGGAATATAAGTGGTTATCCAACTGTAACATATGTAATGGGGTATTTAAAAATACTTTTCTGAAGGAGAAAGTTGCAATTTTATTGTATTTTTATTGAAAAGTAATAATTATATATATTTATGTGGTATGATGTGATGTTTTAATATATGTTTACATTATGAAATGATGAAATCAAGCTTATTAACACATCCATCACCTCACATACTCATCCACTTTTTTGTGGTGAGAACATCTGAAGTAAAATCTTTAAGCAACTTTTAAATATACAATGCTTTATTATCAATTATAGTCATCAATTTGTACACTACATTACTAAAGCTTATTTTTCCTGTCTAGCTGAAACTTCATACCCTTTGATCAATTTCTCCCCTTTTCTCCATTTTCCCCCTCTCCAAGCCTCTGGTAACCACTATTCTGCTCTCTACTTCTGTGAGTTCTGCTGTTTTAGATTCCACATATACATGAAATGATGCAGTATTTTCATTTATGTGCCTAGTTTATTTCACTCGGCATAATATCCTCCAGGTTTACGTATATTGTAGCAAATGATGGAATTTCCTTCTTTTTTAAGGCTGTGTAGTATTCCATTATATGTATGTGCATATATATATATATATATATATATATATACTTGCACATATTTATATACACATATACATGTCTATAGATTACATTTTTAAAATCATTCTTCTGTTGATGGAAACTTAAGTTGCTTCCATTTCTTAGCTATTGGCAATGATGCTACAATAAACATTAGAGTGCAGATATCTCCTTAACATACTGATTTCAAATCTCTGGACACGTGGCCAGAAGTGGGATTGCTAGATAATATGATAGTTCTAGTTCTAGTTTTCCAAAGAACATCCATACTGCTTTCCAAAGGGAGTATATTAATTTATATTCCCACCAGTAGTGCACAAGGGCTATTTTTCTCTACATTCTTGCCAAAATTTATCTTTTTTTAATAAGTTATTCTAACAGATGTGAAGTCATATCTTATTGTAGTTTTAATTTGCATTTTCCTAGTATTAAGTGATGTTGAGCATTTATTTATATATTTAATGACCATTTGTAGGTCTGCTTTTGAGAAATGTTTATTCAGGTCCTTTGCTCATTTTTAAATTGGGTTAAAATTTAAAATTAAAATTAATTTAATTTAAAATTAAAATTTAAACTTTTTTGCTGAGTTTAGTTCCTTATATATTTTGAATACTAGTTCCATATCAGATGTATGGTTTGCACATATATTCTTCCAATCTATGGGTTGCCTCTTCACCCCATTGATTGGTTTCTCTTCTCTGCAGAAGCTTTTCAGTTTGATGCAATTCCACTTAGTTTTTTTTTTTTTTCTTTTGCATGTGTTTTTGGGTTCATATCCAGGAAATCGTTGCCCAGACCAATGTGAAAGAGTTTTTCACTTATGTTTTCTGCTATTAATTATACAATTTCAGGTTCCATATTAATCCCTTAATCTAGTTTAAGTTGATTTTTGTATATGGAGTGAGATGAGCATCTAATTTCATTCTCTTTATGTGGATATCTGGTTTTCCCAGCACCATTTGTTCAAGAGACTGTCCATTCTTCATTGTGTGTTTTGGGATCTGTGTCAAAGATCAATTGAATATAAAAGCATGGATTTATTTCTTGGCTCTCTATCCTGTTTTATTTATTGGTGTGTCTGTCTTTATATTAGTACTATGCTACTCTGATTACAATCACCTTATGGTATATTTTGAAATCAGAGTATGTGATGCTTTCTGACATTTTTCATTTACAAAAGATTTCTTTGGCTATACTGGGTCTTCTGTGGTTCCATAATTTCTAGGAGTTTTTTTAAAATTTCTGTGAAAAATGACATTAGAATTTTGAAAAAATTGCATTAAATGTTTAGACAGCTTTGGATAGTGTGGAAAATAACAATAATTTTTTAAAATTCTTAAATGTGGGCTACATTTTCATTTATTTTGTCTTTATTTGATTAATGTTTTATAGTTTTCAGTGTACAGATCCTTCAGGAAATCATAAAAATTATTTCTAAATATTTTTGTAGCTATTAAAAATGGAATTGTCTTGATTTCTTTTCAGATAGTTTATTATTATTGTTTAAAACACAATAGTTTTTTTGTGTATTGATTTTGTAACTGACAAATTTACAGAATTTGTTTATTAATTCTAACAGTTACTTGGTCGAGTCCTTAGGGTTGACTATATATAAGATCATGTCATCTGCAAAAATAGAAACTTCTTTTTCATATTTGGATTTCTTAAATTTGTTCTCCTTGCCTAATTCCTCTGGCTATGACTTCCAGTGTTGTGTTGACTAGAAGCGGCAAGAGGGGGCATCCTCATCTTGTTTTTAAGTTTTTTTTTTTTATTTTTATGAGTATATAGTAGGTGTATATAATTATCAGGTGTACAAGATATTTTGATACAAGAATACAATGTGTAATAATCATATCAGGGTAAATGGGGTGTCCCTCATCTCAATAATTTATTACTTCTTTGTATTACAAACATTCCAATCATATTTTTTAAGTTGTTTAAAAATGTACAATTATTGTTGACTGCAGTTATTCTCATGTGCTATCAAATACTAGATCTTATTAATTCTATCTAACTGTATTTTTGTACCCACCCCCACTCCCCTCCCACACACACTACAGTTCTCAGCCTCTTGAAACCATTATTCTATTCTCGATCTCCATTAGTTCAGTTGTTTTAATTTTTAGCTCCCACAAGTGAGTGAGAACATGTGAAGTTTATTTTTGCTTTTGCTGCCCGTGCTTTTGGGGTCAAATCCAAGAAATCTTTGTCAAGATCAATTTCATGAAGGTTTTCTCCTTTTTATTTTTCTAATAGTTTTATAGTTTTTGGTCTTACGTTTAAGTCTTTTTTCTATTTTGAATTGATTTTTGTATATGGAATGAGACAAGTGTTCAGTTTCATTCTTCTACCTGTGAATATCTAGTATTTTCAGCACTATTTATTGAAGACTGTCTTCTCCCCATTGTAGGTACTTGGCATCTTTGTCAAAGATTAATTAATCAGAGATGAGTAGATTTATTTCTAGGCTCTTCTTTCAGTTCTGTTGATCTATATGTCTATTTTTCTGCCATACCATGCTGTTTTGATCATTATCAAATCAGCTTTGTAGTTGATTTTGTGACCATGTAGTGTGATGCTTTCAGCTTTTTTCTTTCTGCTCAAGATTGCTTTGGTTATTTATGATATTTTGTGGTTCCATATGAGTTTTAGGATTGTTTTATTCATTTCTGTGAAAAAGGTCATTGGAATTTTGATAAAGATTACACTGAATTCAGATTGGCTTTAGTAGTATGAAACTTTAACAATATTATTTCTTTCAATCTATGAACATGGAATAGCCTTTCTGTTTATTTGCATCTTCTTTAATTTTCTTTATCAATGTTTTATAGTTATCAATGTACAGATTCTTTAACTTTTTGATTAAATGTATTCCAAAGTATTTTTGTAACTATTTTAAATAGGATTGCTTTCTTGATATTTTTCAGATAGTTTGTTTTTAACATATACACATGAAACTAACTTTTCTACATTGATTTTGTATCCTGAAGCTTTAATGAATTTATTTGTTCTAACAGTTTTTTGCTGGACTTTTCACGGTTTTTCATATTTCAAATAATAGAACACAGACCATTTAACTTCTTACTTTCCAATTTGAATGGCTTTTATTTATTTTTCTTGCCTAATTGCTCTGGCTAAGAGCTTCTAGTAATATGTTGAGTAGAAGTAATGAGACTGAATATCCTTGTGTTGTTTCTTACCATAGAGAAAAAGGTTTTACTTTTTCACTCTCAAGTTTGATGTTAGCTGTGGGCATGTGATACATGGCCTTTATTCTGTTGAGGTACATTGTTTTTATACCTAATTGGCTAAGAGTTTTTATCATGAAAGAATGTTGAAAATTTTAAATGTTCTTTGTGCATCTATTTAAATAATCTTATAATTTTTATTCTTCATTCTGTTAAAGTGTTGCATCACATATATTGATTAGTGTATGTTGAATTATGCATCTTAGGGAAAATCCTACTTAGTCATTATGAATGGCCCTTTTTATTTGGTATTAAATTTGTCGTGTTAGTATTTTTTGAAGATTTTCTTTGTATTTGTGTTCATCAGGGATATTGGCGTGTAATTATTTTTCTCAGACTATTTGTGTCTGCCTCTGGTGTTAGGGCATTGCTTGCCTAGTACATGTTTTTAAAAGCATTCCCTCATTTTTAATTTATAGAAAAGAACTTTAGCAGGATTTGTATTAGCTCTTTCTTAAATATTTGATAAGATGTAGTCAAAAAGCCATCTGATTCTGGGTTTTTCCTTTTGGGGCGTTTTGAATACTAATTAGATCTTTTTATTATTGGTATAAGATTCTTTATTTCTTCATGATTCAGTTTTCATAGGTTATATTATTGTATGAATTTATTCATTTCTTCTAGATTATCCAATTTGGCAGTATGTGATTACTCATAATGGTTTCTTATGATTTTTTTTATTTCTGTACTATCAGTTGTAATGTATCCTTTGTATTTCTGAGGTATCAGTTATAATGCATCTTTTCACTTTTCTAATTTTGTATATTTAAATCTCTCTTCTTTTATAGTGTAGCAAAAGTTTCCTTGATTCTGTTTATCATTTTTACAAAACTAACTCTTGTTTACCTTTCCTGTTGTTTTTCTAGTCTATTTTATTTATGCTCTGATCTTTGTTTCTGCCTTCTTACACTAACTTTGGGCTTAGTTTACACATCTTCACTCAGCTCCTTGAGATCTTATGTTAGGTTGTTTGTTTGAGATCATTCTTCTTTTTTGATGCATTCATTTATTACAATTAGCTTCTCTCTTAGAACTACTTTTGCTACATCTAAATGGTTTGTAAATGTTGTGGTTCTATTTTATTTTCTCTCAAGATATTTTTTATTTCTCTGTTAAGTTCTCCTTTGATCCATGGGTTGTTTGGTAGCGTGCTGTTTAATTTCCATATATTTGCAAATTTTCCTGTATTTTTTTCTTGTTGATTCCTAGTTTCATATCATCGTAGTCAAAGAAGAAACTTAACATAATTTATATCTTCTGAAATTTGTTATGACTTCTTTTGTGGCCCAACATATGACCTATCTCAAAAAGTATTCCACGTATGCTTGACAGAAATACATACTTTACTGTTTTTGGATAGAATGTTTTGTATGTGTGTTCACCCCACTTTATCTAAACTGTAGTTCAAGGGAAGGAACAAGATGACTGGCTAGATAAAGCAAGGAAGCACCTCTTACACCAAAAGAAAGCAAAATATTTAGTAAACCATCACACTTTGAACAGACATTTTGAGAGAAAATACTGCAAGTCAATAGATAGGTGATACAGACACTGAGGCTGAAGAGGGAGGAAGCTAGGAAACTCACATCCAGTCACCAAGCACCAAGACCAGCTCACAGTCCTTAACAGGTCCTAAGGAAGTGATGAGTGAAGAAACAGTGGGGCACCACACTCCCACAGTGGATCTCTGAAATCCTAAATACAAGACATCCCATGACCCACATAAACATTTGAATTGACAGAGCAAACTGCATGGAGAGTAGGTGAAGGCAGAGCTCAAACATGTGCAGACTCCAGAAGATTTTATGGCATGCAGAGGAGCTGCAGCAAAATGCGACCATAGGTGTCCATTTGCCAAGGTTTTCCATTTTTATCTAAGTGGCTGTAGCCCCAGCTGTCTGTTAGGCCAGGAAAAAGCAGGCCTTCCTTTCCTGTTAGACCAGGGCACATTTTATCTACATGTCCCCTTCTCTGCTGGCCCTTCCTAAGGTAGCCTGCCTGGCTGCTTCTGCAAGAGGATGCACACAGCACACAATTCACTGCCTCACCTTCGTGTGTTGTTGGTGGCTTGGGAGCAGTTTGGCTCCACCAACACAGCTAGTGTTTGACCCCAAGGACCCAGAAGAAAATGCCACAGGCCCAGTCCCAACCCTCTAGTGTTTGAGCACACAGCCCAGGGTTATTGAGCTGAGATCTGTGGCCTGAGCTTGAGCCAGAGAAGAGCCCCCTGTTTCAGAACACTGCAAAGCATAAGGAATGTGTTTGTGTGCTGAAATAGGAGCTAGGCATTCCTTCCTCTGCAAGACTGGCCTGGGTTGGCCTGTTGGCCAGCTACAGCTTTTGTCTGAGGGAGCCATGTGAACCAGAACACCTGGAACAACTCAGCGATCTGGGCACAGAAGGCCTGGGACAAATCTAGCTGGTCAAGCCTGCACATGAGGAGACACCAAAGGGAGACTCAGACAGAAAACTGCAAGCTTGGAGGAACCCACAGCCATCTGCTGGGAAAAAAAAATCCCCAGGCTGCAGGTGCTACACTAGATGCAAACCTACAGAACCACCACCCTACCTATGAATTCTCTGCCCTTTATACACTGCATCACCAGACCACTCACAGACATACTCCACAACCCACTGTGACCCTGCCAAGTTGAGAGAACCAGTGGATCACTGAGGAGTTGCAGGTCTCCCAGTGGCCTAACCTTCAGCTCAAGTCACCCCAAGTGAAGGGGGAGTGCAGCCCATAGGGGTCCCCTTGAAGGTAAAGAAATGTGGGTGCAGCTCCAGTGATCAAAGGGGCTCTCCCCAGGCCTAGGAACAGACTTGGCGAGGGGGTAATCTCTCATCCCCATCCCCCAACTGCCCCTTCCCAGAGCAGTGCTGCATATGCATTGAAATAGAAAAGAGGCATGAAGCTAAGAATCTCTCTGCGGATACTTACTCTTAAGCACCATCTACTGGATTGTAGCCTGCATTACACCACAAAGCAAAAACAAATTCCTTCAGCACCCAGTCAATGCCGGTAAAACCCAATTCAGAAAGCCAGCTACAACTAAGATGCTCATATGCCTTGGCTTTCTGAGAGAACCCAGAAATAAAGCAAATTGACTATACCCAACATACACCACAGTCAAACCCTCAAGAGAAAAAAAGAATATAAAAACCAAAATTTTAATTTAAACAACAACAATTTAAAAAGAAAAAGGAACACTAACCCCTTCGGATGAGAAGGAATCAGTGCAAGAAATCAAACAACTTAAAAGGTCATAGTGTTGTTCTTTACTAGAGGATTGCATTAGCTCACTAGCAATGGATTCTAACCATGTTGAAATGTCTGAAGTGACAGACATAGAATTCAGACTGTAGATGTCAAGGAAGCTTAATGAGATTTAAGAGAAAGTTGAAATCTAATCAAAGGAGGTAGGTAAAATGATCCCAGAGTTGAAAAGTGACATAGACATTTTAAAAAATAAGTAAACTAAATTTCTGAAACTTAATAATTTACTACAGAAATGTCAAAGTATAGTTGGAAGACTTAAAATTAGACTAGAACAAGTAGAAGAAGGAATGTCAGAGCTTGAATACTCTTTCTTTGAATCAACCCAGTCAGACCAAAGTGAAGAAAAAAGAACAGAAAAATGAGCAGAGCCTTCAAAAAATTTGGGATTATGTAAACAAACCAAACCTATTGAGGCAGCAGAATAGGGCCTGGAGGCAGGGAATATGGGACCAATCCATGCTGACTTCCTAGAACTAAAGCAAATGAAAGCACTTTAGCAATGACAGGAATGTGAATGGTTTTGTAACTTCACTTCATCCTCTCTATTCACGCCATTTACACTTTGTAACTGCACATTCATCCTCACCATTTACATAGACCACATGCTCCAGGTAACATGCTCTCCTTTTACACTTTGCAACTTCATATTTATCCTCTCCATTTACATAGACCACACACACCAAGTAACAGCTTCTCCATTTACAATAGGGTGCATTCTGAGTAAATGACTTTGTGACTTCACTTCATTCTCTTCATTTACATAGAATATTCACCAAGTAACCAATGGGAAACCACTAGAGTATTGAAACCCCAGAAAATTCTGTAAGTGGAGCTCTTGAGCCTCCATGCTTGGGCCTGCTCCCACACTGTGGAGTGTATTTTTGTTCTCAATAAATCCCTACTTTTGCTTTCCTCACTTCATTTTTGCATTTTATCCAATTCTTTGTTTGAGATGCCAAGAACTTGGACACCTTCTATCAGTAATATATTGACACACTACCATATCTAAGAGAAAATGTGAGAGTAAACAATTTGGAAAACATATTTGTGGATATGGCCCATGAAAATTCCTCCAATTTTTCTACAGAAGTTGACATTCAAATTCAAGAAATTCAGAAAACCCCTGAGACATACTATACAAGATGACTGCTCCAAGACATGTAGTCATCAGACATTCCGAGGTCAGCATGAAAAAAATCTTAAAGAAATTTAGAGAAAAGGGTCAAATCATTTACAAGAGGAACCCCATCAAGGTAACAGTGGAATTACTAGCAGAAAGCTTATAAGACAGAAGAGATTGAGGGCCTATTTTCAACATTCTTGAAGAAAACATATTCCAACAAAGAATTTCATATTCCTACAAACTAAGCTTCATAAGAAAAGAAGAAATAAAAACTTTTTCATACATGGAATAACTAAGGGAATTTGTTTCCATTAAACCAGCCTTCTAAAAGATTCTTAAGGGAGTTCTAAAGATGGAAACAAAAGAACAATACTTGCTATAACAAAAACACAATTAAATACATAGCCCAGAGATGCTGTAAAGCAACTACACTATCAAGACTACAAAGCAACTAGCTAAAATCACAACAGGATCAAAATTTCATATATCAATATCAATTTTGAATGTAAATGGCCTAAATGCCCCACTTAAAAAAAAAAAAAACAGAGAGTAGCAAATTGAATAAAACTATGACTCAATTATTGCTGTCTTCAAGAGGCCCATCTCACATGTAACTACACCAATGGGTGCAAAGTAAAGGGGTGGAGAAAGAGCTTTAAAAAAAAAGCAGGGATCACTATTTTTATATCAAATAAAACAGACTTTAAACAAAAACAGTTAAAAAAAGGACAAATAAGAGCATTACGTAGTGATAAATGGCTCAATTCAACAAGACTTAACTATTCTAAGTATACATACACCCAACATTAGAGCACCCAGTTTAATAAAACATGTATGTCTAGAACTAGAAAAAGACTTAGACAGCCACAGAATAATAGTGGGGGACATCAACACCATACTGAGAATATTAGGTTGATTATCAAGGCAGAAAACTGACAAAGAAAGTCTGCACTTAAATTAGACACTTGGCAAATGGGAACTAATATATATATTTCACCCATCATTCACAGAATATACATTCTTCTCATCTGCTCATAGAATGTACTCCAAGATTGATCCCATGCTCAGCCATTAAGCAAGTCTCAATAAATTTTTTAAAAAGTCATACCTAGCATAATCTCAGACCACAATGGAATAAAAATATAAATAAATACCAAGAAGATCTCTCAAAAACCACAAAATTAATTGGAAACTGAAATACTTGTTCCCAAATGACTTTGGGGGTAAACAAGAAAATTAAGGCAGAAGTCAACAAATTCTTTGAAATAAATTAAAACAGAGATACAACAAAAAATCTCTTGCAACAAAAGCAGTGTTTAGATCAAAG
Organism: Homo sapiens; assembly: GCF_000001405.40. NCBI lineage: Eukaryota > Metazoa > Chordata > Mammalia > Primates > Hominidae > Homo > Homo sapiens. The sequence continues at coordinate 76,457,590 of NC_000023.11, forward strand.
TTTGTAGCACCAAATGCCTACATAAAGAAGTTAGAAAAGTCACAAATTGACAGTTTAACGTTGCACCTAGAAGAACTAGAAAGAAAGAGCAAACTAACCCCAAAGCTAGCAGAATAAAATAAACAACTGAAATCAGAGCAGAGTGGAATGAAATTGAGACATAAAAATTTATAAAAATGATCAATGAAACCAAACAGAGAAGATCCAAATAAGCCCAATCAGATGACAAAGGTGACATTATAACTGATCCCACAGAAATACAAAAGGTCTTCAGAAACTATGATGAACACCTCTATGCACAGAAACTAGAAAATTTAGATAAAATGGATAAATGTCTGGAAACACACAGCCTACTAATATAGGATCAGGAAGAAATTGAAACCCTGAACAGACTGATAACATGTTCCAAAATTGAATCTGGCATAAATACCAACCAAAAAAGCTGTGGACCACATGGATTCATAGTTAAATTCTACCAGATGTACAAAAAGTGTTGATACCAACTCTACTTAAACTATTTTTAAAAATTTAGGCAGAGGGACTCTTCCTTAACTCATTCTACAAAACCAGCATCATCCTAATACGAAAGTCTGACAAACACACATGAAAAAGTAAACTACAAGCCAACATTCATGATTAATATATATGCAAAAATCCTCAACAAATACTAGCAAAGTGAAACGAGTGGCACATGAAAAAGTTAATTCACTATAATTAAATAGTCTTTATTCCTAGGATGCAATGTTGGTTCAAGATATGCAAGTCAATAAATGTGATTTATCACAGAAACAAAGTTAAAAACAAAAACTATGTGATCATCTCAAAAATCCTTTGATAATACCTAACATCTCTTCATGATAAAAACCTTCAACAAACTAGGCATTGAAGGAACATACCTCATAACAATAAGAGTCATTTATGACAAACCCACAGCCAACATCCTACTGAAAGGGCAAAAGCTAGAGTCATTACCTTTCAGAACTGTATCAAGACTGAAACAAGCCCACTATCACCACTCCTATTTAACATGGTACTGGCAGCCCCAGCCAGAGCAATCAGGCAAGAACAAAAAATAAAAGGCACCCGAATAGGAAAAAAAAAAAAGTCAAGCTCTCTCTCTTCATTGGTGAGATAATTCCATCCCTAGAACACCCAAAAGACTCTGCCAAAAGGCTACTGGAGTTGGTAAACAATTTTAGTAGGGTTTCACAAAACAAAATTAATATTCAAAAATTAGTAGCATTTCTATGCACCAGTATTATCCAGTTTGACAGTCAAATCCACAAAACAATTTTATTTATAATAGCAACAAAAAAAGAAATAACTATAAAAATAGCTAACCAAGAAGGTGAAAGATTTCTACAAAAAGAATTACAAAACACTGCTGAAAGAAATCAGCAACAACAGAAATAAATGAAAAAAAATTATGCTAATGGATTGAAAGAGTCAATATTCTTAAAAGGCCATACTGCCTAAACCAATCTACATATCTAATGCTATTCTTACCCAAATACCATTGTTGTTCTTCAAAGATTTAGAAAAATTTATTCTAAAATTTATGTGGAACCAAAAAGGAGACTGGATAACCAAAACAATTCTAAGCAAAAAGAACAAACCTTGAGACATTACACTACCCAACTTACAACTATACTATAAGGCTGTGGTAATCAAAACAACGTGGTACTTGCACAGAAACAGACACATAGACCAATGGAAGATAATAGAAAACACAGAAATAAAGCTGTACACCTCCAGCCATCTAACCATCAAGAAGGCTGACAAAAACAATGGGTGAAGGACTTCCTATTCAATAAACAGTGCTGAGATGACTGCTATGCTATAGACAGGAGAACGAAACTGGACCCTTACCTTTCAGTATACACAAAATTAACTGAAAATTGATTAAAGATTTCAAGGTAAGACCTCAAACTGCAAACATCCTACAAGACAACTTGGGAAATACCATTCTTGACACTGGACTTAGCAAATAGTTTGTAAGTCCCCGAAAGCAATTGCAATGAAACAAAAATTGACAAGTGGGACCTAATTAAACTAAAAAACATTTGAACATCAAAAGAAACTCTCAACAGAGTAAACAGGCAATCTACACAGTACCAGAAACTATTCATAAATTATGTATCCAACAAAGGTCTATTATCCAGAATCTAGAAAGACCTTAAACAATTAAACAATAAGAACCAATTAATCCTAATAAAAATGGTCAAAAGGCATGGACACTACTCAAAAGAAGTCCTACAAGCATCCAGCAATCATATGAAAAAAGTTCTAAATCACTAATCATTAGGAAAATGCAAATCAAAACCACAATGAGACACCATCTAACATCATCTGTCAAAATCGCTATTATTATTATTACTTATTATTTTAGTATTTGAGACAGAGTCTCACTCTGTCACCCAGGCTGGAGTGTAGTGGCACTATCTTGGCTCACTGCAGCATCTGCCTCCCAGGTTCAATCAATTAACATGCCTCAGCCTCCTGAGTGTCTGGGATTACAGGTGCATGCCACCACACACAACTAATTTTTTTGTATTTTTAGTAGAGACAGAGTTTCGCTATGTTGGCCAGGCTCATCTCAAACTCTTGCCCTCAAATGATCCACCAGCCTCAACCTCCCAAAGTGCTGGGATTACAGGCATGACCCACCATGTCTGGCCAAGAATCGCTATTATTAAAAAGTCAAAAAACAACAGATGCTGGTGAGGCTGCAAAGAAGAGGGAATGCTTATATACTGTTAGTGGGAATGTAAATTAGTTCAGCCACTGTGGAAAGAAGTTTGGGGATTTATCAAAGAACTTAAAACAAAACTACCATTTTACTCAGCAATCTCATTACTGGGTATATATCCTGAAAAAAATTACTAAAAAAAAGCTATGCACTCATGTTTGTCACAGCATTATTCACAATAGAAAAGATAAGGGATCAATGTAGGTGCTCATCGATGGTGGAGTGGATTTTTAAAAATGTGGTATATATACACCATGGAATACTACACAGCCATAAAGAGGAATGACATCATATCTTTTGCCACAACATGGATGCAGGAGACCATTATTCTAAGCAAATTAACCTCAGAACAAAAAGGCAAATACTACATGTTCTCACTTGTAAGCAAGAGCTAAATTTTGGGTACCCATGGATGAAAAGGTGACAACAACAAACACTGGGGACTACTAGAAGAAGGAGGGAGGGAAGGGTAAGGGTTTAAAAACTAGCTTCTAGTACTATGTTCACTCTCTGTGTGACAGGATTATTTGTATCCCAAACATTAGCATCACACTGTGTACCCATATAACACACCTGCACATGTACCCCCTGAATCTAACATGAAAGCTGAAATTATAAAACAGGTAAAATAAGTTCAACAGAATTTGGATGCTAATTTTATATCCTGCAACTTTACTGAATGCATTTATTAATTCTGAAAGTGTTTTGGTGGAGTCTTTAGGGTTTCATACATCTGAGGTTATGTCATCTGCAAACAGAGATAATTTCACTTTTTCCTTTTGATCTTAGCAGAAAAGCTTTCAGATTTTTATCACTGAGTATGATGTAAGCTATGGGATTTTTATATACGCTATTTATTATGTTGAGTTATTTTTATACCTATTTATTTCAGAGTTTTAAAAATCATGTACTGAAGTCAACTTTTGGCAAGTATATATTGTTTTATTTTTATTTTTTACAGGTTCGTAGTAGGTCTATATATTTTTGGGTATATGAGATGTTTTGATACAGGCATGCAATGCATAGTAATTACATTATGGAAGATAGTGAGGCCATCCAATCAAGCACTTATTTTTTGTGTAACAAACAATCCAATTATACTCCTATAGTTATTTTTAAATGTACAATTAAATTATTTCTGACTATACTGGACCTATTGTTCTGTCAACAGCAGGCCTTATTTATTCATTCTAACTATTTTGTGTATCCATTAACTATCCCACATTCCCAGTAGCTCCCTGATACCCTTCATAGTATCTGGTAGCCACCCTTCTACTCCCTGATCTCCATGGGTTCAATTGTGCTGATTTTTAGACCCCACAAATAAGTGAAAACAGGCAATGTTTGTCTTTTAGTACCTGGCTTATTTTACTTAACATAGTAACTTACGGTTTCAACCATGTTGTTGCAAATGACAGAATCTCATTTTTTATGACTGAATAGAACTCTAGGGTGTATATGTGCCCCCCGCCTTTTTTTTGTTTTTTAAAGAATGATGCAATAGTTTTATTTAAGTGTTGATTTTTTACATGAATAAACACTTTATTGGTGATTTCTGAGATTTTTGTGCACCTATCACTCAAGCTGTATCCAATGTATAGTCTTTTATTCCTCACCCCTTCCCATCCTTTCCCCTGAGTCCCCAAAGTCTATTGTATCATTCATATTTGCATCCACATAGCTTAGCTCTCACTTATGAGTGAGAACATACACTCTTTGGTTTTCCACTACTGAGTTATTTCACTTAGCATACTGGTATCCAATTCCATCCAGGTTTCTGTGAATGCCATTTTTTGTTCCTTTTTATGGCTGAGTGGTATTCCACTGTGTGTGTGTGTGTGTGTGTGTGTGTGTGTGTGTGTGTGTGATATTTTCTTTATCCACTCATTGACTGATGGGCATTTGGGCTGGTTCCATATTTTTGCAATTGCAAATTGTGCTGCTATAACGTGTGTGCAAGTATCTTTTTTCTGAAATGACTTTTCTTATGGGTAGATACACAGGAGCGAGATTGCTGGATCAAATGGTAGTTCTAGTTTATTTCTTTAAGGAATCTCCACAGTTTTCCATAATGGTTGTGCTAGTTTACATTTCCACAAACGTTGTAAAAGTATTCCTTTTTCACTATATCTATGGTGAAATCTATTATTTTTTGATTTTTTGATTATTGCCATTTTTGCAGGAGTGAGATGGTATCGCATTGTGGGTTTGATTTGCATTTCCGTGATAATTAGTAACGTTGAGCACTTTTTCATATGTTTGTGGCCCATTTGTTTATCTTCTTTTGAGAATTTTCTATTCATGTCGTTTGCTCACTTTTTGATCGGATTATTATTATTATTATTTTCTTGATGATTTGTTTGGATTCCTTGTAGATTCTGGTCCTTTGTCAGATATTAGTCAGATATTAGTCCTTTGTCAGAACGGTAGATTGTGAAGATTTTCTCCAACTCTGTGGGTTGTCTGTTTACTCTGCTGCTGCTGATGATGATGATGATTATTATTACTTTTTTTGTTGTTGTGCAGAAGCTTTTTTGTTAAATTAAGTCCCATCTATTTATCTTTGTTTTTATTGTATTGCTTTCGGGTTCTTGGTCATAAAGTCTTTGCCAAATCCAACATCTAGAAGGGTTTTTCTGATGTTATATTCTAGGATCTTTATGGTCTTGGGTCTTAGATTTAAGTCTTTGATCCATCTTGAGTTGATTTTTGTATAAGGTGGGGGATGAGGATCCAGTTTCATTCTTCTATATGTGGCTTGTCAATTATCTCAGCACAATTTGTTTAATAGGGTGTCCTTTCCCCACTTTATGTTTTTGTTTGCTTTGTTGAAGGTCAGTTGGCTATAAGTATTTTGGTTTACTTCTGAATCCTCAATTCTGTTCCATTGGTATATATGCCTATTTTTATACCAGTCCCATGCTGTTTTGGTGACTAGGGCCTTATAGTATAGTTTGAAGTCAGATAATGTGATGCCTCCGGATTTGTTCCTTATGCTTAGTGTTGCTTTGGCCGTGAAGGGTCTTTTTTGGTTTCCTATGAATTTTAGGATTTTTTTTTCTAGTTCTGTGAAGAATGATGGTGGTATTTTGATGAGAATTGCATAGAATTTGTAGATTGCTTTTGGTAGTGTGGTTATTTTCAAAATGTTGATTCTACCCATCCATGAGTATAAGATGTGTTTCCATTCGTTTGTGTCATCTATGATTTCTTTCAGCAGTGTTTTTTAGTTTTCTTTATAGAGGTCCTTTACCTCCTTCATTAGGTATATGTGCAAGTATTTTACTCTTTTGCAGCTATTGTAAAAGGGGTTGAGTTCTTGATGCTCAGCTTGGTCACTGTTGGTGTATAGAAGAGCTACTGATTTGTGTACATTACATTTTTATCCTGAGACTTTCCTGAATTCATTTACCAGTTCTAGGAGCTTTTTGAATGAGTCTTTAGGGTTTTCTAGGTATACAATTGTTATCAGCAAACAGTGACAGTTTGACTTCCTCTTTACCAGTTTGGATGACTTTATTTCTTTCTCTAGTCTGATTGCTCTGGCTAGGAATTCCAGTACTATGTTGAATATAAGTGGTGAAAGTGGGCATCTTGTCATGCTCCATTTCTCAGGAGGAATGCTTCCAACTTTTCCCTATTCAGTATAATGTTGACTGTGGGTTTGTCATAGATGGCTTGTATTACTTTAAGGTATGTGCCTTCTATGCCAATTTTACTGTGGGTTTTAATCATAAAGGGATTCTGGGTTTTGTCAAATGCTTTTTCTGCATCTATTGAGGTGATCATGTGATTATTGTTGTTAATTATATTTACGTAGTGTATCACATTTATTGACTTGCATATGTTAAACCATCCCTGCATAACTTGAATGAAACCCACTTGATCATGGTCAGTTATCCTTTTGATATGCTGTTGTATTTGGCACATTAGTATTTTGTTGAGGATTTTTGCATCTATGATCATCAGGGATATAAGTCTGTAGTTGCCTTTTTTTGTTATATCCTTTCCTGGTTTGGGTGGTAGAGTGATGCTGGCTTCATAGAATGATTTAGAGAGGATTTTCTCTTTCTCTATTTTTTAAAATAATGTCATTAGAATTGCCATCAATTCTTCCTTGAATGTCTGATAGATTCAGTTGTGAATTCATCTGATCCTGGGCTTTTTTTTTTATTGCTAACATTAATTACCACTTTAATCTTGCTGCTTGTTATTGGTCTGTTCAGAGTTTCTATATCTTCCTGGTTTAATCTAGGAGAGTTATTTATTTTCAGGAATTTATTATTCTTTTCTAGGTATTCTAGTTTGTGTGTGTAAAGGTGTTATAGTGGCCTTGAATGGTAATTAGTATTTCTATGATATCAGTTGTAATACCTTCTATTTTATTTCTAATTGAGCTTATTTAGATATTTTCTCTTATTTTCTTGGTTAATCTTACTAGTGTTTTATCAATTCTATTTATCTTTTCAAAGAACCAGCTTTTTGTTTCATTTATCTTTTGTGTTTTTGTTTTGTTTTGTTTTCATTTCATTTAGTTCTGGTTTGATCTTTGTTATTTCCTTTCTTCTGCTGGGTTTGGGTTTGGTTTCCTCTTGTTTCTTTAGTTCCATGAGGTGTGACCTTAGATTGTCTATTTGTGTTCTTTCAGACTTTTTGATGTAGGCATTTAATGCTTTGAACTTTCCTCTTAGCATCAGCTTTTGCTGTATCCAAGAGGTTTAGATAGGTTATGTCACTATCATCATTCAGTTCAAATAATTTTTAAATTTCTATCAAGATTTCATTGTTGACCCAATTATCATTATGTAGGTGGTTATTTAATTTCCATGTATTTGCAAGATTTTGAGGGCTTCTTTTAGAGTAGATTTCCAATTTTATTCAACTGTGGTCTAAAAGAGTACTTAGTATAATTTTAATTTTCTTAGATTTGTTGAGACTAGTTTTGTGGCCTATCATATGGTCTATCTTGGAGAATGTTCTGTGTGCTGAGGAATAGAATGTTTATTCTGTATTTGTTGGGTAGAATGTTCTGTAAATATCTAGTAAGTCCATTTGTTCTAGGGCATACATTAAGTTCATTGTTTCTTCATTGAATTTCTGTCTTGATGACCTGTCTAGTGCTGTCAGTGGAGTATTGACATCCCCCACTATTGTGTTGCTATCTCATTTTTTAGGTCTAGTAGTAATGGTTTTATAAATTTGGAAGCTCCATTGCTAGGTGCATATGTATTTAGGATCGTGATACTTTCATTTTAAACAAGACCTTTTATCATTATATAGTGTCCCTCTTTGTCTTTTTTTAACTGCTGTAGCTTTAAAGTTTGTTTTGTCTGATGGAAGAAGAGCTATTCCTGCTTGCTTTTGGTGTTTATTTGCATAGAGCATCTTTTTTCTGTCCCTTTACCTTAAGTTTCTGTGAGTCCTTATGTGTCAGGTGAGTCTCTTGAAAACAGCAGATATTTGGTTGGTGAATTATTTTCTATTCTGCTATTTCGTATCTTTTAAGTGGAACATTTAGGCCATTTACATTTAATTTTAGTATTAAGATATGAGGTACTATTCTATTCATTGCACTATTTGTTGCCTGAATACCTTGATTTTTATTGTGTTATTGTTATATAGGTCCTGTGAGATTTATGCTTTAAGGAGATTCCATTTTGGAGTATTTTCAGGATATTTTTCCAGATTTCGAGTTCATTTTAACAGTTCTTGTAGTGCTGGCTTTGTAGAGATGAATTCTCTCATCATTTATTTTTTCACAAAATATCACTTTTTTATTTATGAAGCTTAATTTCACTGGATATAAAACTTTTGTTGGCTGATAATTGTTTTTTTTTTTTAAGAAGGCTAAGTATAGGAATTTAATCCCTTCTAGCTTGTAGAGTTTCTGCTGAGAAATCTGCTGTTAATCTGATAGATTTCCTTTGTAGGTTACCTGATGTTTTGCCTCACATCTCTTAAGACTTTTTCCTTTGTCTTGACTTTAGATAACCTGATAACAATGTGCCAAGGTGATGATCTTTTTGCACAGAATTTCCCGAGTGTTCTTTGAACTTCTTGTATTTGGATGTCTAGATCTCTAGCAAGGCTGGGGAAGTTTTCCTTGATTATTCCCTCAAATGTATTTTTCAAACTCTTAGATTTCTTTTCTTTCTCAGGAACGTGAAATGTTCTTATGTTTGGTTGTTTAACGTAATCCCAAACTTCTTTGAGGCTTTTTTCAATTTTGTAATTCTTTTCTCCCAACGCTTTGTCAGATTGGGCTAATTTGAATGTGTTGTCTTTGAGCTCTGAAGTTCTTTCTTTTACCTGTTTGATTCTATTGTTGAGACTGCCCAGTGTATTTTGCATTTCTCTAAATGTTTCATTCATTTCAGAAGTTGTGATTGTTTTTTATTTATGCTGTCAATTTTACTTGAGATTTTTCCATTTGCATCCTGTGTTTTTTTGTTTCTTTAATTTGGACTTCACTGTTATCTGGTGCCTCCTTGATTAGCTTAATAATCCACCTTCTCAATTTGTTTTCTGGCAATTCAGGTATTTCTTTTTGGTTTGGATCTTATGTTAGTGAGCTAGTGTAATATTTTAGCGGTGTTAAAGACCTTGTTTTGTCATATTACCAGAATTGTGTTTCTGGTTCCTTTTTATTTGAATAGACTATGTCAGAAGGAAGATCTGGCACTCAAGGGTTGCTGTTCAGATTCCTTTGTCTCATGGACTGTTTACTTGATGTGGTATTCTTCCCTTTCCCCTAGGGATGGGGTTTCCTGAGAGTCGAACTTCAGTGATGGTTATTTCTCTTCTGGATCTAGGCTCTCAGAGGAGCTACCAGGCTCCAGGATGATACTGGGGAGTGTCTGTAAAGAGTCCTGTGATGTGATTCATCTTCAGGTCTCTCAGCCATGGATACCAGCAATTGTATCACTAAAGGTAGCAGGAGAGTGAAGTGGACTTTGTGATGGTCCTTGGTTGTATTTTTGTTAATTGCAAGGGTTTTGTGTTGCTTGGCCTCCAGCTAGGAGGTGGTGCTTTCAAGAGCACATTAGCTGCAGTAGTATAAGGAAGATACAAGTTTGCCCTAGGGTCAGGCAGTGTGTAGAGCCATGGATATCCCAGGAGATTATGTCCCTTTGTCTTTGGCTATCAGGTTGAGTAAAGACTATCAAAAGTTAGGTGTGTCTGAGCTCAGATTCTCCTTTGGCAGGGCTTTCTGTGGCTGCTGGTGGGGAGTGTAGTTGTGGTTCCCAGACCAATTGAGTTATGTTCCCAGGAAGATTATGGCTGCCTCTGCTGGGTCACACAGGTCACCAAGGAAGTGGTAGAAACCCAGCTACTACACAGCCCACAGCCCCAAAAGCCAATCTCACACCATGCCTCCCCCAACAGCACCGAATTTATTTCCAGGCAGCCAGGGAGCAGAGCTGAGACCTCGCTTCAGGTTTCAAGCCTCCCAACTCAGAAAGCAAGCAGACTCACAGTTCCTCAGCTGTCCCATGTAGCCTGCAGTGGCAATCCACCTCCTTCAAAAAGTCTGTGGATTCTATTGGCTTTCTTGGTATGTTCTTGTAGTAGTTCCTGAAGCAAAAGTTTACGATGTGAGTTTCCACATGCTACTCTTTTCATCTAAGTGGGAGCTGCAAGTTAGTCCTACCACTGAACCACCATTTTTTTTCTCCACATGTTCTTTATCTATTTACCTGTTGATGAACACTTAGGTTGCTTTCAGAACTTGATTATTGTAAACAGAGGTGAAACAAAAATAAGAGTGCAGATACATCTTAGATATATTGATTTTCTTTCAGTTATATACCCAGGAGTTGGGTTGCTGGATTCTATAATGTCTCTACTTTTAGTTTTTTGAGGAACCTCTAAACTGTTCTTTATAGTGGTTGTACTAACTTACATTCCAACCAACAGTATATGAACTTTCCATTTTCTCCACAACAGCATTTGTTATTTCCTGTCTTTCGGATATAAGCCATTTTATCTGGGATGAGATGATATCTCATTGCAGTGTTGATTTGCATTTCTCTGATGATCAATTATGTTGAGCAACTTTTCTTCAATGAGTGATGCTGGGAAAAGCCAATATCCATATGTAGAAGAATAAAACTAGACCTTATATCTCATTATATACAAAAATCAAATAAAAATTATTAACTACTTAAATGTAAAACCTCAATCTATAAAACTAGTATAATAAAACATTGTAGAAACTCTCCAGAGCATCATCAGTCTTGGAAATGATATTTTGAGTAATATCCCACAAACACAGGCACTGCAAGCAAAAATAAAAAAAAATATAGAACACATCAAGTTAAAAATCTGCACAGCAAAGGAAACAAACAAAGTGAAGAAACAACTCACAGTATGAGAGAAAATATCTTCAAACTACCCATCTGACAAGGGTTTAATAATCAGAATATGTATAAAGTTCAAACAACTGTATAGGAAAAATTATAATTATGCAATTAAAATGGGCAAAATATTTAAATAGACATTTTTCTAAAGAAGATATACAAATGGAAAACAGTCTGTTCTATTGGCCTATATGTCTGTTTTTATGTCAGTGCCATGCTGTTTTGGTTACTATAGCTGTGTAGCATAATTTGAAGTCAGGTAATATGATTCCTTCAGTTTTGTTCTTTCTGCTTAGGATAGCTTTGGTTATTTTGGATCTTTTGTGGTTCCATATACATTTTAGGATTGCTTTTTTCTATTTTCCTGAAAAAGGTAATTGGTATTTTGATAGGGATTGCACCGAATCTGTAAATTGCTTTAGGTAGTATGGACATTTTAACATTATTGATTCTGCTAATCAGTGAACATAAAATATCTTTCCACTTTGGGGTGCGTTCTTTTATTTCTTTCATCAGTGTTTTATAGTTTTTATTACAACAATCTTTGACTTTTTTACTTAAGTTAATTCCTAAGTATTTAAATTTATTTGTGGCTATTGTAAATAGGACTATTTAAAATTTTTTTCTTCAGTTTGTTCACTGTTAACATCCAGAATGCTACTCATTGTCGTATGTTGATTTTGTGTCTCGCAACTCTATTTAACTTTTTTTTTTAGTTCTAATAGTTTTTTGGCATAATATTTCAAATTTTCCAAATATAAGATTATATCATCAGCAAACAAGGATAATTTGACATCTTGCTTTCCAAATTAGATGATGATTATTTTTTTCTTTGTTTGATTGCTGTAGCTAGAATTCCCAGGGCTATGTTGAATAACAGTTGTGAAAGTGGGTATTTTTGTCTTGTTCCAGATCTTAGAGGAAAAAATTTGTTTTTTTAAAATTCAGTGTGATACAAGCTGTTGAACTGTCATATATGGCTTTTATTACATTGAGGTATATTCCTTCTATACCAATTTTTTAAGGGTTTTTATCATGAAGGGATGTTAGATTTTATAAAATTCTTTTTCAGCAATATTGGAAATTATTATATGGTTTTTCTCATTTTTTCTGTTGATATAAGGTGTATCATTGATTCATTTGCATATGCTGAACCATACTTGCATCTCAGGGATAAACCCTATTTGATCATGATGAATGATCTTTCTAATGTATTGTTGAATTCTGTTTGCTAGTATTTTGTTAGAATTTTTCTGTCAATATTTGTCAGAGATATTGGCCTGGAGATTTCTTTTTATTTGATATGTCTTTGTCTAGTGTATACATATTTTGATATGTCTTTTTCTTTGGTATCAGGATAATACTGGCTTTATAGAATGGCCTTGAGTGTATTTCCTCCTCCTGTACTTTTTGGAATAGTTTGAGAAGAATTAGTGTTTGTTTATCTTTAAATGTTTGGTAGAATTCTTCAGTGAAGCCATTGGGTTCTGGGCTTTTATTTATTTGGAAAGTTTTTATTATGTCTTCAATCTCATTACCTCTTATTGCTCTGTTTAGATTTTAGATTTTTTTTTCATGGTTTAATCTTGATAAGTTGCATCTGTCTAAGAATTTATCCATTACCCCCAGAGTTTCTAATTTATTAGTATATAGTTGCTTGTAGTAGCCAGTGATAACTCTTTGAATTTCTGCAGTATCAATTCTAATGTATCTTTTGTCAACTCTGATTTTATTTATTTGGATCTTCTTTGTAGTTAGTCTGGCTAATGTTTAGTCTATTTTGTTTAGCTTTTAAAACAACAAACTTTTTGTTTCATTGATGTTGTGTATTGTTTTGTTTGTTTCCATTTCATTTTTTATGCTCTGATCTTCACTATATTTTCTCTTCTACTAATTATGGATTTGGTTTGCTGTTACTCTTCTTGTTCTTTAGATGCATAAATAGGTGGTTTATTTGAAGTTTTTATTTGATGTAAATATACATTTTCCTCTTAGTACTGCTTTTGCTATATTCCGTTGTTGTGTTTTCACTATCAAGTGTTTCATAAAATTTCTCAATTTTTTAAAAATTATTTATCATTCCACTGGTCATTCTGGAGTATATTATTTAATTTCTACGTATTTGCATAGTTTCCAAAATTATCCTTAATTTCTAGCATTATATTATTGTGGTCAGAGGAGATTCTTCATATTATTTTAATTTGAATGTTTTAAGACTTGCTTTGGATCTGGGCTGGCAAGATGGCTGAATAAGAACAGCTCTGATCAGCAGCTCCCAGGAAGATCAGTGCAGAAGGTGGGTGCTTTCTGCATTTCCAACTGAGGTACCTGGCTCATCTCAATGCAACTGGTTAGATAGTGGGTGCAGCCCATGGAGGGTGAGCCAAAGCAGGGTGGGAATTCACCTCACCTGGGAAACACAAGGGGTCAGGGAAGTCCCTCCCCTAGCCAAGGGAAGCCATGAGGAACTATGTCATGAGAAATGGTGCATTCCATCCCAGATACAATGCTTTTCCCATGATTTTCTCAACCCACTGACAAGGAAATTTCCTCAGGTGCCTACACCACCAGAGCCCTGGATTTCAAGCATAAAGCTGGGCAGCCATTTGGGCTGACACCAGGCTAGCTGCAGGATTTTTTTTTTTTTTTCTTAACCCAGTGGCGCCTTGAATGCCAGCAAGACAGAACTGTTTGCTGCCTGGGAAAGGGGGCTGAAGCCAGGGAGCCAAGTGGTCTAGCTCAGCAGACTCCCCTCCCCACAGAGCCCAGCAAGCTAAGATCCACTGGCATGAAATTCTTGCTGCACGCAAAGCAGTCTGAAGTCGACCTGGGACACTCAAGCTTGGTGGAGGGAGGGGCATCCGCCATTACTGAAGTTTGAGTAGGCAGTTTTTCCCTCAAAGTGTAAACAAAGCTACCCAGAAGTTCTAACTGGGCAAAGTGCACTGCAGCTTGGCAAACCTGCTGTAGCTAGACAGCCTCTCTAGGTTCCTCCTCTCTCAGCAGGGCATCTCTAAAAGAAAGGCAGCAGCCACAGTAAGGGGCTTATAGATAAAACTCCCTTCTCCCTGAGACAGAACACTTGGGGGAATGAATGGCTGTGGGTGCAGCTTCAGAAGACTAAATGTTCTTGCCTGCTGGCTCTGGAGGGAGCAGCACATCTCCCAGCACAGGATTCAAGCTCTGCTAAGGGACAGAGTGCCTCCTCAAGTGGGTCCCTGACCCCCACGTCTTCTGACTGGGAGACAACTCCCAGCACAGGTCAACAGACACCTCATACAGGAGAGCTCTGGCTGGCACCTAGTGGGTGCCCCTCTGGGATGAAGCTTCCAGAGGAAGGAACAGGCAGCATTTTTTGCTGTTCTGCAGCCTCCACTGGTAATACCCAGGCAAACAGGGTCTGGAGTGGACCTCCAGCAAACTCCAGCAGACCTGCATCAGAGGGGCCTGACTGTTAGAAATAAAACTAACAAACAGAAAAGAATAGCAACATCATCAACAAAAAGGATGTCCACACATAAACCATTTCCGAAGGTCACCAATATCAAAGATCAAAGGTAGATAAATCCACGAAGATAAGGAAAAACCAGCTCAAAAAGGCTAAAAATTCAAATAACAAGAATGCCTCTTCTCCTCCAAAGGATCACAAATACTCACCAGCAAAGGAACAAAATTAGGCAGAGAATGAGTTTGATGAGTTGACAGAGGTAGGCTTCAGTAGCTGGGTAAAAACAAACTCTTCCAAGCTAAAGGAACGTGTCCTAACCCAAAGCAAGGAAGCTAAGACTCTTGAAAAAAGGTTAGAGGAATTACTAACTAGAATAACCAGTTTAGAGAAGGTAGCATACACAAGTATCCATAGCCAAACTGATCAAGTGAAAGAAAGAATATGTGAAATTGAAGATCAACTTAATAAAATAAAGCATGAAGACAAGATTAGAGAAAAAATAATGAAAAGGAACAAACAAAGCCTCCAAGAAATATGTAACTATGTGAAAGACCAAACCTACATTTAATTGGAGTATCTGAAAGTGATGGGGAGATTAGAACCAAGTTGAAAAACACTCTTCAGGATATTATCCAGGAGAACTTCCCCAACCTAGTAAGACAGGTCAACATTCAAATTCAGGAAATACAGAGAACACTACAAAGATACTCCTAGAGAAGAGCAACCTCATGATACACAATCATCAGATTCACCATTGTTGAAATGAAGGAAACAATGTTAAGGCCAGCCAGAGAGAATGGTCAGGTTACCCACAAAGGGAAGCCAATCAGACTAACAGTGGATCTCTCTTCAGAAACCCTACAAGCCAGAAGAGAGTGGGGACCAATATTCAACATTCTTAAAGAAAGAATTTTCAATCCAGAATTTCATATCCAGCCAAATAAGCTTAATAAGTGAAGGAGAAATAGCATCCTTTCCAGACAAGCAAATGCTGAGAGATTTTGTCACCACCAGGCCTGCCTTATAAGAGCTCCTGAAGGAAGCACTAAATATGGAAAGGAAAAACTGGTACCAGCAACTGCAAAAACATACCAAATTGAAAAGACCATCAATACTTTGAAGAAACTCCATCAACTAATGGGCAAAATAACCAGGTAGCATCATAATAAGATCAAATTCACAATAAAATATTAACCTTAAATGTAAATGGGCTAAATGCCTCAATTAAAAGACACAGACTGGTAAATTGGATAAAAAATCAAGACCCATTGATGTGCTGTATTCAGGAGACTGATCTCATGTGCAAAGACACACATAGGTTCAAAATAAATGGATGGAGAAATATTTACCAAGCAAATGGAAAGAAAAAAATTGCAGGGGTTGCAATCCTAGTTTCTGATAAAACAGACTTTAAACCTACAAAGATCAAGAAAGACAAAGAATTGTATGACATAATGATAAAGGGATCAATGCAACAAGAAGAGCTAACTATCCTAAATATATATGCACCCAATACAGGAGCACCTAGATTCATACAGCAAGTTTTTAGAGACCTACAAAGAGATGTAGACTCCCACACAATAATAATGGGGGTCGTTACCACCCCACTGTCTATATTAGATCAATGAGGCAAAAAATTAACAAGCATATTCAGGACTTGAACCCACCTCTGGACAAAGCGGACCTAATAGACAACTACAGAACTCTCCACCACAACTCAACACAGTATACATACTTCTCAGCACCACATCTCACTTATTCTAAAACTGACATAATTGAAAGTAAAACACTTCTCAGCAAATGCAAAATAATGAAAATCCTAACAAACAGTCTCTCAGACCACAGTACAATGAAATTAGAACCCAGGATTAAGAAACTCAATCAAAACTGCACAGCTACATGGAAATTGAACAACCTGCTCCTGAATGACTACAGGGTAAATATGAAATTAAGACAGAAATAAATAAGTCCTTTGAAACCAGTGAGAAAAAAGACACAATGTACCAGATTCTCTGGGACACAGCTAAAGCAGTGTTTAGAGAAAAACTTATAGCCCTAAATGCCCACAGGAGAAAGTAGGAAAGATCTAAATTCGATGCCCTCACATCACCATTAAACGAACTAGGGAAGCAAGAGCAAACAAATTCAAAAGCTTGCAGAAGACAAGAAATAAGTGTCATCTGAGCCAAACTGAAGGAGATAGAGACATGAAAAACCTTTCAAAAAATCAATGAATCCAGGAGCTGGTTTGTTGAAAAGATTAACAAAATAGAGAGACCAATAGCCACACAAATAAGAACAGAGAGAAGAATCAAATAGACCCAATAAAAATGATAAAGAGGATATCACAACTGATCCCACAGAAATACAAACTACCAACAGAGGAGACTATAAACACCTCTACTCAATAAACTAGATAACCTAGAAGAAATGAATAAATTCCTGGATACATACACCCTCCTAAGTCAAAACCAGAAAGAAGTTGAATCCCTGAATAGACCAATAACTAGTTCTGAAATTGAGGCAGTAATTAATAGACTACCAACCAAAAAAAGCCCAGGACCAGATGGATTCCCAGCCAAATTCTACCAGAGATACAAAGCAGAGCTGGTACCATTCCTTCTGAAACTATTCCAAACAAGATAAAAAGAGGGACTCCTCACTAACTAATTTTGTGAGGCCAGCATCATCCTGATACCAAAACCTGGCAGACACACGCACGCACACACACACACACACACACACACACAAACAACAACAACAACAACAACAACAACAAACAGAAAATTTCAGGCCAATGTCCCTGAGAAACAGTGATGCAAAACTCCTCAATAAAATCTGGCAAACTGAATCCAGCAGCATATCAAAAATTTGTCCACCACAATCAAGTCAGCTTCATCCCTGGGATGCAAGGCTGGTTCAACATATGAAAATCAATAAACGTAATCCACCACATAAACAGAACCAATGACAAAAACCACATGATTATCTCAATAGATGCAGAAAAGGCCTTCAATAAAATTCAAAACCCCTTCATGCTAAAAACTATCAATAAACTAGGTGTTGATGGGACATATCTCAAAATAATAAGAGCTATTTGTGACAAACCCACAGCCAATATCATACTGAATGGGCAAAAGCTAAAGAATTCCCTTTGAAATCCAGCACAAGACAAGGATGCCCTCTCTCACCACTCGTATTCAACATAGTTTTGGAAGTTCTTGCCAGGGCAATCAGGCAAGAGAAAGAAATAAAGTGTATTCAAATAGGAAGAGAGGAAGTCAAATTGTCTCTGTTTGCAGATGACATGATTGTATATTTAGAAAACCCCATCATCTCAGGCCAAAAACTCCTTAAGCTGATAAGCAACCTTAGCAAAGTCTCAGGATACATAATCAATGTGCAAAAATCACAAGCATTCCTATACCTTAATAATAGATAAACACAGAGCCAAATTATTAAACTCCCATTCCCAATTGCTACAAAGAAAATAAAATATTTAGGAATACAATTTACAAAGGATGTGAAGGAACTCTTCAAGGAGAACTACAAACCACTGCTCAAGGAAATAAGAGAGGACACAAAAAAATAGAAAAATTTTCTATGCTTATGGATAGGAAGAATCAATATCGTGAAAATGGCCATACTGCCCAAAGTAATTTATAGAATCAGTGCTATCCCCTTCAAGTGACCATTGACTTTCTTCACAGAATTAGAAGAAACTACTTTAAATTTCATATGGAACCAAAAAGAGCCCATAAAGCCAAGGCAATTCTAAGCAAAAAGAACAAAGCTAGAGGCATCACACTACCTGACTTCAAACTATACTACAAGGCTAATGTAACCAAAAGAGCATGGTACTGGTACCAAAACAGATATATAGACCAACGGAACAGAACAATGGCCTCAGAAATAATGCCACACATCTACAACCATCTGACCTTTGACAAACCTGACAAAAACAAGTAATGGGGAAAGGATTCCCTATTTAATAAATGGTGTTGGAAAAACTGGCTAGCCATATGCAGAAAACTGAAACTGGACCCCTTCCTTACACCTTATAGAAAAATTAACTTAAGATGGATTAAAGACCTATACATAAGACCTAAAACCATAAAAACTCTAGAAGAAAACCTAGCCAATACTAGTCAGGACATAGACATGGGCAAAGACTTTATGACTAAAATCCCAAAGCAATGGCAACAAATGCCAAAATTGACAAATGAAGTCTAAGTAAACTAAAGAGCTTCTGCACAGCAAAAGAAAATATAATCAGAGTAAGCAGGCAACCTACAGAATGGGAGAAAAATCTCTGCAATCTGTCCATCTGACAAAGGGCTTAGATTCAGAATCCGCAAGAAACTTAAACAAATTTACACGAAGAAAACAACCCCATAAAAAGTGGATGAAGGATATGAACAGACACTTCTCAAAAGAAAACATTTATGCATTCAACAAACATATGAAAAAAGCTCATCATCACTACTCATTAGAGAAATGCAAATCAAAACCACAATGATATACCGTCTCATGCCATTTAGAATGGCAATCGTTACAAAATCAGGAAAAAACAGATGATGGAGAGGATGTGGAGAAATAAGAATGCTTTTACACTGTTGGTGGGAGTGTAAATTAGTTTAACCATTGTGGAAGACAGTGTGGCAATTTCTCAAGGATCTAGAACCAGAAATACCATTTGACCCAGTAATCCCATTATGGGTATATACCCAAAGAATTGTAAATCATTCTCTTGTAAAGACACAGGCACACTTACGTTTATTGCAGCACTATTCACAATATCAAGACTTGGAACCAACCGAAATGCCCATCAATGATAGACCGGATAAAGAAAATGTGGCAGATATATACCACGAAATACTATGCAGCCGTAAATATGGATGAGTTTATGTCCTTTGCAGGGACATAGATGAAGCTGAAAACCATCATTCTCAGCAAACTGACATGGGAACAGAAAACTTCTGCATGTTCTCACTCATAAGTGGGAGTTGAACAATGAGACATTGACACAGGGAGGGGAACGCCACACACCAGGACCTGTTAGGGGGTTGGGGGTTAGGGTAGGGGTAGCATTAGGAGAAATACTTAACGTAGATGACAGGTTTATGGATGCAACAAACCATTATGGCCCATGTATACCTGTGTAACAAACCTGCAAATTCTGCACATGTATCTAAAAACTTAAAGTATAATTTAAAAAAAAAAGATTTGCTTGTTCCCTAATATAAACTCTGCCTTTGAGAGTGAGCTATGCGCTGAAGAAAGGAATTTGTAATATGCAGCCATTGGGTTAAATATTCTGTAAAGTTCTATTACATCTACTTGGTCTACAGTGCAGATTAGTTCAATGTTTTTCTTTGTTGATTTTCTGTGTGGAAGATCTGTCCAGTGCTGAAAGTGAGATGTTGAAGCCTCCAGCTAGTATTGTATTAGGATCCATCTCTCTCTTTAGTTGTAATAATATGTGCTTTATATACTAGGTGTTCCACTTTTAGGTGCATGTATATTCAAAATTGCTATAACCTCTTGCTGCATTGACCCGTTTATCATTATATAGAGACCCTCTTTGTCTCTTCTTATAGTTTTTGTCTTGATATCTATTTTGTCTAATATAAGTATAGCTACTCCTGCTCTTTTTGGTTTCCATTGCCATGAACTATATTTTTCCTTCCCAATAAAGGGAATTTAGTATAAATTTATCTTTATAGGTGAAGCTTTTTTCTTATAAGCAGCAGATCAATGGGTGTTGTATTTAATGCACTCAGCACCCTATGTGTTTTGATTGGAGTGTTTAGTTCATTTACATTCAATATTATTATTGATAAGTAATTACTTACTTCTGGCATTGTGTTGTTTTCTGATTGCTTGGTAATTTTCTATTCCACTTTCTTTTCTACCTGCCTCATGAAGGTGATTTTCTCTGGTGATGCAATTGAGTTTCTTTCTTTTTATTTGTTTGTGTATCTATTGTATGTTTTTTGGTTTGAGGTTACCATGAGACTTGAGAATACCATCACATAACCTGATATTTTAAGCTGACAACAACTTAACATTGTTTGCATAAACAAACAAGGAAGCAACAAAAAACTAATAAAGATTCTATGCCTTGACTTTGTTGCCTTGCTCTTTAACTTTTCATTATTTCTATTTTAAACAATTATAGATTTTCTATAATTATTATTTTTAATTGATTTATCATTTACCCTTTCTACTGAAGATAAGGGTAGCTTATGCATTATATTTACAGTGTTATAATATTCTGTTTATCTGTGTACTTACTATTACCATTTTCTGTGTTTTTGCTCTTACTTTATGTGTGGAAGATCTGTTCAATGCTGAAAGTGCAGTTTTGAATTTTCCAGCTATTATTGTAGTGAGGTCTATCTCTCTCTTTAGCTCTAATAATATTTGCTTTATATATCTGGGTGCTCCATTGTTGGGTGCATATATATTAAAAATTCTTATATACTCTTTCTGTATTGACCCTCTTATTACTATATGGTAACTTTTTTTGCCTCTTTTTATAGCTTTCATCTTGAAATCTGTTTTGTCTGATATAAGTATAGCTACTCCTTTTTCTGGTTTCTGTTTGCATGGAATATCTTCTGCCATCAGTGTGTTTTGTACCTACAGATGATTTATTATTACTCATTAATGTTCTTTTCTTTCTGACTAAAGTACACTCTTTAGCATTTTTTGTAGAATAGGTCTCGTGTTGAAAAATATTCTAATGTTTTTTATTTGTCTGGAAATGTCTTTCTTTCTCCTTCATGTTAAAAGAAAATTTTGCTGCATATATATACCTTACAATGCTAGGGTAATTTTTTTTCAGCACTTTACATATGTAATACTACTCTCTCCCAGCCTGTAATGTCTCCATTGAACAGTCAGCTGCTAGACTTATTGGAGCTCCATTGTGTCTTATTTGTTTCTTTTCTCCTTCTGTTAGATTTTTTTATCCTTAATATTTGAGAGTTTACTTTCCAAATGTCCTGAGGTAAGCATCATTGGGTTAAATCTGCTTAGTGTTCTCTAGCCTTCTTATACTTGTATATTGATATCTTTCTTTAGGTTTGAGAAGTTCTCTATTATCATTGCGTATTGTAAACTTCCTAGCCCAATTACTTCCTCTACCTCCTCGTTAAAGCCAATAACTCTTATATTTGCTATTTTGAGGCTATTTTCTAAATCCCGTAGGCTAGCTTCGTCATTGTTTGGTTTTGTTTCCTCATCTCTTTTTGCTGTGTATTTTCAGTTAGCCTCTCTTCCAGCTTAATATTTTTTTCTTCTGCTTGCTTGGCCAATTATGCAATTAAAAGACACAGTGCAAATTATTATTTCAGTGAGCCAATTACATTTTTAAACTACAGAATTTGTGCTTATTTTTAATTATTTAAATTTTTTTGTTAAATTTACATGATAGTATTCTAAATTCCTTCTGTGTTTTATCTTGAACTTCTTTGCATTTCTTGAACACAGCTATTTTGGATTTTTTTTTTTTTTTGAGAGATCACATATTTCTGTTTCTCCAAGATTGTTCCCTGGTGACTTATTTAGTTCATTTGGTGAGAACATGTTTTCCTGGATTGTCTTTTAAAAAGATTTGTGTTTTTTTTTTTTTAATTTCAATAGATTTTGGGGAAACAGGTTATGTTTGGTTACAAGAATAAGTACTTTAGTGGTGATTTCTGAGATTTTAGTGCACCCATCACCTGAGCAGTGTAAAATCTACCCAGTGTGTAGTCTTTTAACTCTTGCCACCCCCAAACTTTACCCCAGGTACCCAAAGATTAATGTATTATTCTTATGCCTTTGCATTCTCATTGCTTAGCTCCCACATATTAGGGAGAACAAACTGTGTTTGGTTTTCCATTCATAGTCACTTCACTTAGACTAATAGTCTCCAATTCCATCCAGGTTGCTGCAAATGCCATTATTTTATTTCTTCTTATGGCTGAGTAGTATTCATATGTATATATATTTGGTTCCATATTTAGCAGTATATATATATATATACACACACATATATACATATATACACATATATATACACATATATATAATATATAAACATACGTATATATACACATATATATATGTTCCATATTTTTGCGATCGCAAATTGTGCTGCTATAACATGTGTGTGCAAGTATCTTTTTGTATAATGACTTCCTTTCTCTGGGTAGATACCTAGTAGTGGGATTGTTGAATCAAATGGCAAATCCACTTTTACTTCTTTAATAAATCTCTTCACTGTTTTTCATAAGAGTTTACTAGTTTACATTCCCACCAACAATATAAAAGTGTTTCATTTTCACTGCATCCTTGCCAAATTCTGTTATTTTTTGATTTTTTGATTATGGCCATTCCTGCAGGAGTGAGATGGTATTGCATTGTGGAGTTGATTTACATTTCTCTGATCATTAGTGACGTTGAGCATTTTTTTCGTATGCTTTTCGGCCATTTGTATATCTTCTTTTGAGACTTCCCTATTAATGTCCTTAGCCCACTTTTTGATGGGATTGTTTTGTTTTCTTGTTGATATGTTTGAGATCTTTGTAGGTTCTAAATATTAGTCCTTTGTTGGAAGTATACATTATGAAAATTTTCTCCCACTCTGTGGGTTGTCTGTTTACTCTGCTGATTATTTCTTTTGTTGTGCAGAAGATTTTTCGTTTATTTAAGTCCCATCTATTTATTTATTTATTTTTTGTTTGCATTTGCTTTTGGGTTTTGGTCGTGATGTCTTTGCACAAGCTAATTTCTAGAAGGATTTTTCTGATGTTATTTTCTAGAATGTTTATGGTTTCGGGTCTTAGATTTATGTCTTTAATCCATCTTGAGTTTTTTTTTTTATACTTTAAGTTTTAGGGTACATGTGCACATTGTGCAGGTTAGTTACATATGTATACATGCGCCATGCTGTTGTGCTGCACCCATTAACTCGTCATTTAGCATTAGGTATATCTCCGAATGCTATCCGTCCCCCCTCCCCCCGCCCCACAACAGTCCCCAGAGTGTGATGTTCCCCTTCCTGTGTCCATGTGTTCTCATTGTTCAATTTCCATCTATGAGTAAGAACTTGCGGTGTTTGGTTTTTTGTCCTTGCGATAGTTTACTGAGAATGATGATTTCCAATTTCATCCATGTCCCTACAAAGGACATGAACTCATCATTTTTTATGGCTGCATAGTATTCCATGGTGTATATGTGCCACATTTTCTTAATCCAGTCTATCATTGTTGGGCATTTGGGTTGGTTCCAAGTCTTTGCTATTGTGAATAAAGCTGCAATAAACATACGTGTGCATGTGTCTTTATAGCAGCATGATTTATAGTCCTTTGGGTATATACCCAGTAATGGGATGGCTGGGTCAAATGGTATTTCTAGTTCTAGATCCCTGAGGAATCGCCACACTGACTTCCACAATGGTTGAACTAGTTTACAGTCCCACCAACAGTGTAAAAGTGTTCCTGTTTCTCCACATCCTCTCCAGCACCTGTTGTTTCCTGACTTTTTAATGATTGCCATTCTAACTGGTGTGAGATGGTATCTCATTGTGGTTTTGATTTGCATTTCTCTGATGGCCAGTGATGATGAGCATTTTTTCATGTGTCTTTTGACTGCATAAATGTCTTCTTTTGAGAAGTGTCTGTTCATATCCTTCACCCAATTTTTGATGGGGTTGTTTGTTTTTTTCTTGTAAATTTGTTTGAGTTCATTGTAGATTCTGGATATTAGCCCTTTGTCAGATGAGTAGGTTGCGAAAATTTTCTCCCATTTTCTAGGTTGCCTGTTCACTCTGATGGTAGTTTCTTTTGCTGTGCAGAAGATCTTTAGTTGAATTAGATCCCATTTGTCAATTTTGACTTTTGTTGCCATTGCTTTTGGTGTTTTAGACATGAAGTCCTTGCCCATGCCTATGTCCTGAATGGTAATGCCTAGGTTTTCTTCTAGGGTTTTTATGGTTTTAGGTCTAGCATTTAAGTCTTTAATCCATCTTGAATTAATTTTTGTATATGGTGTAAGGAAGGGATCCAGTTTCAGCTTTCTACATATGGCTAGCCAGTTTTCCCAGCACCATTTATTAAATAGGGAATCCTTTCCCCATTGCTTGTTTTTCTCAGGTTTGTCAAAGATCAGATAGTTGTAGATATGTGGCATTATTTCTGAGGGCTCTGTTCTATTCCGTTGATCTATATCTCTGTTTTGGTGCCAGTACCATGCTGTTTTGGTTACTGTAGGCTTGTAGTATAGTTTGAAGTCAGGTAGCGTGATGCCTCCTGCTTTGTTCTTTTGGCTTAGGATTGACTTGGTGATGCGGGCTCTTTTTTGGTTCCATATGAACTTTAAAGTAGTTCTTTCCTATTCTGTGAAAAATTTTTGTATGAGATGAGAGATGAGATCCAGTTTTACTTTTCTACATGTGGCTTGTCAATTATCACAGTACCATTTGTTGTATAAGGTGCTCTTTCCCCACTTAATGTTTTTGCTTGCTTTGTCAAAGATCACTTGGATATATGTATTTAAGTTTATTTCTGTGTTCTTTATTCTCTTACATTGGTCTACGTGCCTATTTTTAAACCAGTACATGCCATTTTGGTGACTATGCCCTCATAGTATAGTTTGAAATCTGGTAATGTTATGCCTCGAGATTTGTTCTTTTTGCTTAGTCTTGCCTTGGCTATGCGGATTCATTTTTAGTTTCATATGTATTTTAAGATTTTTTTTTCTAGTTCTGTAAAGAATGATTATGATATTTTGATGGGAATTGCATTGAATTTGTAGATTGCTTTTGACAGAATGATCGTTTTTATTATATTCATTTACCCATCTATGAGCATTGGATGTGTTTCCATTTATTTTTGTCCTCTCTGACTTCTTTTGGCAATGTTAGTTTCCCTTATGAAGGTGGTTCCCTTCCTTGATTAGGTATATTTGTAAGGATTTAATTTTTTTGCAGCTATTATGAAAGGGGTTGAGTTCTTGATATAATACTCAGCTTGGTTGCTGTGGGTGTGTAGCAGAGCTATACACTGATTTGTGTACATTAATTTTTCTTATCCTGAGACTTTGTTGAATTCATTTACCAGTTTTGGGAGCCTTTTGGACAAGTCTTTAGGGTTTTCTAGGTACACAATCATGTCATCAGCAAACAGTGACAGTTTGAATTCCTCTTTACCAATTTGGATTCCCTTAATTTTTTTCTCTTGTCTGATTGCTCTGGTTAGGAATTCCAGCATCATATTGAATATAAGTGGTAAAATTTAGCATCCTTGTCTTCTTCCAGTTTTTAGGGGGAATGCTTTCAACTTTTCCCCATTCAGTATAATGTTGGCTATGAGTTTTTCTTTCTTTTTTTTTAGTTGGTTTCTTTTTCTTGTTTTTAAATTATACTTTAAGTTCTAGGGTACATGTGCACAACGTGCAGGTTTGTTACATATGTATACATGTGCCATGTTGGTGTGCTGCACCCATGAACTTATCATTTACATTAGGTATGTCTCCTAATGCTATCCCTCCCCACTCTCCCCAACCCACAACAGTCCCCAGTGTGTGATGTTCCTTTTCCTGTGTCCAAGTGTTCTCATTTTTCAATTCCCACCTATGAGTGAGAACATGCAGTGTTTGGTTTTCTGTCCTTGTGATAGTTTGCTGAGAATAATGGTTTCCAGCTTCATCCATGTCCCTACAAAGGACATGAGCTCATCCTTTTTTATGGCTGCATAGTATTCCATGGTGTATATGTGCCACATTTTCTTCATCCAATCTATCATAGCTGGACATTTGGGTTGCTTCCAACTCTTTGCTATTGTGAATAGTGCCACAATAAACATACGTGTGCATGTGTCTTTATAGCAGCACGATTTATAATCCTGTGGGTATATACCTAGTAACGGGATGGCTGGGTCAAATGGTATTTCTAGTTCTAGATCCTTGAGGAATCACCACACTGTCTTCCCCAATGGTTGAACTAGTTTACAGTCCCACCAACAGTGTAAAAACATTCCTATTTCTCCACATCCTCTCCAGCACCTGTTGTTTCCTGACTTTTTAATGATTGCCATTCTAACTGGTGTGAGATGGTATCTCATTGTGGTTTTGATTTGCATTTCTCTGATGGCCAGTGATGATGAGCATTTTTTCACGTGTCTTTTGGCTGCATAAATGTATTCTTTTGAGAAGTGTCTGTTCATTTCCTTCGCCCAGTTTTTGATGTTTTTTTTTTGTTTTTTTCTTGTAAATTTGTTTGAGTTTTTGGAGATTCTGGATATTAGCCCTTTGTCAGCTGAGTAGATTGCAAAAATTTTCTCCCATTTCTCCCATTCTGTTCACTCTGATGGTAGTTTCCTTTGCTGTGCAGAAGCTCTTTAGTTTAATTAGATCCCATTTGTCAATTTTGGCTTTTGTTGCCATTGCTTTTGGTGTTTTAGTCATGAAGTCCTTGCCCATGACTATATCCTGAATGGTATTGCCTAGGTTTTCTTCTAGGGTTTTTATGGTTTTAGGTCTAACATTTAAGTCTTTAATCCATCTTGTATTAATTTTTGTATAGGGTGCAAGGAAGGGATCCATTTTCAGCTTTCCACATGTGGCTAGCCAATTTTCCCAGCACCATTTATTAAATAGGGAATCCTTTCCCCATTGCTTGTTTTTCTCAGGTTTGTCAAAGATCAGATGGTTGTAGATGTGTGGTATTACTTCTGTTGGCTCTGTTCTGTTCCACTGGTCTATATCTCTGTTTTTGGTAGCAGTACCATGCTGTTTTGGTTACTGTAGCCTTGTAGTATAATTTGAAGTCAGGTAGCATGATACCTCCAGCTTGGTTCTTTTGGCTTAGGATTGTCTTGGCAATGTGGGCTGTTTTTTGGTTCCATATGAACTTTAAATAGTTTTTTCCAATTCTGTGAAGAAAGTCATTGGTAGCTTGATGGGGATGGCATTGAATCTATAAATTACCTTGGGCAGTACGGCCATTTTCATGATATTGATTCTTCCTATCCATGAGCATGGAATATTCTTCCATTTGTTTGTGTCCTCTTTTATTTCGTTGAGCACTGGTTTGTAGTTCTCCTTGAAGAGGTCTTTCACATCCCTTGTAAGTTGGATTCCTAGGTATTTTATTCTCTTTGAAGCAATTGTGAATGGGAGTTCACTCATGATTTGGCTCTCTGTTTGTCTGTTATTGGTGTGTAAGGATGCTTGTGATTTTTGCAGATTGATTTAGTATCCTGAGACTTTGCTGAAGTTGCTTATCAGTTTAAGGAGATTTTGGGCTGAGATGATGGGGTTTTCTAAATATACAATCCTGTCATCTACAAACAGGGACAATTTGACTTCCTCTTTTCCTAATTGAATACCCTTTATTTCTTTATCCTGCTTGATTGCCCTGGCCAGAACTTCCAACACTATGTTGAATAAGAGTGGTGAGAGAGGGCATCCCTGTCTTGTGCCAGTTTTCAAAGGGAATGCTACCAGTTTCTGCCCATTCAGTGTGATATTGGCTGTGGATTTGTCATAAATAGCTTATCAGTTTGAGATATGTCCCATCAATACCAAAATTATTGAGAGTTTTTAGCATGAAGGGCTGTTGAATTTTGTCAAAGGCCTTTTCTGCATCTATTGAGAGAATCATGTGGTTTTTGTCTTTAGTTCTGTTTACATGCTGGATTATGTTTATTGATTTTCGTATGTTTAACCAGCCTTGCATCCCAGGGATGAAGCCCACTTGGTCTGAGAGACAGTTTGTTATAATTTCTGTTCTTTTACATTTGCTGAGGAGTGCTTTACTTCCAATTATGTGGTCAATTTTACAGTAAGTGTGATATGGTGCTGAGAAGAATGTATATTCTGTTGATTTGGGGTGGAGAGTTCTGTAGATGTCTATTAGGTCCAGTTGGTGCAGAGCTGAGTTCAATTCATTGATATCCTTGTTAACTTTCTGTCTCATTGATCTGTCTAATGTTGACAGTGGGGTGTTAAAGTCTCCCGTTATTATTGTGTGGGAGTCCAAGTCTATTTGTAAGTCTCTAAGGACTAGCTTTATGAATCTGGGTGCTCCTGTATTGGGTGCATATATAGTTAGGATAGTTAGCTCTTCTTGTTGAATTGATCCCTTTACCATTATGTAATGGCCTTCTTTGTCTGTTTTGATCTTTGTTTGTTTAAAGTCTGTTTTATCAGAGACTAGGATTGCAACCCCTGCCTTTTTTTGTTTTCCATTTGCTTGGTAGATCTTCCTCCATCCTTTTATTTTGAGCCTATGTGTGTCTCTGCACGTGAGATGGGTTTCCTGAATACAGCACACTGATGGGTCTTGACTCTTTATCCAATTTGCCAGTGTGTGTCTTTTAATTGGAACATTTAGCCTATTTACATTTAAGGTTAATATCGTTATGCGTGAATTTGACCCTGGCATTATGATGTTAGCTGGTTATTTTTCTCGTTAGTTGATGCAGTTTCTTCCTGGCATCAATGGAATTTACAATTTGTCATGTTTTGCAGTGGCTGGTATCAGTTGTTCCTTTCTATGTTTATAGTGCTTCCTTCAGGAGCTCTTTTAGGGCAGGCCTGGTGGTGACAAAATCTCTGAGCATTTGCTTTTTTGTGAAGGATTTTATTTCTCCTTCACTTATGAAGCTTAGTTTGGCTGGATATGAAATTCTGGTTTGAAAATTATTTTCTTTAAGAATGCTGAATATTGGCCCCCCACTCTCTTCTGGCTTGTAGAGTTTCTGCCAAGAGATCAGCTGTTAGTCTGATGGGCTTCCCTTTGTGGGTAACCCGACCTTTCTCTCTGGCTGCCCTTAACATTTTTTCCTTCATTTCAACTTCGGTGAATCTGATAATTATGTGTCTTGGAGTTGCTCTTCTCGAGGATAATCTTTGTGGCATTCTCTGTATTTCCCAAATTTGAATGTCTGCCTGCCTTGCTAGATTGGGGAAGTTCTCCTGGATAATATCCTGCAGAGTGTTTTCCAACTTGGTTCCATTCTCCCCGTCACTTTCAGGTGCACCAATCAGACGTAGATTTGGTCTTTTCACATAGTCCCATATTTCTTGGAGGTTTTGTTCATTTCTTTTTACTCTTTTTTCTCTAAGCTTCTCTACTTGCTTCATTTCATTCATTTGATCTTCCATCACTGATACCCTTTCTTACAGTTGATTGAATCAGTTACTGAAGCTTGTGCATTTTTCACGTAGTTCTCGTGCCATGGTTTTCAGCTCCATCAAGTCATTTAAGGAGTTGTCTACACTGGTTATTCTAGTTAGCCATTCATCTAATCTTTTTTCAAGGTTTTTAGCTTCTTTGCAATGGGTTCAAACTTCCTTCTTTAGCTCAGAGAAGTTTGATCGTCTGAAGCCTTCTTCTCTCAACTCATCAAAGTCATTCCCCGTCCAGCTTTGTTCTGATGCTGGCAAGGAGCTGCGTTCCTTTGGAGGGGGAGAGGTGCTCTGATTTTTAGATTTTTCAGCTTTCCTTCTCTGTTTTTTCCCCATCTTTGTTGTTTTATCTACCTTTGGTCTTTGATGATGGTGACGTACAGATGGGGTTTTGGTGTGAACGTCCTTTCTGTTTGTTATTTTTCCTTCTAACAGTCAGGACCCTCAGCTGCAGGTATGTTGGAGGTTGCTAGAGGTCCACTGAAGACCCTGTTTGCCTGGGTATCAGCAACAGAATCTGTAGAACAGCGATTATTGTTGAACAGCAAATGTTGCTGCCTGATTGTTCCTCTGGAATCTTCATCTCAGAGGGGTACCTGGCTGTGTGAGGTGTCAGTCTGCCCCTACTGGGGTGTCCCTCCCAGTTAGGCTACTTGGGGGTCAGGCACCCACTTGAGGAGGCAGTCTGTCCGTTCTCAGATCTCAAACTCCATGTTGGGAGAACCACTACTCTCTTCAAAACCATGAGACAGGGCACATTTAAGTCTGCAGAGGTTTCTGCTGCCTTTTGTTCAGCTATACTCTGCCCCCAGAGGTTGAGTCTACAGAGGCAGCATGGCCTCCTTGAGCTGTGGTGGGCTCCACCCAGTTCGAGCTTCCTGGCTGCTTTGTTTACCTACTCAAGCCTCACAATGGCGGGAACACCTCCCCCAGCCTCGCTGCCACCTTGCAGTTAGATCTCAGATTGCTGTGCTAGCAATGAGCGAGGCTCCATGTGCGTGGGACCCTCCAAGCCAGGCACAGGATATAATCTCCTGGTATGCCATTTCCTGGGACCATTGGAAAAGTGCAGTATTAGGGTGGGAGTGTCCCAATTTTCTAGGTGTTGTCTCTCATGGCTTTCCATGGCTAGGAAAGGGAATTCCCTGACCCCTTGTTCTTCCTGGGTGAGGTGATGCCTTGCCCTGCTTCGGCTCTTACTCCGTGGGCTGCCCCCACTGTCCTGCACCCACTGTCCAACATGGCCCAGTGAGATGAATGCAGTAACTCAGTTGGAAATGCAGAAACCACCCGTCTTCTACATCACTCATGCTGGGAGCTGTAGACTGGAGCTGTTCCGATTCAGCCATCTTGGAACTGCCCCCTTGGCTGTGGGTTTTTGAAAGATGGCATTTATTACCTTAATGTATGTCCCCTCTATGCTGATTTTGCTGAGGGTTTTAATTATGGAAAGATGCTGCATTTTGTCAAATGCTTTTTTGTGTGTCTATTGAGATCATCATGTGATTTTTGTTTTCAATTCTCTTTATGTGGTGTATCACATTTATTGACTTACATATGTCAAACCAACCCTGCATCACTGGTATAAAACCCACTTGATCATGGTGGATTATTTTTTTGATATACTGTTGTATTCAATTCACTAGCATTTCATTGAAAATTTTTGCATTTATGTTTATTAGAGATATTGGTCTGCAGTTGTCTTTTTTTATTATGTCCTTTTCTGGTTTTGGCAGTAGGGTAATATTGGCTTCATAGAATGATTTGGGAAGGATTTCCTATCTCTAAATCATGTGGAACAGTGTCACTGAGATTGGTACCAATTTTTCTTTGAACGTCTGACAGATTTCGACTTTGAACCCTTCTGGTCTTAAACTTTATTTTTGTTGTTGACAGTTTTCTAAAAACAATTCAATTTGCTGCTTGTTCATAAGTTTATATCTTCCTGGTTTAATCTGGAAGGGTTGTATATTTCCTGAAATTCATCCATCCTCTCTAGGTTTTCTAATTTGTGTGCATAAATGTGTTTTTAGTAGCCTTGAGTAATCTTTTGTGTTTCTGTGGTGTCAGTTGTAATATCTCCTATTTTATTTCTAATTTAGCTTATTTGGATCTGCTCTCTTCTTTTCTTTGTTTATCTCACTAATGGTCTATCAATTTCATTTATCTTTTCAAAGAACCAGCTTTTTGTTTCATTTATTTTTTTGTGGATTTTTTGGTTTCAATTTCATTTTATTCTGCTGTGATCTTGGTTATTTTTTTTTCTTTTCCACTGGATTTGTGTTTCGTTTATTCTTGTTTTGCCAGCTCTGTAAGGGGTGACCTTAGATTGTCTGTTTCTGCTCTTTCAGACATTTTGATGTAGGTGTTTAATGTTATGAACTTTCCACTTAACATTGCTTTTGCTGTATCCCAGAGGTTTTGATAAATTGTGCCACTATTATCATTTAGTTTAAAGATTTTTTAAATTTTCATCTTGATTTCATTGTTGACCTAATGATTATTCATATGCAGGTTATTAAATTTTGAAGTATTTGCATGGTTTTTAGGGTTCCTTTTGGAGTTTTTTTTTTTTTTTTTTTTGAGACAGAGTCTCACTGTGTCACCCAGGCTGGAGTGCAGTGGTGCGATCTCGGCTCACTGCAAGCACCACCTCCCAGGTTCATGCCATTCTCCTGCCTCAGCCTACCAAGTAGCTGGGAATACAGGTGCCTGCCACCACGCCCAGCTAATTTTTTTTTGTATTTTTTAGTAGAGAAGGGGTTTCACCGTGTTAGCCAGGATGGTCTCGATCTCCTGACCTTGTGATCTGCCCACCTCACCCTCCCAAAGTGCTGGGATTACAGGCGTGAGCCACCACGCCCGGCCTGGAGTTGATTTTTAATTTTATTTGACTGTGGTCTGAGAGAGTATTTGTTATACTTTTGATTTTTTAAATTTCTCTCTGACATAGTCTACCCAAATGAGAAGCAACCATTTATATAGTCTATTTTGGAGAATATTGCATGTGCTGAGGGATAAAATGTATATTCTGCAATTTCTTGGTAGAATGTTCTGTAAATATCTGTTAAGTCCCTTGTTCTAGAAAATAGTTTAAGTCCATTGTTTCTTTTTTTACTTTCTCTCTTTATGACATGGCTAGTGCTGTCAGTGGAGTATTAAAGCTCCTCAGTATTATTGTGCTGCCCAAGTTTCATTTCTTAGGTCTAGTAGTAAGTGTTTTGTAAATTTGTGAGCTCCTGTGTTAGATGCATATATATTTAGAATTGTGATATATTTTCCTGTTGGACAAGTCTTTTTGTCATTATATAATGTCCCTCTTTGTCTGTTTTTTAACTGCTGTAGCTTTAAAGGTTGTTTCATCTGATAAAAGAATAGCTACTCCTGCTCACTTTTGGTGACCATTTGCATAGAATATCTTGTTCTACCTATTTACCTTAAGTTTATATGAGTCCTTTTGTGTTATACGAGTCTCTTGAAAACAGCAGAAACTTGGTTGGTGAATTATTATCCATTCTTCCATTTTGTATCATTAAGTGGAGCATTTAGGCCATTTACATTCAATGTTAGTATTGAGATGTGAGGCAATATTCTATTCATTATGCTATTTTTCTGTGTTATTGTTATAAGTCCTGTGAGATTTGTAATTTAAGGAGATTCTATTTTGGTTTATTTTGAGGATTTGTTTAAAAATTTAGAGCTCCTTTTAGCAGTTTTGTAGTGCTGGCTTGGTAGTGGTGAATGCTGTCAGCATTTGTTTTTCTTAAAAAAAACTATATTTTTCTTTCATTTATGAAGCTTAGTTTTGCTGGATACTATATTCTGGGCTGATAATTTAGTTTTGTTGAGGAGGCTAAAAATAGGACTCCAATTCCTTCTACTTGTAAGTTTTCTGCTGAGAAATCTGTGTTAATCTGATTGGTTTTCTTTTATAGGCTACCTGATGCTTTTGCCTCTTAAGATTTTTTTCGTGGTTTTGAGTTTAGATAACCTGGTGACTATGTGCCTAGTTGATGATCTTCCTATAATGAATTCCCCAGGTGTTCTCTGAGCTTCTTGTGTTAGGTTGTCTAGATCTCTAGCAAGATGGCAGAAGTTTTATTTTTTTATTATTCCCCCAATATATTTTTAAAATTTTAGATTTTTCTTCTTCCTTGGGAACAAAAATTATTCTTAGGTTTTAACATAGCCCAAAAGTTCTTGGAGGCTTTGCTCATTTTTGTACTTTTTTTTTCTTTGTCAGATTGAGTTAATTTGAAAGCCTTGTCTTTGAGCTCCAAGGTTTTTCTTTTGCTTGTTCAATTCTATTGCTGAGAATTACCAGTGCATTTGGCATTTTTTGTGTGTTCCTGATATTCAGAAGTTTTGATGGCTTTTTATTTATGATCTATATTTCACTAAGAATTTTCTTTTTATATTCTGTATCATGTCTTTTGATTTCTTTAAGTTGGACTTCACATTTGTCTGGCCCCTCCTTTATTAGCTTAATAATTGACCATCTCTATTCATTTCCTGGCAATTCAGTTATTTTATCGTGGTTTGGATCTATTACTGGTGAGCTTGTATAATCTTTTGGAGGTGTTAAAAAACCTTGTTTTGTAATATTACCAGTACTGTTTTCCTGGATACTTCTCATTTGGGTAGACTATGTCAAAGAGAAGATTTAGGATTCAGGCCCTGCTGTTCAGATTCTTTTGTGCTCCCTTGATTTGGTGTTCTTCCCCTTCCCCTAGAAATGGGGTTTCCTGAGAGCCATACTGCAGGGATTGTTTTTGCTCTTCTGGGTCTAGACACCCAGCAGAGCTACTGGGCTCCAGGCTGATAATATGGAGTGTCTGCAAAGAGTCCTGTGATGTGATCTGTCTTCAGGTCTTGCAGCTGTGAATACCAGCATCTGCTCCAGTGGACTTCTCAGGGAAGTGAAGTGGACTCTGTGAGGGTCATTGGTTGTGATTTTGTTTATTGTACCGGTTTTGTGTTGGTTGGCCTCCAGCCAAAAAGTGGCACTTTCAAGAGTGCATTAGTGGGGAGAGCTGGCAAGATGGCTGAATAGGAACAGCTCCAGTCTGCAGCTCCCAGTGAGACCAATGAAAGAGGATGACTTCTGCATTTCCAACTGAGGTACCCAATTCATCTCATTGGGACTGGTTAGACAGTGGGTGCAGCCCAAGGAGGGTGAGCAGAAACTGGGTGGGGTGTTGCCTCACCTGGGAAGTGCAAGGGGATGGGGAACTCCCTCCCCTAGTCAAGGAAATCTGTGAGAGACTGTGCCATGAGGGATTGTGCTATCTGGCCCAGATACTATGCTTTTCTCACAGTTTTTGCAACCCCTAGACTAGGAGATTCCCTTGTGTGCCTACACCACCAGGGCCCTGAGTTTAGAACACAAAACTGGGCAGCTGTTTGGGCAGACACTGAGCTAGCTGCATGATTTTTTTTATTTTTTATTTTTTTATTTTTGCCCTGTGGCACCTCGGAAACCAGTGAGACAGATCTGTCCACTCCCCTGGAAAGGGTACTGAAGCCAGGGAGCCAAGTGGTCTTGCACAAAGGGTCCCACTCCCACAGAGCCCAACAAGCTAAGAACCACTGGCTTGAATTTCTTGCTGCCAGCACAGCAGTCTGAAGTCAACCTCTGACAATCGAGCTCAGTGAGGGAGGGGTGTCCACCATTACTGAGGCTTGAGTAGCTGGTTTTTCCCTTGCAGTGTTAACTGACTGTGCAGAACTCACCACAGCATGGCAAAGTGCATGGAGCCAGACTGCCTCTCTAGATACCTCCTCATTGGGCAGGGCATCTCTGAAAGAAAAGCAGCAGCCAGTCAGGGGCTTATAGATAAAACTCCCATCTCCCTGAGACAGAGCACCTTGGGGAAGGGGCAGATGTGGGTGCAGCTTCAATAGACTTAAATGTTCCCGTCTGCTGCCACTGAAGATAGCAGCAGATCTCTCAGCACAGCACTTGAGCTCTGCTAAAGGACAGACTGCCTCCTCAAGTGGGCCCCTGTCCCATATGACTCCTAACTGGAAGTCACCTCCCAGCAGAGGTCAACAGATACCTCATACAGGAGAGCTCCAGCTGGCATCAGCCAGGTGCCCCTCTGGGATGAGCTTCCAGAGACAGGAGCAGGCAGCAATCTTTGCTGTTCTGCAGCATCCACTGGTGATACCCAGGCAAACAGCGTCTGGAGTGGACCTGAAGCAAACTTCAGCAGAAGAGGGGCCTGACTGTTAGAAAAGAAAATAACAAACAGAAAGCAATAACATCAACATCAACAAAAACAATGACAACAGAAAAGCCCCATCCAACAGGTCATCAGACTCAAAGATCAAAGATAGGTAAATCCATGAAGATGAGAAAAAACAGTGCAAAAATCCTGAAAATTCCAAATATTAGAATGCCCCTTCTCCTCCAAATGATTGCAACTCCTCTCCAGCAAGGGCACAAAACTGAACAGAGAATGAGTTTGATGAATTGACAGAAGTAGGCTTCAAAAGGTGGGTACTAACCAACTCCTCTGAGCTAAAGGAGCATGTCCTAACCCAATGCAAGGAAGATAAGAATGTTGATAAAATGTTACAGGAACTGCTATCTAGAAAACACCATTTTAGAGAACGTAATTCACCCAATGGAGCTGAAAAACACAGCACAAGAACTTCGTGAAGCATACACAAGTAGCAATAGTGGAATCAATCAAGCAGAAGAAAGAATATCTGAGATTGAAGATCAACTTAATGAAGTAAAGTGTGAAGACAAGATTAGGAAAAAAAAGATGAAAAGGAACAAACCCTCCAGGAAATATGGGACTATGTGAAAGACCAAACCTACGATTCATTGGTGTACCTGAAAGTGACAGGGAGAATGGAACCAAGTTGGAAAACACTCTGCAGGATATCATCCAGGAGAATTTTCCCAACCTAGCAAGACAGACCAACATTCAAATACAGGAAATACAGAGAAAACCACTAAGGTACTCCTCAAGAAGATGAAGCCCAAGACACATAATTGTCAGATTCTCCAAGGTTGAAATGAAGGAAAAAAAATGTTAAGGGCAGCCAGAGAGAAAGATCGGGTTGCCAACAAAGAGAAGCACATCATACTAACAGTGGATCTCTCTGCAGAAATCCTACAGGCCAGAGAAGAGTGGTGGTAAATATTTAACATTCTTCAAGAAAAGGATGTTCAGTCCAGAATTTCACATCCAGCCAAACTAACCTTCATAAGCAAAGGATAAATAAAATCCTTTCCAGACAAGCAAATGCTGAGATATTTTGTCACCACCAGGCCTGCCTTACGAGATCTCCTTAAGGAAGCACTAAATAAGGGAAGGGAAAACGAGTAATAGCCACTGCAAAAACATACCAAAATATAAAGATCAACGAGACTATGAAGAAACAGCATCAACTAATGTGCAAAATAAACAGCTAGCATCATGATGACAACATCAAATTCACACATAACAATATTAAACTTAAATGCAAATAGGCTAAGTGCCCCAATTAAAAGACACAGACTTGCAAATTGGATAAAGAGTCAGGACACATTGGTGTGCTGTATTTGAGACCCATCTCATGTGCAAAGACACACATAGGCTCAAAATAAAGGGATGGAGGAATATTTACCAAGGAAATGGAAAGCAAAAAGAAGCAAGGATTGCAATCCTACTCTCTGATAAAAACAGACTTTAAAATGACAGAGATCAAAGAAGAGAAAGAGAGGCATTACATAATGGTAAAGGGATCAATGCAATAAGAAAAGCTAATTATCCTAAATATATATGCACTCAATACAGGAGCACCCAGATTAATAAAGTGAGGTCTCAGAGACCTACAATGAGACTTAGACTCCCACACAAAAATTGTGGGAGACTATAAAACCCCACTGTCAATATTAGACAAAAAAATTTAAAAGGATATTCAGGACTTGAAATCAGCTCTGGACCAAGCAGACCTAATAGACATCTACAGAGCTCTCCACCTCAAATCAACAGAATATACATTGTTCTCAATATCACGTAGCACTTAATCTAAAGTTGACCACATAATTGAAAATAAAACACTCCTCAGCAAATACAAAAGAACGGAAATCATAACAAACAGTCTCTCAGAACACAGTTCAATCAAATTAGAACTCAGGATTAAGAAACTCACTCAAAACTGCACAACTACATGGAAACTGAAAAACCTGCTCCTGAACGAGTACTGAGTAAATAATGAAATTAAGGCCGAAATAAATAAGTTCTCTAAAACTAATGAGAACAAAGACACAACATACCAGAATCTCTGGGACACAACTAAAGCAGTGTTAAGAGGGAAATTTATAGCACTAAATGCTCACCTTAGAAAGTGGGAAAGATCTAAAATTGACACCCTAACATCACAATTAAAAGAACTAGGCAAGCAAAAGCAAACAAATTCAAAAGCTAGCAGAAGACAAGAAATAACTAACATCTGAGCAGAATTGAAGGAGATATAGAAACAAAAACTTCAAAAAATGAATGAATCCAGGAGCTGGTTTTTTGAAGAGATTAACAAAATAGATCCCTAACCAGACTAATAAAGAAGAAAAGACAGAAGAATCAAATAGACGCAATAAAAAATGATAAATGAGTTATCATCCCTGATCCCACAGAAATATAAACTACCCTCAAACAATACTATAAACACCTCCATGCAAATAAACTAGAAAATCTAGATGAAATGGTTAATTCCTGGACACATACACTCTTACAAGACTAAACCAGGAAGAAGTTGAATCCCTGAATAGAATAATAACAAGTTCTGAAATTGAGGCAGAAATCAGTAGCTTAACAACCAAAAAAAGCCCAGGACCAGATAGATTCACAGCCGAATTCTACCAGAGGCACAAAGAGAAGTTTGTACCATTCCTTCTGAATCTATTCCAAACAACAGAAAGAGAGGGACTTGTCCCCAACTCATTTTAAGAGGCCACCATTATCCTGATACCAAAATGTGGCAGAGACACAACAACAAAAAAAAAACTTTAGGCCAATTGCCCTGATGAACATCGATGCAAAAATCCTCAATAAAATACAGACAAACTGAATCCAGCAGCATATCAAAAAAGCTTATCCACCAGGATCAAGTCAGCTTCATTCCTGAAATGCAAGGCTGGTTCAACATATGGAAATCAATAAACATAATCCATCACATTAACAAAACCAATGACAAATAACACATGATTATCTCAGTAGACTCAGAAATGGCCTTCAATAAAATTCAACACCCCTTCATGCTAAAAACACTGAATAAACTAGGTATTTGTGGAACATATCTCATAATAAGAGCTATTTATGACAAGCCCATAGCCAATGTCATATTGAATGGGTAAAAGCTGGAAGCACTTTCATTGAAAACTGTCACAAGACAAGTATGCCCTCTCTCATCACTCCTTTTCAACATAGTACTGGAAGTTATGGCCAGGAAAATCAGGAAAGAAAAATAAATAAAGCATATTCAAATAGGAAGAGAGGAAGTCAAATTATCTGTTTACAGATGACCTGATTGTATGTTTAGAAAACCCCATTGTCTCTGCCCCAAAACTCCTTAACCTGATAAACAACTTCAACAAAGTCTCAGGATACAAAACAAAGTGCAAAAATCACAAGAATTCCTATACTTTAATAATAGACAAACAGTGAGCCAAATCATGAGTGAACTCCCATTCGCAATTGCTACAAAGAAAACAAAATACCTAGGAATACAACTTACACTGGACATGAAGGACCTCTTCAAAGATAACTACAAACCACTGCTCAAGGAAAAAATAGGATACAAACAAACAGAAAAACATTCCGTGCTCATGGATTGAAAAAAGCAATATCGTGTAAATGGCCATACAGCCCAAAGTAATTTATAGATTCAACACTATTCCCATCAAGCTACTATTGACTTTCTTAACAGAACTAGAAAAAACTACTTTAAATTTTATATGGAACCAAAAAAGAGCCTGTATAGTCAAGACAATACTAAGCAAAAAGAACAAAGCAGGAGGCATCACCCTACCTGACTTCAAACTATACTACAAGGCTACAGTAACCAAAACAGCATGGTAATGGTACCAAAACAGATACATGGACCAATTGTACAGAACAGACACTGCAGAAATAACACCACACATCTACAACCATCTGATCTTTGACAAACCTGACAAAAACAAGCAGTGGGAAATCATTCCCTATTTAATAAATGGTGCTGGGAAACTGGCTAACTATATGCAGAAAACTGAAATTGACCCCTTCCTTACACCTTATACAAAAATTAAAATGGATTAATGACTTAAATGTAAAACCTAGAACCATGAAAACCCTAGAAGAAAACCTAGGCAATACCATTCAGGACATAGGCATGGGAAAAGACTTCATGACTAAAACACCAAAAGCAATGGCAACAAAAGCCAAAATTGACAAATGGGATCTAATTAAACTAAGGAGCTTCTGCACAGCAAAAGAAACTATCATCAGAGTGAACAGGCAACCTACAGAATGGGAGAAACTTTTTACAATCTATCCATCTGACAAATGTCTAATATCCAGAATCCACAAGGAACTTAAACTAATTTACAAGAAACAAACCCCATCAAAAAATGGACGAAGGATATGAACCGACATTTCTCAAAATTAGACATTTATGCGGCCAAAAAAAACACATGAAAAAAAGCTCGTCACCACTGGTCATTAGAGAAATGCCAATCAAAACAACAATGAGATACTATCTCACACCAATTAGAATGGTGATCATTAAAAAAAATAGGAAACAATAGATTCTGGAGAGAGCATGAAGAAATAGGAACCCTTTTACACAATTAGTGGTTGTGTAAATTAGTTCAGCCATTTTGGAAGACAGTGTGGTGATTCCTCAAGGATCTAGAACCAGAAATAACATTTCACCCATCAATCCCATTACTGGGTATATACCCAAAGGAATATAAATTATTCTAATATAAAGACACATGCACACGTATGCTTATTGCAGTGCTATTCACAGTAGTGGAGACTTGGAACCATCTCAAATTCTCATCAATGACAGACTGGATAAAGAAAATGTGGCACATATACACTATGGAATACTATGCAGCCATAAAAAGGAATGAATTCATGTCCTTTGCAGTAATACGGATGAAGCTGGAAACCATTCTCAGCAAACTAACACAGGAACAGAAAATCAAACATTGCATATTCTCACTCATAAGTGGGAGTTGAACAATGAGAACACATGGACACAAGGAGGGGAACATCACACACCAGAGCCTTCTGGGTTGTGGTGGGCAAGGGGAGGGAGAGCATTACGACAAATACCTAATGCATGTGGGGCTTAAAACCTAGATGATGGGTTGATGGGTGCAGCAAACCACCATGGCACCTGTATACCTATGTAACAACCTGCATGTTCTGTACATGTTTTCCAGAACTTAAAGTTTAATAAAAAAGAAAAAATAGTGCATTAGCTGCTATAGTACTATAGGGGGATGCAACCTTTTCCTAGGGACACCTAGTTAAGTATTTGGGTTTCTCAGAAGGTGGACAACCCCTTAGAGCTCCCAAAAGATTGTGACCTTTGTCTTTGGCTACCAGGGTGAATAGAGAAAGACCATCAGGTGGGGCCAGGGATAGGCCTGTCTACCCTTAGCCTTTCCTTGGGTGGGGCTTGCTGTGGTTGCTGTGGTTGCTGTGGTGGATGAGGGTGTGGTTCTCTGTCCAATGGATTTTTTATTTTATGAATTATTCGGGAACAGTTGTTATTAGGTTACACGTGTAAATTCTTTAGTGGTGATTTTTGAGACTTTGGTTCACCCATAATCCAAGCAGCATACACAGCACCATATTTATAGTCTATTATCCCTCCCCTCAACTATTCTTCCCAAGTCTCCAAAGTTCATTGTATTATTCTTATGCCTTTGCATCCTCATATCTTAGCTCCCACATATCAATGAGAACATACAGTATTTCCTATTCCATTCCTGAGTTACTTCACTTAGAATAATAGCCTCCAATCTCATCCAGGTCACTGCACACGCTGCTAATTCATTCCTTTTTATGGCTGAGTAGTATTCATATATATATACATATCACAGTTACTTTATCCACTTGTTGATTGATGGGCATTTGAGTTGTTTCCACGATTTTGCAATTATAAATGGTGTTGCTATAAACATGTATGTGCAAGTTTCTTTTTCGAATAATGACTTCTTTTCTCATGGGCAAATATGCAGTAGTGGGATTGCTGGATCAAATTGATCCAGATCAAATAGAAAGTAGACTGGAGTTCGTTAAGGAATCTCCACTCCACTTTCTATAGTGACTGTGCTAGTTTACACTCACACCAGCAGTGTAGAAGCATTCCCTGATCACAGCATTCACGCCAACCTCTACTGGTTTTTGCTTTTTGATTATGGCCATTCTTGCAGGAGTAACGTGATATCACATTGTGGTTTTGATTTGCATTTTTCTGATCATTACTGGTGTTGAGCATTTTTTCATATGTTTGTTGGCCATTTGTTTATCTTCCCTTGAGAATTGTCTATTCATGTTCTTAGCTCACTTTTTGATGGGATTGTTTATTTCCTTCTTACAGATTCATTTGAGTTTGTTGTTGATTGTTGATATTAGTCCTTTGCCAGTTCTATAGATTGTGAAGATTTTTCTCCCACTCCGTGGGTTGTCTGTTTGCTGACTGTTCCTTTTGCCGTGTGAAAGCTTTTTAGTTTAATTAGATCTTTACTATTTATCTTTGTTTTATTGCATTTGTTTTTGAGTTGTTGGTCATTAATTGCCTAAGCCAATGTCTAGAAGGGTTTTTTTTCCATGTAATTTTCTAGGATTTTTATAGTTTCAGTTCTTAGGTTAAGTCCTTAATCCATCTTGAGTTGACTTTTTTTTTTGAGACAGTGTTTTGCTCTTGTCACCCAGGCTGGAGGGCAATGGCACAATCTTGGATCACTGCAACCTCCACCTTCCGGGTTCAAGCAATTCTCCTGCCTCAGCCTCCTGAGTAGCTGGGATTACAGGCGCCCACCACCAAGTCCAGCTAATTATTTTGTATTATTAGTAGAGATGGGGTTTCACTATGTTGGCAAAGCTGGTCGCGAACTCCTGACCTCAGGTGATCCACCGGACTTGACCTCCCAAACTTTTGGGATTACAGGCATGAGCCACAGTGCCAGGCTGAGTTGATTTTTGTATAAGGTGAGAGATGAGGATCCACTTTCATTGTCCTACAGGCGGCTAGCCAATTATCTCAGCACCATTTTTTGAAAAGGGTGTCCTATCCCCCCACTTTATGTTTTTGTTTGCTTTGTCAAAGATCAGTTGGCTTTAAGTATTTGGTTTTATTTCTGGGTTTGCGCTTCTGTTCCATTGGTATAAATACCTATTTTGATACCAGTACCATGCTGTTTTGGTGACGATGGCCTTATAGTATAGTTTGAAATCAGGTAGCGTGATACCTCCAGATTTGTTCCTTTTGCTTATTCTTGCTTTAGTTTTGCAGGCTATTTTTTGGTTCCATATGAATTTTAGAATTTTTTTTTCTAATTCTGTGAAGAATGATGGTGGTATTTTGATGGGGATTTTGTTAAATTTGTGGATTACTTTTTGCAGTATGGCCATTTTCACAGTACTGATTTTACCTATTCATGAGCATGGGATGTGTTTCTATTTGTTTGTGTCATCTATGATTCATTTCAGCAATGTTTTGTAGTTTTCCTTGTAGAGATTTTTTGACTCCTTTGTTAGGTGTATTCCTAAGTATTTTATTTTTTTGCA
The DNA here is from genome assembly GCF_000001405.40 of Homo sapiens. Lineage (NCBI taxonomy): Eukaryota > Metazoa > Chordata > Mammalia > Primates > Hominidae > Homo > Homo sapiens. The sequence continues at coordinate 76,501,114 of NC_000023.11, forward strand.
GCTATTTTAAAAGGGGTTGAGTTCTTGATTTGATTCTCTGCTTGGTTACTCTTTTGGTATAGAAGAGCTACTGATTTGTGTACATTAATCTTGTATCTTAAAACTTTGCTGAAATTTATTATCAGTTGTAGGAGCTTTCTGGAGGAGTCTTTAGGGTTTTCAAAATAAACGATCATATCATCAGCAAACAGTGCCAATTTGAGTTTCTCTTTACCAATTCCAATGCCTTTTCTTTCTTTCTCTTGTCTGATTGCTCTGGCTAGGACTTCAAGTACTATGTTAAAGAGAAGTGGTTACAGTGGGCATCCTTTTCTTCCAGTTCTCAGAGAAAATGCTTTCAACTTTTCCCCATTCAGTACTATGTTGCCTTTTGGTTTGTCATAGATGGCTTTTATTACATTGAGGTACGTCCCATGTATGCTGATTTTACTGAGAGTTTTAATTATAAAGGAATGCTGAATTTTGTCAAATGATTTTTCTGCATCTATTCAGATGATCATGTGATACGTGTTTTTAATTCTGTTTATGTGGTGTGTCACATTTATTGACTTGTATATGTTAAGCCTCCCTGCATCCCTGGTATGAAATCCACTTGATCATGGTGGATTATCTTTCTGATATATTTTTGGATTTGGTTAGCTAGTATTTGGTTAAGGATCTTAGCGTCTCTGTTTATTAGAGATATTTGTTTGTAGTTGTCTTTTTTGGTTATGTCTTTCCCTGGTTTTGGTATTAGTGGGTGCTGGTTTCATAGAATAATTTAAGGAGGGTTCCTCCTTTCTCTATATTGTGGAATAGTGTCAAAAGGATTGGTACCTTTTTTTAATATCTGGTTAAATTCTGCTGTGAATTCTTCTGATCCTGACCTTATTTTTGTGGGTAATTTTTGTTCATGTCCTTTGCAGGGACATGGATGAAGCTGGAAATCATCATTCTCAGCAAACTAACACAGGAACAGAAAGCCAAACACCACATGTTCTCACTCATAAGTGGGAGTTGAACAGTGAGAACACATGGACACAAGGAAGGGAACATTGCACACTGGGGACTGTCAGGGTGTGGGGGTCTTCAGGAAGGATAACGTTAGGACAAATACCTAATGTAGATGATGGGTTGATGGGTGCAGCAAATCACCATGGCACGTGTATACCTATATAACAAGCCTCAACATTCTTCACATGTATCCAAGAACTTAAAGTATAGTAATAAAACAATAAATAAAGGACAATCAAGAGCTTGGGAATAACCCCATGCCTTAACTACTTGTATTTTCAGAAATTCAAAGTCCAAACAAACAAGAAAAATTACCATTTTAATCTTGCTATTTGTTATTGGTCTGCTCAGGGTATCTAATTCTTCCTGATTTAAGCTAGGAGGGTTGTATTTTTCCCAAATTTATCCAACTCTTCTAGGTTTTCCAGTTTATGTGTGTAAAGGTGTTCATAGTAGCCTTGAATGATCATTTGTATTTCAGTGGAGTCAGTCGTACTATCTCCTGTTTCATTTCTTAATGAGGTTGTTTGAATTTTCTCTCTTGTTTTCTTGGTTTATCTTGCTAATGATTTATCAATTTTATCTTTTTAAAAAGCAGATTTTTGTTTCATTTATCTTTCATATTGTTTTCTTTGTTTCAATTTTATTTAGTTCTGCTGTAATCTTGGTTATTTCCTTTCATCTGCTGGGTTTGGGTTTGGTTTGTTCTTGTTTCTCTAGTTACTTGAGGTGTGACCCTAGCTTCTCTCTTTGTGCTTCTTCAGTCTTTTTGATGTAGGCATTTAGGACTATGAACTTTCCTCTTAGCACCGCCTTTTGCTGTATACCAGAGGTTTTGCTATGTTGTGTCATCATTATCATTCAGTTCAAATAATTTTTTAATTTTCATCTTGATTTAATTTTTTATCTTGGATCATTCAGAAAAATATTATTTAATTTCCATGTATTTGCATGGTTTTGAAAGTTCCTTTTGGAGTTGATTTCCACTTTTATTCCACTGTGGTCTGAGAGAGCGTTTGATGTAATTTCAATTATCTTAAATGTATTGAGACTCATTTAATGGCCTATCATATGGTCTATCTTGGAGAAAGTTCCATGTACTGTTGAATAAACTGTGTATTCTGTTGTTGTTGGATAAAATGTTGTGTATATATCTGTTAAGTCCATTTTCAATGTATAGTTCAAATTCATTGTTTCTTTGTTGACTTTCTGTCTTGATAACCTGCCTAGTGTTGTCAGTGGAATATTGAAGTCCCCCACTATTATTGTGTTGCTATCTCATTTATTAGGTCTATTAGCAATTGTTTTATAAATTTGGGAGCTCCAGTGTTAGGTGCACATATATTTAGGATTGTGATATTTTTCTGCTGGGCAAGGCCTTTTACCATTATGTAATGTCCCTCTTTGTCTCTTTTAACTGCTGTTTCTTTAAAGTTTGTTTTGTCTCATATAAGAATAGCTACTCCTGCTTGCTTTTGGTGTCCATTTGCATGAAATGCCTTTTTCCACCCCTCTACTCTAAGTTTATGTGAGTCCCTATGTGTTAGGTGAGTCTCCTGAGACAGCAGATACTTGGTTGGTGAGTTTTTATCTATTCTGTGGTTCTGTATCTTTTAAGTGGAACATTTATGCCATTTACATTCAAAGTCTGTATTGAGATGTGAGGTGCCATTGCATTCATGATGCTATTTGGTGCCTGTGTACTTTGGCTTTTTTGGTTTTTGTTTTTGCTTTTTAACTTGTATTTTTGTCTTACAGGTCCTGTGTTATTTATGTTTTCAAGAGGTTTTGTTTTGATGTGTTTCCAGGATTTGTTTCAAGATTTAGAGCTTCTTTTAGCAGTTCTTGTAGTTGTGGCTTCATACTGATGAATTTTCTTAGCATTTGTTTGTCTGAAAAAGACTGTATCTTTTCTTCATAAATGATGCTTAATTTTGCTGGATACAAAATTGTTGGCTGATAATTGTTATGTTTGAGGAATCTGAAGATAGGGCCCCTATCCCTTTTAGCTTGTAGGGTTTCTTCTGATAAATTTGCTGTTAATCGGATATGTTTTCCTTTATAGGTTACCTAATGCTTTTGCCTCACAGCTCTTATGATTTTCTCCTTCATCTTAACTTTGGATAAACTGATGACAGTGTGCCTAGGCGATGACCTTTTCGTAATGAATTTCCCAGGTGTTCCTTGAGCTTCTTGTATTTGAATGTCTATGTCTCTAGCAAGGCTGGGGAAGTTGTCCTCAATTATTCCCCCAAATATGTTTTTGAAGCTTTTAGAATTCTCTTCTTCCTCTGGAACACCAATTATTCTTAGGTTTGGTCATTTAACATAATCCCAGACTTCCTGGAGGCTTTGTTTATAATTTTTTTCTTTTTCCTTTGTCTCTGTTGGATTGGGTTAATTTGACCTTGTCTTCGAGCTCTAATTGTTTTTCTTTTACTTGTTCAATTCTATTGCTGAGAATTTCTAGAGCATTTTGCATTTCTGTAAGTGTGTCCAATGTTTCCTGAAGTTTTGGTTTTTTTTCTTTCAGCTATCTATTTCCTTGAATATTTCTCCCTTCACTTCTTTTATCTTTTTTTTTTTATTTTCTTTTATTGGGCTTCACCTTTCTCTGGTGCCTCCCCGATTAGCTTAATGACTAATCTCCTGAATTATTTTTCAGGCATCAGGGATTTCTTCTTGGTTTGAATCCATTGCTGGTGAACTAGTGTGATTTTTGGGGGGAGTTAAAGGCCTTGTTTGTCATATTACCAGAGTTGGTTTTCTGGTTTCTTCTCATTTGGGTAAGCTCTGTCAGAGGGAAGGTCTAAGGCTCAAGACTGTTGTTCAGATTCTTTGAGTCCCATGGGGTGTTACCTATAGTATGCTCTCCCTTTCCCTATGGATTTGGCTTCCTGGGAGTTGAACTCGAGTGATTTTTCTCTCTTTTCTGGGTTTAGCCAGCCAGCAAGTGTACCCAGCTCTGGGCTCTTACTGGGGGTTGTCTGCACAGAGTTCTGTGATGTGAACCTTCTATGGGTTTCCCAGCCATGGATAGCAGCATTTGTTCCAGTGGAGGTGGTGGTGGAGTGCAATGGACTCCATGAGAGTTCTTAGCTTTGGTGGTTTAATGCTCTATTTTTGTGCTGGTTGGCCTCTTGCCAGGAGGTGGCACTTCAGAGAGCATCAGCTGTGGTAGTATTAAAAGGATCCCACAGTGAGTGGGGCCCTAGAACTCCCAAGATTATGTGCCCTTTGTCTTATGCTACCAAGGTGGGTAGGGAAGGACCATTGGTTGGGGCCAAGGCTAGGCATGTCTGTGCTCAGGCTCTCCTTTGGTGGGTCTTGCTGTAGCTGCCGTGGAAGATGGGGCTGAGATTCCCAGATCACTGGAGTTCTGTAGCTAGGAGGATTATGGCTGCCTCTGCTGAGTCATGCAGGTTGTCAGGGTAGTGGGGGAAAGCCAGCAGTCACAGGCCTCACCCAGCTCCCACACATACCAAAGAGCCAGTCTCACTCCTACCATGCGCCCCCAAGAGCGCTGAGTCTGATCCCAGGAAGTGGGCAACCTGGGCTTGAAAATTTGCCCCACTTACCTGCCTCCCAGCTGCAAAGGAAAAGGGCTTGGTTCTTCCCCAACCAGTGGAGTTTGCACGTCAGATCCACACACTCCCCTGAGTTCTAGCAAGGAGGCTTCTCTCCCCATTCAAACTGTTACAAAGTTGAGCTGGAGATTTTCTTCTCCCTATGGAGTTGCCCCCAACCCCCACCCCCACCCCCACCCCTGGCTCCTCTGTCCGGTCTCCCAGTGGATCCCTCTGGTACTAGGCAGGAATTTACTGCTTGGGGACCCAGCGAGCTCCCAGGACCTTTCTGCTGCTCCTTCTACTCCTGTACTTTTCTCTGATCTCTAAATTGATTTAGCTCCAGATAATGTCAGAAACTTCTCCTATAAACAGACTTTCAGTTTCTCCAGTGTGGGAGTGTCTTCAGGAGAGGAGGATCTCCCTTTCCCAGTACTGCTGTTGGGGCACTCACAGTATTTGGGGTGTCTCCCAGATCCTGTAGAAGCAGTCCACTTCCTTCATAGGGTCTGTGGGTCCTCTTGTGATTGCTGGTTTGTCTTGCAGTCAATCTGGAGCTAGAGTTCTTAATGTGAGCCTCTGAATGCTGCTCTGTCCATCTGAGTCAGAGCTGCAATCTAGTCCTGCCTCCCGTCCGCCATGATGAACCCTCTTTCTCCCCAGTCCAATGGAGTTATTTTCCCAGGGGGATTATGGGAGCCTCTGCTGCGTCAGACAGGCTGCCAAGAAAGTGGAAGAAAGCCAACAGTCACAGGCCTCATCCCTCCCCCATGGAGCTCATAGTCCTAAAGGCCAGTGTCACTTCCACTGTGCCCCTTCTAACAGAACCAAGTCTATTTTCTGGCAGCCAGTGACCAGGGCTGATCCCTTGCCCCAAACCACGAGCATCCCCCTTGAGAAAGCAAGCAGATTCACAGTTTTTCAGCATCTCAGGGAGTCTGAAATGGTGATCCAATTTCTTCAAAGGGTCTGTGGTTTTTCTCGGCTTTCCTAGTATGTTCCTTTGGTAGTTCTTGAAAAAAAAGTTCACAATATGCATCTCCACACACTCCTCTGTCTGTTTGAGTGGGAGCTGCAAGCTAGTTCTTCCTCCTATTGCCATTTTAACCTTCACCTTTTCCTGGCTTATTTTAATACTGGTAGATGTTTTTCTGTGTATGAGCATTGAAGAGTTAGGTTTTTATTGTACTCTTTACAATCTGGGCTTATTTGTACTTGTCCTCTTTGGGGAGGCTTTCCAAATATTCAGAAAGATTTAGGTGTGCTGATCTAGGCTGTATATGCTTTAGGGGAGAGTGCAAGCTCAGTAGTTCTGTGATTCTTGCAGACCTATAGAGGTACTGTCTTTATGGTCTTGGACAAGATCCAGAAGAATTCTCTAAATTATCAGGCAAAAAATGTTGTTCTGTTTTCTTATTTCCTCTCAAAATCACAGAGTTTCTCTCATTGCTCTGAGCCATGTAGAAATTGGGATGGATTGACACAAGCACCCCAGTGGCCACTACCCCTTAAACTGCACTGGGTCAGACCTGAAGCCAGCACTGTATTGGAACTCACTCAAGGCCTGCTGTAACCACTCTCTGGCTACTTTGTATGTTCGCTCAACACCCTGGGGCTTTACAATCAGTAGGCAGACAAACCAGCAAGGTATGTGTCCTTCCTTTCAGGGTGGCCAGTATCCCCAGGCCCCAGTTAGGCCCAGAGGTATTGTCTGGGAGCCAGTGATGAGAGTCAAAAACCTTAGAAGTCTACCTGGTGTCCTAATGCTGACATTTTCTTAATTCCCACGGACTCTTCAGTCAGCTTGTAGTAAATGCTGGCTGGCCTGGGACTCACCCTTCATGCGAGTGGGCTCCCCTCTCTCCCAGGATAGGTCCAGAAATGCCATCAAAGATTCAAGCTCAGGAATTGAAGACCTTAAGAACCTGTTTGATTCTCTACCATCTGTGGCCAAGCTGGTACCTATGGTGCAAGACAAAGTCCTCTTTACTTTTCCCTCTGCTTTTCTCAAGCAGTAGTAGACTCACCCCATAGCCACTACAGCTGGGAATGTGCTAAGTCTTCCCTGAAGCTAGCAAGTCTAAGAAGCTAACTCAAGGCTCTTGATGTATTACCTGGGTATCACTGTTGACTATTCAGGATCCAAGGGCTTTTCAGTTAGCAGGTGATAAATGCTGCCAGGACTGGCTCCTTTTCTTCAAGGCTGCAGGTTCTCTTCTGGCTCAGAATGTATCTGGAAATGTTCAGCAGTTGAAAAGGGGTCTGATGACTCTGACTGGTGCCCTGTCTTACTGTGGTTGAGCTGGTATCCAAGATGCAAGACAAAGTATGTCCCACTTTTCTGTCTTCTCTCCTCACGTGAAAGGAAGGGGTCTTTTTGGGAGCCATGAGCTGTGCAGCCTGGAGTTAAGAGAGTGGTGATGTCAGCTCTCCCTTCGCCTTCCTGACTGATGTCTCAGGTCACATGCCATCCCAGTCCATTGTCTCTTGGCCCAGTTCAGCCCTAGGACTCACCCAGGTGTGACAGTCCTTGTGGCCTAGACTGCCTTTCAAGTATGTTTGAGGACCCAGAGCACGTTAGCCCATGCTGGTGAGGCTTGTGGGAATACAAATTCTGACCACTAGGATTGGTGATTCTTCTCTGGCTAGGGCTAGTTTAAATGCACTCTCTGTGGCAGACATCAACTGAGTTTGGTCTTGTTTCGATTTCTTTTATGACAAGAATAGCACCGAGTTCAATGTCTCACAATTGCTAGTTTCCCCCCTACTCTCCAGCAAACAGAAGCACTCTCCACATCATTCTGCCTCTTCAAGGAAATAAAAAGAGGCGGTGTCCGCGATTCAAAACTATTTTTCTACCATTTTAGTACCTCTTTCAATGATATAAAGTAAAAATCAAGTACTGAGCATAATTACTTGATTTGTGGTTTTTACAAAGGTCTTTTTTTGTCTGTAGATAGTTGCTAAATTGGTGTCCTTGCATGGAGAAAAATAGATAGATTGTATCTTTGTTTTCATTAGTTTCAAAGAACTTCTTGAGTTCTGCCTTAATTCTATTACTTACCCAAAATTTGTTCAGAAGCCAGTGGTTTAATTTTCATGTAATTGTATGGTTTTTAGCAATTTTCTTAGTCTTCAATTCTATTATTATTGTGCTGTGGTCCAATAGAGTGGGTGGTATAATTTTTTTTTTTTTTTTTGCATTTGCTGAGAATTGTTTTAGGCCCATTCATGTAGTTGATTTTAGAGTATGTGCCATGTGCAGATGAGGAAAATGTATGTTCTATTGTTCTGGGGAAGAGAGTCCTGTAGATGTCTATCAGATCCATTCGGTCCAGTGTTAAGTTCAGATTCTGAATGTCTTTGTCAATTTTCTGCCTTGGTGATAAGTCTCATACAGTCAGTGGGGTGTTGAAGTCTCCCATTATTATTGTGTGAAAGTTTGTGTCTCTTTGAAGATCTCTAGGAACTTGCTTTATGAATCTTCATGCTCCTGTGTTGGATGCATATACATTTAGGATAGTTAGGTGTTCTTTTTGAATTGAAACTTTTACCATTATGTAATGCCCTTGTTTGTCTTTTAAAATTTTTGTTGGTTTAATATCTGTTTTGTCTAAAATTAGAATTTCAGCCTCTGCTTTTTTTCTGTTTTCCATTTGCTTAATAAATTTTTCTTCATTCCCTTATTTTTAGCCTATGGGTGTCATTGGATGTGAGATTCATCTCTTGAACACTGTACTACTGGTTCTTGCTTTTTTACTCAGCTTGTCACTCTGTGTCTTTCAATTGGGCATTCAAGGCTAGTGTTGATATGTGTGAATTTGTTTCTGTCATCATGTTATTAGTTGTTTATTATGCTGACTTGTTTGTGTGGTTTCTTTATAGTGTTACTGGTCTGTGCACTTAAGTGTGTTTTTTTAGTAGCAATATTTTCTTTTCATATGTAGTGCTTTATGCGAGGTATTTTGCAAGGATTTTCTGAATTTTCTGAATTTTTATGTGGGCTAAACTAGAAAAGTTTACACAAAAGATATCCTGAACTATGTTTCCAAGTTTATTCCATTATCTCCATTTCTTTCAGATATACCAAGGAGTAGTAGATTGGGTCTTTCTCCATAATCCCATATTTCTCAAAAATTTTATTTGTTCCTTTTAATTCTTTTTTAGTTATTCTTTTCTGACTATCCTATTTCAGAAAGCCAGTCTTCAATCTCAGATTACATCCTCAGCTTGGCCTATTCTGCTATTAATACTTCTGCTTGTACTGTGTGTTCTCACTTATAAGTGGGAGCTGAATGATGAGGACACATGGACACATGATGGGGCCTACAACACATATTGGGGCCTGTCAGAGATTGAGGTGTAGGAGGAGGGAGAGCATCAGGAAGATGCTGGGCTTAATACCAAATAGATTCTGGGTCTAACACCTGGGTGATGGGATAATCTGTGCAGCAAACCATCATGACACATTTATCTATGGAACAAACCTGCACATCCTGCAAATGTACCCCTGAACTTAAAATGAAAGATGGAAATAAAAGAAAAAGTACTCTCAATTGTATTATAAAATTCTTTTGGAGTATTTTTCAGCTCGGTCTGATCAGTTACATTCTTTCTATACTGGCTATTTTTTCAGCTCTTCTACCATTTTATTGTGATCCTTAGCTTCTGTAGATTCTATTTCAATTTTCTCCTTAATCTTGATTATCTTTCCTATACATTTTCTGAATTCTATTTCTGTCATTTAAGCTGTCTCAGCCCAGTTAAGAACTCTTTCTGGAAAATTAGTGTGGTCATTTGGAAGAAATAAGACACTTTGGCTTTTTGAATTGACATTTCTTATACTGGTTCTTCTCATCTTTTGGGGCTGATGTTCCTTCAGCCTTTGAAGTTTCTGTCTTTTGCATAACACAAAAGAAAGCTACAGACCAATATTCCTGATGAACATAAATGCAAAAATTCTCAATAAAATACTAGCTAACAAAATCCAAGAGTATATCAAAAAGGGAATACATCATAAACAAGTGAGTTCCATCCTAGGGATGCAGGGATGCTTTAACATACAGGTCAGTATATATGATACATCACAAAAACAGAATTAAAAACAAAAATCATGTGATCATCTAAATAGATATGGAAAAATCATATGATAAAATTCATCATCACTTTATGATTAAAACCCCAACAAAATAAGCATAGAAGAGACTTACCTGAAAGTAACAAAAGCCATATATTACAAACCCACAGCCAACATTATACTAAATGGGGAAAAGTGGAAATTATTCTTCCTGAGAAATGGAACAAGACAAGAATGATAACTTTCACCATTTTTATTAAACATAGTACTGGAAATCCTTTTCAGAGCAATCAGACAAGAGAAAGAAATGAAGGGAATCAAAATTAGAAAATAGAAAATCAAACTATCACTGTTCACAGTTGAAATGATTGTATACCTAGAAAATCCTAAAGACTCCACCAACGGACAATTAGATTTGATTAACAAATTCAGTAGAGTCTCAGGTTACAAAATCAGTGTACACAAATCAGTAGCACTGCTATACACCAACAAAGACTAAGCCGAAAATCAAATCAAGAACTCAATCTATTTACAACAGCTACAAAAAATACCTAGGGATATAACTTAACCAAGGAGGTGACAGATCTCTGCAAGGAAAACTACAAAACACTGCTAAAAAAATTTTATAGATGACAAAAGCAAATGGAAACACATTCCATGCTCATGGATGGAAAGAATCAATATTGTGAAAATAACCATATTGCCCAAAGCAACCTACAGAGTCAATGCAATTCTTATCAGAATACTATCATCATTCTTCACAGAACTAGAAAAAAAATCTTAAAATTCATATGTATCCAAAAAAGGAACCCATATAGCTAAACTAAGACTAAGTAAACAGAAAAATCTGGAGGTATCCCATTACCTTACTTGAAATTATACTAGATGGCTATGGTTACCAAAACAGCATGATACCGGTATAAAAATAGTCACTTAGGCTAATTAAGCAGAATAGAGAATCCAGAAATAAAGCCAAATACTTACAGTCAACTGATCTTTGACACAGCATACAAAAATATAAATTGAGGAAAGAACACGCCATTCAATAAATGGTGCTGGGAATACTGGTAAGCCACATGTAGTAGAATAAAACTGGATTCTCATCTGTGATGGTTAATATTGAGTGTCAACTTCATTGGATTGAAGGATGCGAAGTATTATTCTTGGGCATGTCCATGAGGGTGTTGTGAAAGTAGATTAACGTTTGAGTTAGTGGACTAAAAAAGGCATACCCACCCTCAATCTGGGTGGGCACAATCTAATCATCTGCCAACGCAGCCAGCATAAAAGCAGGCAGAAGAATGTGGAAAGATGAGACTGGTTTAGTCTTCTGGACTGCATTTTTCTCCCGTGCTGGATGCTTCCTGCCCTTGAACATCACATTCCAAGTTAGCTTTGGGGCTTGGACTGGCTTCATTGCTCTTCAACTTGCCGACAGCCTATTGTGGGACCTTACCTTGTCATTTTGTGAATTAATACTTCTTACCAATCTCCCCTTTATATATACATCTATCCTATTAGTTATGTTCCTCTAGAAAACCCTGACTAATACAGATTTTCATACCAGGAGTGGTTCTAGAGAAACAAAATATTAAGGATGGAGTTATTTAGTCAGTTTTGGGGTTTCTGGATTTGGCTACTTAATATGATTAGACCCCAAAATGCTAAGGGCTCTACTTCTAATAGTATGGAGAAAACTGATAATCCATGGTATGAACTATTTAGACAGTTGTGCAAAATAAATCCATTTGCTAATCTTGATAAACTGCTCTTGAGAGGCAAGGAGTTTAGTGACTCTATACATAATACCTTTGACCATATGTGGAGATCCAAGGAATATAATGAAGTTGGTTGGTTGCTCCTAAGTTCTCTGGACAAAGTGATGAGAGAAAATAATGAATTCAGAAATTCTAACTCCTGGCTTTAGAAGCAGATACTGAGCCTCTAATCTTCTAAGATTGCCCTGAGTGAGAGTCTTATCACCTGTAGAGAAATAGCTGAAATTGTGGAAAATCAGACACAAGTTCTTATCATGTGAGTGGCTGACCTACAACAAAAGTACACACACAGCTTCACCAGGTGTCCATTGTAAAAATGAGGTCATTGATTGGAAAAAGAATGGGACCCTCCAACTTTGAATGGGGATGTGTGGGAGGACCTTAATAAAGCTGGGGACACTGAGCTTGTGAACTTTGATGAGCCTTTTTTGCCAGAAGAAACAGCTTTTCCATACTCTGTAGTGGAAACATCCTCTCCCCAAGACACGTTGCCATCAGCCTTTATTCCTTTGTCTGAAGAGATAAATTCTGTGCTGTTTGAGGCAAGAGTGATGGCCTCCCCTAAGTCCGTTGCCAGGCAAGACAATGTTGATTCTTCTCAGGAGCCACTCCCAACCCTCCTGTTTGCTCCTAGACCTATTACTAGACTCAAGTCCCTGCAGGCACCTAGAGGGGAGGTTCAGAGTGTGACCCATGAGGAGGTGTGCCATACTCCAGGAGAACTGCTTGAGTTTTCTAATTTATATAAGCAAAAATCTGGATAACAGGCATGGAAATGGATGTTAAGGGTATGGGATAATGGTGGAAGGAACACAGAGTTGGATCAGTCTGAATTTACTGATTTGAGCCTACTAAGCAAGGATTCTGCATTTAATCTTGCAGCTCAGGGAGTTACAAAAGATTCTAATAGTTTATATGCTTGGTTAGCAGAAATATGGATTAAAATATGGCCCACTGTGAGCAATCTGGAAATGCCTGATCTCCTTTATTTTAATGTAGAGGAAGGGATCCAAAAGCATAGGGAGATTGGATGCTGGAGTGGATTAGTCACTTTAGACCTACTCATCCCAGCTGTGAGGGTTCAGAAGATATACCCTTGATGAATACTTTGCAAAATAAGTTTGTGAGGACAGCACCTGCAACCTTGAAGAGCTCTGTTATTGCTCTTCTCTGTATATCAGATATTACAGTAGGAACTGCAGCCACTCAATTATGAAATTTAAATGCAATGGGAATAATTGGATCCCAAGGTGGCAGTGGCAAAGTGGCAGCACTCACTCATCAAAGGCAATGTGGGTTAAGTTACCATAACAGACAGCAGATACAAAGCAGCAATCAGAATAGTCTGACTCATGTAGAGCTCTGACATTGACTAATTAACCACGAAGTCCCTAGAAGTGAAATTGATAGGAAGCCTACTGCATTCTTAATTTATATAACCAGAAAACTTCCAGGTCGAGTGGACAAAAACCTAATTTGAATTGTAAACACAAAATCACGGTCCCTCAATCAATTTCCAGACTTGAGCCAGTTTGAACCCCTTGAATGAAGGGGAGGCTGGGTCCGTTTGAGGAAGAATCCCACTACACTACCAACAATGTAATGCTATTAATCTTTCTACCATCCTTCCCCAAGGAGACCGTCAGCCTTTTACCAGGGTAACTGCATTGGGGAAAAGAAAATTATCAGAACCGTCAGGGACTACTAAACACTGACTCTCAGCTGACATCAATGCCAGGGGACCCAAAATGTCACTGTGGTCCTCCAGTTAAAGTAGGGGCTTAAGGAAGTCAGGTAATTAATGATGTTTCAGCTCAAATCCCACTTACAGTGGGTCCAGTGGGTTTCCAGACTCATCCTGTGGTCATTTCCCCAGTGCCAGAATGCATAATTGGCATAGACATATTTAGCAGCTGGTGGAGCCCCCACTTTGGCTTCCTGACTGGTAGGATTAGGGATATCATGGTGGGAAAGGCCAAATGGAAGCAATTAGAGCTGCCTCTACCTAGAAAAAAAATAGTAAATAAAAAACAATATTGCATCCCTAGAGGGATTTCAGAGATTAGTGCCACCATAAAAGACTTGGAAGACTCAGAGGTGGTGATTCCCACCACATTCCTATTCAAATCTTCTATTTGGCCTGTGCAGAAGACAGATGGATCTTGGAGAATGAAAGTGGATTATCATAAGCTTAACCAAATGGTGACTCAAATTGCAGCTGCTGTACCAAAAATGGTTTCATTGCTTGAGCAAATTAACACATTTCCTGGAACCTGGTAAGCAGCTATTAATTTGGCAAATGCATTTTTCTCCATTTCTATCCATAAAGCCTACCAGAAGCAATTTGCCTTCAGCTGGCAAGACTAGCAATATACCTTCATTGTCCTATCTCAGGGATATATCAACTCTCCAGCTTTGTGTCATAATCTTATTTGGAGAAACCTTGATCACTTTTTCCTTTCACAAGACATCACAATGGTCCATTACATTGGTGACACTATGCTGATTGGATCCAGTGAGCAAGAAGTAGCAAACACATTGGACTTATTAGTGAAACATTTGCATGCCAGAGGATGGTAAATAAATGCAACTAAAGTTCAGGGACCTTCTACCTCAGTATAATTTCTAGGGGTTCAGTGGTGTGGGGACTGTTGAGATATTCTTTCTAAGGTGAAGAATAAGTTGATGCACTTGGCCTCTCCTACAGCCAAGAAAGAGACACAATGTCTAGTCAGGCTATTTGGATTTTGGAGGCAACACATTTCTCATCTGAGTGTGTTACTTTGGTCCATTTATTGAGTGACCCAAAAGGCTGCCAGTTTTGAATGGGGTTCAGAACAGGAGAAGGCTCTGCAGTAGATCCAGGCTGCTGTGCAAGCTGCTCTGCCACTTGGGCCATATGAGCCGGCAGATTCAATGGTGCTTGAGGTGTCAGTGGCAGATGAAAATGCTGTTTGGAGCCTTTGGCAGGCCCATTGGTGAATCACAGTGGAGGCCTTTAGGATTTTGATGCAAGGCCCTGCCATCTTCTGCAGATAACTACTCTCCTTTTCAGAAACAGCTCTTGGCATGTTACTGGGCTTTAGTAAAAACTGAACGTTTGACTATGTGTGATTAAGTCATCGTGTGACCTGAACTGCCTATATGAACTGGGTTCTTTCTGACCCATCTAGCCATAACGTGGGCATGCACAGCCGCATTCCATTATCAAGTGGAAGTGGTCTATATGTGATCGGGCTCAAGCAGGTCCTGAAGGCACAAGAAACTTACATGAGGAAGTGGCTCAAATGCCCATGGTTTCCACTCCTGGTACCCTGCCTTCTCTCCACCAGCCTACACTGAAAGCCTCACGGGGAGTTCCCTGTGATATGTTGATAGAGGAAGAGAAGGCAAGGGCCTGGTTTTCAAATGGCTCTGTATGATATGCAGGCACCACCCAAAAGTGGACAGCTGCAGCACTACAGCCCCTTTCTAGGACATCCCTGAAAGACAATGGTGAAAGAAATCTTCCCAGTGGGCATAACTTCGAGCAGTGCAACTTGTTGTGCACTTTGCTTGGAAGGAGAAATGTCCAGATGTGCGATTATATACTGATTCATAGGCTCTAGCCAGTGGTTTGGCTAGATGGTCAGGGACTTGGAAGAAGAATAATGAGAAAATTGGTGACACAGAAATTTAGGGAAGAGGTATGTCGATGGATCTCTCTGAGTGGTCAAAAACTGTGAAGATATTTGTATCTCATGTGAGTGCTCACCAAAGGGTGACTTCAGCAGAGGAGTATTTTAATAATCAAGTGGATAAGATGACTCATTCTGTGGACACAACTCAGCCTCTTTCCCCAGCCACCCCTGTCATCACTCAATGGCCCCATGAACAAAGAGACCATGATGGTAGGGATGGAGATTATGCAAGGGCTCAGCAACATGAACTTCCACTCACCAAGGCTGACCTGGTTACTGCCACTGCTGTGTGCCCAATTTGCCAGCAGCAGAGACCAACACTGAGCCCTCGATATGGCACCATTCCTCAGGGTGATCAGCCAGCTACTTGGTGGCAGGTTGATCATACTGGACTTCTTCCATTATGAAAAGGGCAGCAGTTTGTCCTCACTGGAATAGATACTTACTCCAGATACAGGTTTGCCTCTCCTGCACACAATACTTCTCCCAAGACTACCATCTGTGGACTCACGGAATGCCTCATCCACCGTCATGGAATTCCACATAGCATTGACTCTTACTAAGGCACTTACTTTATGGCTAAAGAGGGGCAGCACTGGGCTCATGCTCATGGAATTCACTGGTCTTATTATATTCCCCATCATCCTGAAGCAGCTGGATTGATAGAATGGTACAATGGCCTTTTGAAGTCACAATTACAATGCCAACTAGGTGGACAATACTTTGCAGAGCTAGGGCAAAGCTTTCCAGAAGGCTGTGTATGCTCTGGATCAGCATCCAATATATGGTACTCTTCCTCTCGTAGCTAGAATTCATGGATCCAGGAATCGAGGAGTGGAAGTGGATGTCACACCACTCACCATTACCCCTAGTGACCCACTAGAAAAGTTTTGCTTCCTGTTCCCACAACATTATGTCCTGCTGGCCTAGATGTCTTAGTTACAGAGGGAGGAACACTGCCACCAGGAGACACAACAACAATTCCATTAAGCTGGAAGCTAAGACTGCCACCTGGCCACTTTGGGCCCCTCTTACCTCTAAGTCAAGAGACAGAGACTAAGAAGGGGGTTACAGTGTCACCTGGGGTGATTTACCTGGACTATCAAGATGAAATTAGTCTACTACTCCACAACAGAGGCAAGGGAGAGTATGCATATTATAGAGGAGATCTCTTAGGGCATTTCTTAGTATTACTATGCCCTGTGATCAAGGTCTATGGGAAACTACAACAGGCCAGTCCAGGCAATACTACAAATGGTCCAGACCCTTCAGGAATGAAGGTTTAGTTCACTACACTACAAAAAACAAACAAACAAAACAAAAAAAAAACCGACCTGCTGAGGTGCTTGCTGAAGGCAAAGGTAATACAGAATGTGTAGTAGAAGAAGGCAGTCATCAATACCAGCTACAATCACGTGACCAGTTGCAGAAACGAGAACTAATTGTCATGAGTATTTCCTCCTCTTTTTGTTAAGAACATATTTGTGCATGTATGCACTTGTACTAAGAAAATATCATTTTATTTGCTTTCTTTTTTCTTTATCACGTGACATGAGATTTATTGACTTCATATCAGCAATTGAGTGTTATTAACTTTATGTAATAGCATTTGGGTTGGGGACTGGTGCATTTCCAGTTGTACAAAAATAGCTGTAGTATGTTAGCCATAATTACAACCTTATTATTTTCTTTATTAGAAGATTATGTCTGATTTCAGGAGATGTGTATGGGTTCGAGTTGACAAGGGATGGACTTGTGATGGTTAATATTGAGTGTCTACTTGATTAGATTGAAGGATGCAAAGTATAGTGCTTGGGTGTGTCTCTGAGGGTGTTGCCAAAGGAGATTAACATTTGAGTCAGTGGATTGGGAAAGGAAGGCCCACCCTCAATCTGGGTGGGCAGAGTCTAATCAGCTGCCAGCATAGCCAGAATAAAAGCAGGCAGAAGAATGTGGAAAGACTAGACTGGTTTAGTCCTCTGGCCTACATCTTTCTCCCGTGCTGGATGCTTTCTGCCCTGGAATATCACACTCCAATATTTCTGCTTTGGGACATGGGCTGGCTTCCTTGCTCCTCAGCTTGTAGAAGGCCCATTGTGGAACCTCACCCTGTGATTGAGTGAGTCAATACTCCTTAATAAACTTCCCTTTATATATACATCTATCCTATTTGTTCTGTCCCTCTAGAGAACCCTGACTAATACACCATCTCTCACTTTATACAAAAATCGTCTCACGATGGATCAAAGACTTAAACCTAAAACCTAAAATCATAAAAATTCTAGAACACAACATTAGAAAAACTCTTCTAGACATTAGCTTAAGCATAGAATTCATGACTAAGGCCCCTAAAACAAATGTAACAAAAACAAAAATAAATAAATGTTACCTAACTAAACTAAAAATCTTCTGCATAGTAAAAGAAATTATCAGCAGAGTAAAGAGACAACCCACAAGATATGAGAAAATATTCTCAACCTATGCATCCAACAAAAGATTAGTATCCAGAATCTACAAGAAACTCAAAAAAATCAGCAAACAACAAACCAGTCTTACCAAAAAGTGGACCAAAGAAATGAACAGGCATTTCCCCAAAGAAGATATACAAACAGCCAACAAACATACAAAAAAAAAAAATACTTCACAACACTAATCATCAGGAAAATGCAAATTAAAATCACAAGGAGATACCATTTTACTCCTTAAGAATGACTGTAATTAAAGTCAACAAACAATAGATGTTGGCATGGATGTGCGGAAAAGGGAACACATATATACTGCTGGTAGAAATTTAAATTACTACATAGTAATTACCATTACTATGGAAAACAGTATGGAGATTCCTTAAAGAACTAAAAGTAGACCTATTCGGTCCAGCAATCCCACTACTGGATATCTTCCTGAAGAAAAAGAAGTCATTATATGAAGAAAAAAAAAAACACATGTTTAGAGCAGAAAAATTTACAAGAGCATAGATATGGAACCAACCAAATGCCCATCAACCAACAAGTAGATAAAAATAAATGTGGTATATATACACCATGGAATACTACTCAGTCGGGAAAAGGAATACAATAATGTCTTTTGCCACAAGTTGGGTGCTGCTGGAGGCCATTATTCTTAGTGGAGCATGGCCAGGGACGCCCATCCCCCTAGACTCACTCAGAAAAAGGAACAAAATAATGTTTTTTGCAGCAACTTGGGTGCTGCTGGAGGCTATTATTCTGTAGTGGAGCACAACCAGGGATGGCCATCCCCCTAGGCTCAACTTACTCCCATAGAAGACTTTAGACCTAGGAGAACTATAGGGCCTGAACTCTGCAGGGTCGGTTTGACATGAGCACCCCTCGGTCTACTGGCTTCTCCTGGGGCCTGGCTGTGTCCACTGAGGTGAAGTAACTCGGGAATGGAAAACCAAATATTGCATGTTCTCACTTAGAAGTGGGAGCTAAGCTATAAGAATGCAAAGGCTAACAATGATATAATGTACTCAGAGGGTGGTGAAGGTCGGGAGAGGAGTGAGAGACGAAAGACTACATATTGGGTACAGTGTACACTGCTTGAGTGACTGGTGCACTAAAATTTAAGAAATCACCACAGAAGAACTTATCCATGTAACCAAAAACCACCTGTACCCCAAAACCTATTAAAATAAGAAAAAAATATATTTTTTAAAATTTTATCTTATTTGATGTCCTTGGTGTTTTGATTGTGGTGTAAGTGGATTCGGTTTACTGGCTTTTTTCCTGAAAGATTTTAGGAGACCAAGGCTCAGCTCAGGACTACTGGACTGTGTGTTCTAACTCTGGGGGACTGGTATCTGGTCCTGGCTTTGATCTGTCTTATCGAGGTTAGAAACATGCTGTGCTGGAGGGGCCAAGGTGCTCCAGGACCACTGGTCACAACACTGATGAGTGGTGCCAGCCAAAGCACTTCGTGGGCAGTGGCAGCAGGAATTGTCCTCGCTCGCACATGCCGGCAGCAGCAGCAGATGCAGCATTGCTGGGTGTACGCTCCTTGGCTGCAGCAGGATATTAGCAGGTGCTAGGGTGCGAACCTCTGTGTGAGCACTGGAAACAGTGGCCAAGGCAGTACAGCTTGGGGGCTGGGAGGCTTCCCCTGGTGACTGTGCACGCGTTAATGCCAGTGGTGGTGTTAGCATGTGGACCGGGTTCTGTTGGGTGCAGGATTCGGTGAGCCCTCTGTGCACCCTCACGCTGGTGGTGGTCACTGCTCCCGCCTAGGGGCAGGTCCCCTGATTTCCAAGCCTAGTTTCCTGCTGGAGGCAGTGTTAGCAGAATGCTGGCGCGGGCAGATCTGGCGGCTCCATACCTGCCACTGCTCAAACGACAATGGTGGTGTGATGAGGGGAGTTGGCGGAGGTGCGCTCATGCCCATAGCAATGGCACGGCAGAGTGCATGCGCACACGCGTGCTAGCAGAGAAAGGAGGGCTTCGTGCCCCTATGCACACACGCACCAGCAAAGCGGTGTGGAGGGGTGGCCATGGGTGAGTGACTGCAGGCAAAGGGATACAGGGGAGTTTGCAATGGGGGAGGACGCAGACTAGCTGGTGCATGTCGGCTGGGGCCACTATGCTGGAGCACTCTGCCAGTCAGGCATGGTCTGCAAGTGCAGGAGGTATAATGTGAGCCCCCAGGAGGCACCTAGGGGCTACACTGCAAGCAGACACAGCCATGCTGGGGCCCCAGGAGCAGCCAGTAGACCGAGGGTCACTCATGTCACAGTGATCCTTTCTCATGATCAAAACCGCCCTGCAGACTTCAGGCCCTATAGTCCCCCAAGGGCTAAAGCCTCCTATGGGAGCAAGTTGAGTCTAGGGGGATGGGTGTCTCTGACCGTGCCCCACTAAGATATTCCTGCACCAAACCCTTATGGGCTCCACACTGGCTGGAGTTCTGCACCTACCACTTCTCTAAGCAGCTTTCTCTGACAACTTAAGTGTCTGTTGTAGTCGAGGGGTCTCCTCCTGATGAGGTTCCAGAGGCCCCTGGCAAGAGCAAGTTGCTCCTTGCATGTTAAGGTAACCCCTTGCACAGGAGTCATTGGGAGCCAAGAATGATTCCAAGTGTTGTGTAAGTCCCAGTAGGCCTTCCATCTTCCTCCCGCTTCATCTCAGACACTCTTTCTTTCATCCCTCTGCTCTCAATGCCTTCCCTCTGAAGATCTGCTAGGAATTATACAGTCTTCCCAATGTCATAGGAGATGTTACCCCTGGTTGCCTCTCGTCAGCCATCTTGGGCAGAAATATTTAAGCTATTATAGACTATGGTCACCCTGTTGTCTTGAATTCTATTTTTGTCTTTATAGTAGAATGATTTATATTCCTTTGGGTATATGCCCAGTAGTGGGATTGCTGGGTCAAATGGTATTTCTGGTTCTAGATCCTTGAGGAATTGTCGCACTGTCATCCACAGTGTTTGAACCAATTTACATTCCCACCAACATTGTAAAAGCATTCCTATTTCTCCACAGTCTCACCAGCATCTATTGTTTCCTGACATTTTAATAATCGCCATTCTGACAGCGTGAGATGGTATCTCATTGTGGTTTTGATTTGCATTTCTCTAATGATCAGTGATGATGAGATTTTTTGTTCTTTTTTTTATTATACTTTAAGTTCTAGGGTACATGTACACAATGAGCAGGTTTGTTACATAGGTATACATGTTCCATGTTGGTTTGCTGCACCCATCAACTCATCATTTACATTAGGTATTTATCCTATTGCTATCCCTCCCCCAGACCCCCAACCCCTAACAGGCCCCAGTGTGTGATGTTCCTCTCCCTGTGTCCACGTGTTCTCATTGTTCAACTCCCACTTATGAGTGAGAACATGCGGTGTTTGGTTTTCTGTTTCTCTGTTAGGTTGCTGAGAATGATGGTTTCCAGCTTTACCCACGTCCCTGAAAAGGACATAAACTCATTCTTTTTATGGCTGCATAGTATTCCATGGTGTATATGTGCCAAATTCTCTTTATCCAGTATTTCATTGATGGGCATTTGAGTTGGTTCCAAGTCTTTGCTATTGTGAATAGTGCTGAAATAAACATACGTGTGCATGTATCTTTATAGTAGCATGATTTATAATCTTTGGGTATATACGCAGTAATGGGATTGTTGGGTCAAATTGTAGTTCTAGTTGTAGATCCTTAAGGGATCACCACACTGCCTTCCACAATGGTTGAACTAATTTACACTCCCACCAACAGTGTAAAAGCGTTCCTATTTCTCCACATCCTTTCCAGCATCTGTTGTTTCCTGACATTTTAATGATCGCCATTCTAACTGGTGTGAGATGGTATTACATTGTGGTTTTCATTTGCATTTTTCTGATGGCCAGTGATGATGAGCATTTTTTCATGTGTCTGTTGGCTGCATAAATGTCTTCTTTTGGGTAGTGTCTGTTTATATCCTTTGCCCACTTTTTGATGGGGTTGTTTATTTATTTATTTATTTATTTGTAAATTTGTTTAAGTTCTTTGTAGATTCTGGATATTAGCCCTTTGTCAGATGGATAGATTGCAAAAATTTTCTCCCAATTTGTAGGTTGTGTGTTCACTCTGATGATAGCTTCTTTTTCTGTGCAGAAGCTCCTTAGTTTAATTAGATCCCATTTGTCAATTTTGGCTTTTGTTGCCATTGGTTTTGGTGTTTTAGTCATGAAGTCTTTGCCCATGCCTATGTCCTGAATGGTATTGCCTAGGTTTTCTTCTAGGGTTTTTATGGTTTTAGGACTTACATTTAAGTCTTTAATCCATCTTGAGTTAATTTTTACATAAGGTGTAAAAAAGGGATCCAATTTCAGCTTTCTACTTCTGGCTAGCCACTTTTCCCAGCACCATTTATTAAATAGGGAATCCTTTCCCCATTTCTCATTTTTGTCAAGTTTGTCAAAGAACAGATGGTTGTAGATGTGTGGTGTTATTTCTGAGGCCTCTGTTCTGTTCCATTGGTGTATATATCTGTCTTGTTACCAGTACCATGCTGTTTAGGTTACTGTAGTCTTGTAGTATAGTTTGAAGTCAGGTCGTGTGATGCTTCCAGCTTTGTTCTTTTTGCTTAGGATTGCCTTGGCTATGTGAGCTCCTTTTTGGTTCCATATGAACTTTAGTTTTTTCCAATTCTGTGAAGAAAGTCATTGGTAGCTTGATGGGGATGGCATTGAATCTATAAATTAACTTGGGCAGTATGGCCATTTTCAGGATATTAATTCTTCCTATCCATGAGCATGGAATATTCTTCCATTTTTTTGTGTCCTCTTTTATTTTGTTGACAAGTGGTTTGTAGTTCTCCTTGAAGGGGTCCTTCACATCCCTTGTAGTTGGATTCCTAGGTGTTTTATTTTCTTTGTAGTAATTGTGAATGGGAGTTCACCCATGATTTGGCTGTTTGTCTGTTCTTGGTGTATAGAAATGCATGATTTTTGCACATTGATTTTGTATCCTGAGACTTTGCTGAAGTTACTTATCAGCTTAAGGAGATTTGGGGATGAGCTGATGGGATTTTTTAAGTATACAATCATGTCATCTGCAAAGATAGGCAATTTTACTTTCTCTTTTCTTAATTGAATACCCTTTATTTATTTATCTTGTCTGATTGCCTTGGCTGAACTTCCAATACTATGTTGAATAGGGGTGGTGAGAGAGGGCATCCTTGTCTTGTGCCAGTTTTCAAAGGAAATGCTTCCAGTTTTTGCCCATTCAGTATGATATTGGCTGTGGGTTTGTCATAAATAGCTCTTATTATTTTGAGATATGTTCCATCAATACCTAGTTTTTTGAGAGTGTTTAGCATAAAAGGCTGTTGAATTTTGTCAAAGGCCTTTTCTGCATCTGTTGAGATAATTATATGGTTGTTGTCATTGGTTCCGCTTATGTGATGGATTACATTTATTGATTTGGGTGTGTTGAACCAGCCTTGCATCCCCAGGATGAAGCCAACTTGATCATGGTGGATAAGCTTTTTGATGTGCTGCTGTATTCGGTTTGCCAGTATTTTATTGAGGATTTTCCCATTGATTTTCATCAGGGATATTGGCCTACAATTCTCTTTTTTTATTGTGTCTCTGCCAGAATATGGTATCAGGATGATGCTGCCCTCAGAAAATGTGTTAGAGAGAATTACCTCTTTTTCTATTGATTGGAATAGTTTCAGAAGGAATGGTACCAGCCGCTCTTTGTACCTCTGGTGCAATTCGGCTGTGTATCCATCTGGTCCTGGATTTTTTTGCTTGGTAGGCTATTAATTATTTCCTCAATTTCAGAACCTGTTATTGGTCTATTCAAAGATTCAACTTCTTCCTGGTTTAGTCTTGGGAGGGTGTATGTGTCCAGGAATTTATCCATTTCTTCTAGATTTTCTAGTTTATATGCATAGATGTGTTTATACTATTCTCTGATGGTAGCTTGTATTTCTATGGGATCAGTGGTGATATCCCTTTTATCATTTTCTATTGTGTCTGTTTGATTCTTCTCTCTTTTCTTCTTCACTAGTCTGGCTAGCAGTCTATCTATTTTGTTGATCTTTTCAAAAAAACAGCTCCTGGATTCATGAATTTTTTTAAGAGTTTTTGTCTCTATCTCCTTCAGTTCTGCTCTGATGTTAGTTATTTATTGTCTTCTGCTAGCTTTTGAATTTCTTTGCTCTTGCTTCTCTGGTTCTTTTAATTGTGATGTAATGGTTTCAATTTTAGATCTTTTCTGCTTTTTATTGTGGCCACTAAGTGCTATAAATTTCTCTCTACACACTTCTTTAAATATGTCCCAGAGATTCTGGTACGTTGTGCCTTTGTTCTTATAGGTTTCAAAGAACATCTTTATTTCTGCCTTCATTTCGTTATTTACTCAGTATTCATTCAGGAGCAGGTTTTTCAGTTTTCATGTAGTTCTGTGGTTTTGAGTGAGTTTCTTAATGCTGAGTTCTAATTTGATTGCACTGTGGTCTGAGAGACAGTTTGTTGTGATTTCTGTTCTTTTACATTTGCTGAGGAGTGTTTCACTTCCAATTATTTGGTCAATTTTAGAATATGAGCAAAGTGGTGCTAAGAAGAATGTATATTTTATTGATTTGGGGTGGAGAGTTCTGTAGATGTCTATTAGGTAAACTTGGTGCAGAGCTGAGTTCAAGTCCTGGGTATCCTTGTTAATTTTCTGTCTTGTTGATCTGTCTAATATTGACAGTGGGGTGTTAAAGTCTCCCATTATTATAGTGTGGGAGTCTAAGTCTCTTTGTAGGTATATAAAAACTTGCTTTATGTGTCTGGGTGCTCCTGTATTGGGTGCATATGTTTAGGATAGTTAGCTTTTCTTGTTGAATTGATCCCTTTACCATTATGTAGTGGCTTTCTTTGTCTCTTTTGATCTTTGTTGGTTTCAAGTCTGTTTTATCAGAGACCAGGATTGGATTACAACCCCTGCTTTTTTTTTTTTTTTTTTTTGCTTTCTATTTGCTTCGTAGATCTTCCTTCATCCCTTTATTTTGAGCCTATATGTGTCTTTGCATGTGAGGTGGGTCTCTTGAATACAGCACACCAATGGGTCTTGACTCTTTATCCAATTTGCCAGTCTGTGTCTTTTAACTGGGGCATTTAGCCCACTTACATTTAAGGTTAATATTGTTATGTGTGAATTTGAGTCTGTCGTTATGTTGCTAGCTGGTTATTTCACCTGTTAATTGATGCAGTTTCTTCATAGCATCAATGGTCTTTACAATTTGGCATGTTTTTGCAGTGGCTGATACCGGTTGTTCCTTTCCATGTTTAGTGCTTCCTTCAGGAGCTCTTGTAAGGCAGGTCTGGTGGTGACAAAATCTCTCAGCATTTGCTTGTCTGCAAAGGATTTTATTTCTCCTTCATTTATGAAGCTTAGTGTGGCTGGATATGAAATTCTGGGTTGAAAATTCTTTTTTTTTAAAGGATGTTGAATACTGGCCCCCATTCTCTTCTGGCTTGTAGAGTTTCTGCAGAGAGATCTGCTGTTAGTCTTATGGGGTTCCCTTTGTGGGTGTCCCGACATTTCCCTGTGGCTGCCCTTTATATTTTTTCCTTCATTTTGACCTTCGTATATCTGACAATTATGTGTCTTGGGTGCTCTTCTCAAGGAGTATCTTTGTGGCGTTTTCTGTATTTCTTGAATTTGAATGTTGGCCTGTCTTGCTAGGTTGGGGACGTTCTCCTGGATAATATCCTGAACAGTGTTTTCCAAGTTAGTTCCATTCTCCCCGTCACTTTCAGGTACACCAATCAAACTTAGATTTGGTCTTTTAACATAGTCTCATATTTCTTGGAGGGTTTGTTCATTTCTTTTTACTCTTTTTTCTGTAATCTTGTCTTCTCACTTTATTTCATTAATTTGATCTTCAATCGCAGATATCCTTTCTTCTGCTTGATCACATTGGTTATTGAAACTTGTGTATGCTTCACGAAGTTCTCGTAGTGTGTGTTTCAGCTCCATCAGGTCATTTAAGGTCTTCTCTACACTTGTTATTCTAGTTAGCCATTTGTCTAATCTTTCTTCAAGGTTTTTAGCTTCCTTGCAATGCGTTAGAAAATGCTCCTTTAACTCGGAGAAGTTTGTTGTTATTGACTTTCTGAAGCCTACTTTTGTCAACTTGTCAAACTCATTCTCCATCCAGTTTTGTTCCCTTGCTGGTGAGGAGTTGTTTTCTTTTGAAGAAGAAGAGTCATTCTGGTTTTTGGAATTTTCAGCCTTTCTGCTATGGTTTCTGTCCATCTTTGTGGTTTTATCTACCTTTGGTCTTTGATGTTGGTGACTCACGAATGGGGTTTTGGTGTGGATGTTTTTCTGTTGTTGTTGTTGATGTTGATGTTATTCCTTTCTGTTTGTTAGTTTTCCTTCTAACAGATAGGCCTCTCTGCTGCAAGTCTGTTGGAGTTTGCTGGAGGTCCACTCCAGACCCTATTTGCCTGAGTATCACCAGGAGAGGCTGCAGAACAGCAAATATTGCTGCCTAATCCTTCCTCTGGTAGCTTTGTACCAGAGGGACACCTGCCTCTATGAGGTGTCTCTCAGCCCCTACTGGGAGGTGTCTCCCAGTCAGGCTACACTGGGGTCAGGGACCCACTTGAGGAGGCATTCTGTCCATTATCAGAGCTCGAATGCTGTGCTAGGAGAACCACTGCTCTCTTCAGAGCTGTCAGGCAGGAACGATTATGTCTGCAGAAGCTGTTTACTGCCTTTTGTTCAGATATGCTCTGCCCCCAGAGGTGAAATCTAGAGAGGTAGTAGGCCTTGCTGAGCTGTAGTGGGCTCCACCCAGTTAGAGCATCCCTGCCACTTTGTTTGCATTGTGAGCATACAACTACCTACTCAAGCCTCAGCAATGGCTGATGTCCCTCCTCACACCAAGCTCCAGCATCCCAGGTCAATCTCGGACTGCCATGCTAGGAGTGAGCAAGGCTTTGTGAGTGTGAGACCTCCCGAGCCAGGCACAGCAGGGTATCTCCTGGTCTACCAGTTGCAAAGACCATGGGAAAGCACAGTATTTGGACAGAAGTGTACTGTATCTCCAGGTACAGTCACTCAAGGCTTCACTTGGCTTGGAATGGGAAATCCCCTGACCACTTGCACTTCCCTGGTGGGGTGACGTCTTGCCCTGCTTCAGCTCACCCTCTGTGGGCTGCACCCACTGTCAAACCAGTCCCAATGACATGAACCACGTATCTCAGTTGGAAATGCAGAATTCACCCATTTTCTGCATTGATCTTGCTGGGAGCTGTAGACCAGACCAGTCCCTATTTGGCCATCTTGGAAGTGACTCCAATTATGAGATTTTTTTCATATGTTTGTTGGCTGCATAATTGTCTTCATTTTTATTTCTAAAAAAAAAAAAACTAGGATACATGTGCAGAATGTGCAGGTTTGCTACATAGTTATACATGTGCCATGGTGGTTTGCTGCACCTATTGACCCGTCCTCTAAGTTCCCTCCCCTCAACCCCACCCCCCAACAGGCCCTGGTGTGGGCTGTTACCCTCTCTGTGTCCATGTGTTCTCAATGTTCAACTTCCACTTATGAGTGAGAACATGCTGTGTTTGGTTTTCTGTTCCTATGTTAGTTTGCTGAGGATGTTGCCTTCCAGCTTCATCCATGTCCCTGCAAAGGACATCATTTCATTCTTTTTTATGCCTGCATAGTATTTCATGGTGTATGTATACCACATTCTCTTTATCCAGTCTATCATTGATGAGTATTTGGGTTGGATCCATATCTTTGCTATTGTAAATAGTGCTGCAAGAAACATTTATGTGCATGTGTCTTTATAGTAGAATTATTTAATTCCTTTGAGTATATACTTATAATGGAATTGCTCAGCCAAATGTATTTCTGATTCTAGATCCTTGAGGAATCACCACAATGTCTTCCACAATGGTTGAACTAATTTACATCCCCACCAATAGTGTAAAAATGTTCGTATTTCTCCACAGCTTCACCAGCATCTATTGTTTCTTGACTTTTTAATAATTGCCATCCTAACTGGCATGAGATGGCATCTCATTGTGGTTTTTTTATTGAGATAATCATTGTGGTTTTGATTTGCATTTATCTGATGATCAGTGATGTTGAGCTTTTTTTTGTATGTTCATTGGCCACGTAAATGTCTTCTTTAGAGAAACATCTGTTCATATCCTTTGCCCATTTTTTGATGAGGTTGTTTGTTTTTTTCTTGTAAATATGTTTAAGTTTATTGTCCATTCTGGATATTAGACCTTTGTCAGATTGATAGATTGCAAAAACTTTCTCCCATTCTGTAGGTTGCCTGTTCACTCTGATGATAGTTTTTGTTTTGTTTTGTTTTACTGTGCAGAAGCCCTTTAGTTTAATTAGATTCTATTTGTCAATTTTGGCTTCTGTTGACGTAGCTTTTGGTGTTTTAGTCATAAAGTCTTTGACCATGCCTATGTCCTGACTGGTATTGCCTAGGTTTTCTTCTAGGATTTTTATGGTCCTGGGGTTTACATTTAAGCCTTTGCCCCATCTTGAGTTAATTTTTTATAAGGTGTAAGGAAGGGGTCAAGTTTCAGTTTTCTGCATACTGCTAGCCAGTTTTTCCAGCACTATTCATTAAATAGAGAATGATTTCCCCATTGCTTGCTTTTTTCAGGTTTGTCAATAATCAGATGGTTGTAGATATGTGGCATTATTTCTGAGGTCTCTGGGATGCAAGGCTGATTCAACATATGCAAATCAGTAAACGTAATCCATCACATAAACAGAACCAGTGACAAAAACCACATGATTATCTCAATAGATGCAGAAAAGGCCTTAGACAAAATTCAACACCCCTTTATGCTAAAAACTCTCAATAAACTGGGTATTGGTGGAACGTATCTCAAAATAATAAGAGCTATTTATGACAAACCCACAGCCAATATCCTACTGAATGGACAAAACCTGGAAGCATTTTCTTTGAAAACCGGCACAAGACAAGCATGCCCTCTCTCACTACTCCTATTCAATATGGTATTTGAAGTTGTTTGTTCTTTTTTTTAGTTCCTTTTTTTTTTTTTTTTTTTTTTTTTTTTTGAGACAGAGTTTCACTCTTTTCACCCAGGCTGGAGTGCAATGGCACAATCTCGGCTTACCGCAACCTTCACCTCCTGGTTTCAAGTGATTCTTCTGCCTCATCCTCCTGGGTAGCTGGGATTACAGGTGTGCACCACCATGCCTGGCTAAGTTTTTTATATTATTAGTTGAGATTGGGTTTCACTATGTTGGCCAGGCTTATCTCTAACTCCTGACCTCAGGTGATCCACCCACCTTGGCCTCCCAAAGTGCTGGGATTACAGGGGTGAGCCATCTTGCCCGTCCTATTTAGTTTTTTCAATTGTGATGTTAGAGTATCGATTTGAGATTTTTTTTTCTCGAGATGGAGTATTGCTCTGTCACCCAGGTTGGAGTGCAATGGCATGATCTCAGCTCACTGCAACCTCTGCCTCCTGGGTTCAAGCAATTCTCCTGCCTCAGCCTCCTGAGTAGCTGGGATTACAGGTATGCACCACCATGCCTGGCTCTTTTTTTTGTATTTTTAGTAGAGACGTGGTTTCACCATGTTGGCCAGGCTGGTCTTAAACTCCTGACCTCATGATCCACCCACCTCAGGCTCCCAAAGTGCTGGGATTACAGGTGTGAGCCACCATGCCCAGCTGATTTGAGATCTTTCCAGCTTCTGATATGGGCATTTATTGCTATAAATTTTACTCTTAACACTGCTTTAGCAGTGTCCCAATGATTCTGGTATGTTGTCTCTTTGTTCTCACTGATTTCAAATAATTTCTTGATTTCTGCCTTAATTTCGTTATTTACACAGGAGTCATTCAGGAGCAGGTTGTTCAGTTTCCATATAGTTGTGTAGTTTTGAGTGAGTTTCTTAATTCTGGGTTCTAATTTGATTGCACTGTGGTTGAGGAACTGTTTGTTACGATTTCAGTTCTTTTGCATTTGCTGAGGAGGGTTTTACCTTCAATTATTTGGTCAATTTAGAATAAGTGCCACATAACACTTAGAAGAATGTATATTCTGTTGATTTGGGGTGGAGAGTTCTGTAGAAGTCTATTAGGTCCTCTTGATCCAGAGCTGAGTTTAAGTTCTGAATATTCTTGTTAATTTTCTGTCCCATTGATCTGTCTAATATTGACAGTGGGGTGTTAAAGTCTTCCATTATTATTGTGTGGGTGTCTAATTCTCTTTGTAGTTCTCTAAGAACTACATAAATCTGGGTTCTCCAATGTTGGGTGCATATATATTTAGGATTGCTAGCTCTTGTTGCTGTGTTGATCCCTTTACCATTATGTAATTCCCTAGTTTGTCTTTTTTGATCTTTGTTGGTTTAAAGTCTGTTTCATCAGAGACTAGAATTGCAACCCCTGCTTTTTGCTTTCCATTTGCTTCATAAATGTTCCTCCATCCCTTTATTTTGTGTCTTTGCACGTGTGATGGGTCTCTTGAATACAGCACACTAATGGGTTTAGATTCTTTATCCAATTTGCCAGTCTGTGCCTTTTAATTGGGAACTTTAGCCTATTTACATTTAAGGTTAATATTGTTATGTGTGAATTTGATATTGTCATTATGATGTTAGCTGGTTATTTTGCACATTATTTGATGCAGTTTCTTCATAGTGTCATTGGTTTTGATATTTTGGTGTGTTTTTGCAGTGGCTGGTACTGGTTTTCTCTTTCTATATTTAGTGCTTCCTTCAGGTGCTGTGGCAGGGCAGACTTGGTGGTAGCAAAATTTTTTAGCTGTGACTGCAGCCGCCTTTCCTCCCAGGAACTCTGTCCCAGGAAGATTAGCATTTTATCTGTAAGTCCCTGGCTGGGGCTGCTGCATTTCCTACAGAGATGCTCTGCCCAGTGAGGAGAAATCTAGAGAAGCTTTTCTGGAAAGGATTTTATTTTTTCTTTGCTTATGAAGCTTAATTTAGCTAAATATGAAATTCTGGGTTGAAAATTCTTTTTCTTTAAGAATGTTGAATATTGGTCCCCAACAATCTTCTGGCATTTAGGTTTTCTGCTAAGAGATACACTCTTATTCTGATGGACTTTTCTTTGTAGGTGACCCGACCTTTCTCTCTGGCTGCCCTTAACATTTTTTTTCTTCATTTCATCCTTGGAGAATCTGATGATTATGTGTTGTGGAGTTGATATTCTTGTAGAGTATCTTAGTGGTGTTCTGTGTATTTTGTGAATTTGAATGTTGGTCTGTCTTGCTAGGTTGGGGAAGTTCTCTTGGATAATATCCTGAAATGTGTTATCCAACTTGGTTCCATTCTCTCCGTTACTTTAATGTACACCAATCAGTTGTAGGTTTGGTGTTTTCACATAGTCCCATATTTCTTGGAGGCTTTGTTCATTCCTTTTTTTCTCTAATCTTGTCTGCATGCCTTATTTCAGCAAGGTGGACTCCAATCTCTGATGTTTTTTCTTCCACTTGCTCTATTTGCCTGTTTATACTTGTGTATGCTGCACAATGTTCTCATGCTGTGTTCTTGAGCTCCATCACGTTATTTATGTTCCCCTCTAAACTGATTATTCTAATTAGCAGTTCCTGTAACCTTTTATCAAGGTTCTTAGCTTTCATGCATTGGGTTGGAACATGCTCCTTTAGCTCAGAAGATTTTGCTATTCCCACCTTCTGAAGCCTGCCTCTGTCAATTCATCAATCTCATTATCCATCCAGTTTTGCGCCCTTGCTGAAGAGGTGTTGTGATCCTTTGGAGGAGAAGAAGCATTCTGACTTTCGGAATTTTCAACATTTTTCCTCGTTTTTTTTTTTTTTTTCTCATCTTCTTGGATTCATTTATCTTTGATCTTTGAGCCTTACTAGCTTTGGATGGGTTTTTCTGGGTAGTCTTTTTGTTGATGTTGCTGTTGCTTTCTGTTTGTTAGTTTTTCTTCTAACAGTCAGACCTCTCTTCTGCACGTCTGCTGCAATTTGCTGGAGGTTTACTCCAGACCCTTTTCACCTGGGTATCACCAGTGGAGGCTACAGAGCAGCAAAGATTGCTGCCTGCTCCTTCCTCTGGAAGCTTCATCCTAGAGGGGCACCATCCTGATGCCAGCTGGAGCTCTCCTGTATGAGGTGTCTGTCAACGCCTGTTGAGAGGTCTTTCCAAGTCAGGAGGCATGAGGTTCAGAAACCCACTTGAGAAGGAGTCTGTCCCTTAATAGAGCTAGTGCACTGTGCTGGGAGAATTCCCCTTTTCAGGATCAGCTGCTCTCTTTAGAGCTGGCAGGTAGAAAAGATTAAGCTCACTGAATCTGTGACTGCAGCCACCTTTCCTCCAAGGTGTTCTGTCCCAAGAAGATTAGAGTTTTATCTGTAAGCCCCTGGCTGGTTCTTCTGTATTTCCTGCAGAGATGCCCTGTCCAGTGAGGAGGAATCTAGTGAAGCAGTCTCACCACAGCCGCTTTGCCGTGCTGTGGTGAATTCCACCCAGTCCAAACCTCCCAGTCTCCTTAGCACCGTCAGGGAAAAACTACTTACTAAAGCCTCAGTAATGACAGTCACCTCTCCCTGCACCAAGCTTCATTGTCCCAGATCAACTCCAGACTGCTGTGCTGGCAGTGAGAATTTCAAACCAGTGGTTCTTAGCTTGCTGGGTTCTGTGGGAGTGGAATCTGCTGAGCAGGACAGCTTGGCTCACTGGCTTCAGCCCGCTTTACAGGGGAGTGAATGGTTCTCTTGTCTCACTGGAGTTCAAGGTGCTGCCAGAGTATAAAAGAACCCTGAAGCTTGGTGCCTGCCCAAACAGCTGCCCAGTTTTGTGCTTGAGACCCAGGGCCCTAGTGGTGTAGGCTCACAAGGGAATCTGACCTGCAGATTGCAAAAACCATGGAGAAAGTGTAGTGCCCGGGATGGGTAGAACAGTCCCTCATCACTTCCTTTGGCTGGGGGAGGGAAGTCCCCTCACTCCATGCCATTACTGGGTGAAGTGACGCCCCACCCTGCTTCTGCTCACTCTCCATGGGTTGCATCCACTGCCTAACCAGTTCCAATGAGATGAACTGGGTATCTCAGTTGGAAATGCAGAATCACCCACTTTCTGCGTTGTTCTCACTGGGAGCTGCAGACCAGAGCTGTTTCTATTTGGCCATCTTGGCCCCTCCACCACGCCTTATCATTATATAGTAATTTTTTTTGTCTATTCTTACCATTTTTGTCTTGGATTCTACTTTGTCTGATATAAGTATAGCTACTCCTGCTCTTTTTTGGTCTCTATTTCCATGGAATATATTTTTACATCCATTTATTTTTAGTCTATGTGTGTCTTTATATGTGAAATGTGTTTCCTGTAGGCAAGGGGTCAGTGGGTCTTGTTTTTTCATCCATTCAGTCACTATGTCTTTTGATTGTAGAGTTTAGTTCATTTACATTCAAAAATTGTATTGATAAGTAAAGACTTACTCCTGAAAATTTCATGTTTGTTTTTTGTTGTTGCTGTTGTTTTGTGGTCTTCTCTTCTTTTTTTATTTCCTTCCTGTCTTCTTTTAGGGAAGGTAATTTTCTCTGGGGATGAAATTTAGTTTCTTGGGTTTTTTATTTTTTGTGGATCTATTCTATATATTTTTTTGTTTTAGGTTCCCATGAGGCTTGCAAATTATAACCCAGTGTTTTTAGCTGAAAACAACTTAACACATTTTACATAAACCAAACAACAAAAAGCAAAAAGAAACTTCCTAATAATGCTACGCCTTAATTTTGTCCTCTTGCTTTTTAACTATTTCTAATTTCTACTTATATATTTTTGCCCTGTTGGTATCTTGAAATGTTGTTTTAGTTCTTATTTTTATTAGTTCATTATTTTCTATGTAGAATAACAGTTCTTTGCACACCACAGTTTAACACTGTTATAATATTCTGGGTTTTTCTGTGTACTTACTATTACCAGTGAGTTTTCCATGGTTAGGTGATTTCTTATTATTTTTTGGCATACTTTTCTTTCAGATCGAACTACTCCCTTTAACATTTTTTGTAGGACAGGTCTGGTGTTGATGAAATGCCTCGGTATTTGTTTGTTGGAAGGAGTCTTTATTTCTGCTCTGTGTTTGAAGAAAAATTTTGCTGGATGTACTATTCTAGGGTAAAAGATTTTTCTCTTCAGCATTTTAAATATGTAATGCCCATCTCTTCTGGTCTATAATGTTTCCAGTGAAAAGTCAGCAACCAGACGTTCTGGAGCTTCATTATATCCTATTTGTTTCTTTTGTCTTGCTGCTTCCAGGATCTTTTCTTTATCCTTAACCTATGGGTGTTTGATTATTAAATTCTCTGAGATAGTATTTTTGGGGGGATTAAATGTGCTTGGTGTTATAGAACCCTGTTGTACTTGGACATTGGTATCTTTCTCTGGATTTCGGAAGTTCTCTCTTATTATCCCTTTGAATAACCTTTCTATTCCTATCTTTTTTTTCTATGATTTCTTTAATGTTAATAATTTTATTTAGTTTTTATTATACTTTAAGTTTTAGGGTACAGGTGCACAAAGTGCAGGTTTGTTACATATGTATACATGTGCCATGTTGGTGTGCTGCACCCATTAACTCGTCATTTACATTAGGTATATCTCCTAATGCTATCCATAACCCCTCCCCCAACCCCACAACAGGCCCCAGTGTGTGATGTTCCCCTTCCTGTGTCCAGATGTTCTCATTATTCAATTCCCACCTATGAGTGAGAACATGCGGTGTTTGGTTTTCTGTCCTTGCCATAGTTTGCTGAGAATGATGGTTTCCAGCTTCATCCATGTCCCTACAAAGGACATGAACTCATCATTTTTTATGGCTGCATAGTATTCCATGGTGTATATGTGCCACATTTTCTTAATCCAGTCTATCATTGTTGGACATTTGTGTTGGTTCCAAGTCTTTGCTATTGTGAATAGTGACATAATAAACATACATGTGAATGTGTCTTTATAGCAGCATGATTTATAATCCTTTGGGTATATACCCAGTAATGGGATGGCTGGGGCAAATGGTATTTCTAGTTCTAGATCCCTGAGGAATTGCCACACTGACTTCCATAGTGGTTGAACTAGTTTACAGTCCCACCAACAGTGTAAAAGTGTTCCTATTTTTCTACATCCTCTCCAGCACCTGTTGCTTCCTGACTTTTTAATGATCGCCATTCTAACTGGTGTGAGATGGTATCTCATTGTGATTTTGATTTGCATTTCTCTGATGGCCAGTGATGATGAGCATTTTTTCATGTGTCTTTTGTCTGCATGAATGTCTTCTTTTGAGAAGTGTCTGTTCATATCCTTTGCTCACTTGTTGACGGGGTTCTTTGTTTTTTTCTTGTAAATTTGTTTGAATTCTTTGTAGATTCTGGATATTATCCCTTTGTCAGATGAGTAGATTGCAAAATTTTTCTCCCATTCTGTAGGTTGCCTGTTCATTCTGATGGTAGTTTATTTTGCTGTGCAGAAGCTCTTTAGTTGAATTAGATCCCATTTGTTAATTTTGGCTTTTGTTGCCATTGCTTTTGGTGTTTTAGACATGAAGTCCTTGTCCATGCCTATGTCCTGAATGGCATTACCTAGGTGTTATTCTAGGGTTTTTATGGTTTTAGGTCTAACATTTAAGTCTGTAATCCATCTTGAATTAATTTTTGTATAAGGTGTAAGGAAGGGATCCAGTTTCAGCTTTCTACGTATTGCTAGCCAGTTTTCCCAACACCATTTATTAAATAGGGAATCCTTTCCCCATTTCTAGTTTTTGTCAGGTTTGTCAAAGATCAGATAGTTGTAGATGTGTGGTATTATTTCTGAGGGCTCTCTTCTGTTCCATTGGTCTATATCTCTGTTTTGGTGTCAGTACCATGCTGTTTTGGTTACTGTAGCCTTGTAGTATAGTTTGAAGTCAGGTAGCATGATGCCTCCAGCTTTGTTCTTTTGGCTTAGGATTGACTTGGCAATGAGGGCTCTTTTTTGGTTCCATATGAATTTTAAAATAGTTTTTTCCAATTCTGTGAAGAAAGTCATTGGTAGCTTGATGGGAATGGCATTGAATCTACAAATTACCTTGGGCAGTATGGCCATTTTCACGACATTGATTCTTCATACCCATGAGCATGGAATGTTCTTCCACTTGTTTTTGTCTTCTTTTATTTCATTGAGCAGTGGTTTGTAGTTCTCCTTGAAGAGTTCCTTCACATCCCTTGTAAGTTGGATTCCTAGGTATTTTATTCTTTTGAAGCAATTGTGAATGGGAGTTCACTCATGATTTGGCTCTCTGTTTGTCTGTTATTGGTGTATAAGAATGCTTGTGATTTTTACACATTGATTTTGTGTCCTGAGACTTTGCTGAAGTTGCCTATCAGCTTAAGGAGATTTTGGGCTCAAATGATGGGGGTTTCTAGATATACAATCATGTCATCTGCAAACAGGGACAATTTGACTTCCTCTTTTCCTAATGGAATACCCTTTATTTCCTTCTCCTGCCTGATTGCCCTAGCTAGAACTTCCAACACTATGTTGAATAGGAGTGGTGAGACAGGGCATCCCTGTTTTGCGCTAGTTTTCAAAGGGAATGCTTCCAGTTTCTGCCCATTCAATATGATATTGGCTGTGGGTTTATCATAAATAGCTCTTATTGTTTTGAGATACGTCCCATCAATACCTAATTTATTGAGAGTTTTTAGCATGAAGGGGTGTTGAATTTTGTCAAAGGCCTTTTCTGCATCTATTGAGATAATCATGCAGTTTTTGTCATTGGTTCTGTTTATATGCTGGATTGTGTTTATTGATTTTCGTATGTTGAACCAGCCTTGCATCACAGGGATGAAGCCCACTTGATTATGGTGGATAAGCTTTTAGATGTGTTGCTGGATTTGGTTTGCCAGTATTTTATTGAGGGTTTTTGCATCGATGTTTATCAGGGATATTGGTCTAAAATTCTCTTTTTTTGTTGTGTCTCTGCCAGGCTTTGTTATCAGGATGATGCTGGCCTCACAAAATGAGATAGGGAGGATTCCCTCTTTTTCTATTGATTTTAGTAGTTTTGGAAGGAATGGTACCAGCTCCTCCTTGTACCTCTGGTAGAATTCGGCTGTGAATCCGTCTGGTCCTGGACTTTTTTTGGTTGGTAAGCTATTAATTATTGCCTCAATTTCAGAGCCTGTTTTTGGTCTATTCAGAGGTTCATCTTCTTCCTGGTTCAGTCTTGGGAGGGTGTATGTGTCAAGGAATTTATCCATTTCTTCTAGATTTTCTAGTTTATTTGTGTAGAGGTGTTTATAGTATTCTCTGATGGTAGCTTGTATTTCTGTGGGATTGGTGGTGATATGCCCTTTATCATTTTTTATTGCATCTTGCATTTTTCAATTTTAGCATCTGTACTTAATTCTTTTTAATTTGTAAAATCTTTTTGTTAATCTGATAGAATTCTGAATTTATTTTCTGTATTATCTTGAATTTCTTTGAGTTTCCTCAATACTGCTGTTTTGAATTCTATGTCTGAAAGTTCATATAGGTCTGTCTCCAGGATTGATCCCTGGTGCCTTATTTAGTTCATCGGTGAACTTATGTTTCCTGGATGGTACTGATGAAGCAGCCTCGTTGTCTGGCATGACACCTGAAGTTCATTATCTCATGACCATGAAAATCAAGAATGTGGACATACAAAGAGTGAGGATAAGAGCAGAAATTTGATAGGCAAAAAAAAAAAAAAAAAAAAAAAAAAAAGATAGTAGCTCTCTGCTACAGAGGGGGATCCCAGAAAAATCTGTTGCCAATCAATAATGAATTCAGGCATTTTTATACAAGAGCTAGTGTCTGATCTACATAGGGTATAAGAAACTGGTTAGGACCAGTTGTGCCATCTTCATAGGGTGCAAATCTCTGGAACCCCCATCCAAATGTTTTATTATGCAGGTCGGTTCTGTCCCTGAGCTTCTCCATGTTGCCTACTTCTTTCTAACTGTACACATGCTAAGAAAAATAGAAAGATGGAGCTTCCATGGTGAACATATCTGGTCCTCAAGTAGCCATTTTCTATTGGTGCAGCTGCTGGCATTCCCCCATGCAAGCTTCCAGCTTTCTTATCTATGTTTGCAGCTCACTCTTTCAGGCTGCTATTTGTTAGAAAATAAAACTATTTCTTGGTTCACTTTTTGGGAGAAAGGAAGCTCTGCCAAGGACTATTTTCCCTCACTATCTGCCTAAATAATTTCTTTCTATCTTCTATATCATTCCCACTCCCCTGGAGTGGAAATACTAATTGCTGTTGGCTGGGGGTGAGTGTTGGAAAACAACTCTTCTGGCTGCTTCTTGCTAGAGAGGGATGTCGTGTCAGGAACAGCAGCTAGGGCGCCTCCTGGGGGCCAATCTAAGGGTCCTTGGAAAAAAGACATGTCTATGCTTGGTTCCATATGTAACACCATTTAGAGTTTAATAGCTTCCAGGTGAGAGAAAACAATTTGAGTTATAGTATTGAGTATACAAGTTCCAAATATTAGCTCAAAACACATGAGCAAACAATCTAATAAAGGAGATAACCATTTTCATAAAGAAGACTGGAATTTATTAAGGAGGGATGGTAGCCACCTGGGACTGGAGCCCACATTTTCTCTTAACCTGTTAATGATTCTAATTTGATCTTTAAGCACCTGTAGCTTCTCTTCTATTTGACTAGAGGTGTTGATCCAGAAGCAACATGTTTTATTTAAAAGTGCACAAGTACCCCTACTTCAGTCGTAAGGACATCTAGGGCTTGTCTATTTTGTGCTACTACTGAGGCTAAAGAGCCTATGAATTGTTCTGCTTCTATGACTCCTATTGTTGCCTTCTACCCTCATTGCATCATAATAGAAATATTAAGTACTAATCTTTCAAGGAGAGGAATACTAGCAAACCAGAATAGGCCTCTGGATATAGAATCCCCTATCCATGTTTTTTCTAAGATAGAGTTGTCATGTTCATATCCTCTCCAGTCTTCTCTTTCAGTTAAATCTCCATACAAGGTCATGGAAATGGTAGATCTTTTTGTTTGTTTTATCCAAGATAGTGCAGTCTCTAGAAAAGATCTTAGGTTAAGGATGTCTCCAGATAATGCTGCCATTTCAGTGAAATTTAAAAATAGTAGTTCGGGGACCACTGCTACTACAGTTCAGGTTTCCTTCCAGTGCATATGGAGAATTAAGTGTATTTAGGAGCCACAGAGGAAATATGGCCCTGTTTTTTGAAAGGACCGTTCTAAGTTGTGGCTTATGAAAGACACAGGCAGATCTTTCTCATGTCTTAGAAGCTTTCTCTTTTTACACATAACAGGAGCATCTTTGGGATAGGGATACTCATATTCAGGATAGTCATTCGTGATGCTCTTTGGAATTTTACACACCAAATGAGAAGGGTCCATCTGTCAAATGAAGTTTTAAAAGATCAGGGGCACAATATGTCCTGGTCAATATCTTAGATAATCCTTGTGGCAAGAGCCATCGGTCCAGATGCCCCCTGTTTGCCCACAGATTTGCATGCCGCTACTATCAGCAAGCCTCATACAAGGATCTGGAATTTCATGAGGGGGCATATTTCGGAAGGCTTATGTTTTTTTTTAATATCATAGTACCATGTGTCAAGGCAGTTACCTAGAGCCTGTAATTCCCACGGGGACTTCCAAGCAGGAGGAGAGGCCAGATTCTGGAAGCCCCTCCGCGTAGGGCTTCCATTTTCTTTTTTAGATCATCCCTATAGTGTTTTCTTTTCCATACCTCTGAGCTTTCACCAAATACAAATGTGATGTGTTACAATGTTTGAGATATCCCAAGTATGGTTCCTTTCCCCTGCTCCTAAAGCAGAGGGAGGCATTTGCTATTACTCGGTCAACTTTTCCTAATCTGAGGATTTGAAGGTTATTTTTGAGGAGATTGTTTTCTGGCACCGGGAGAGGAGTGTTTTCCTGTGAGGAGTTAGTTACCCAGTTGAAAGTGCCCCCATACCATGTTTCATTTATGCCTGAAAAGTATTTAATGGTTAAAGGTAAAGCTAACAAAAGGAATCCTAAGACAATAAGTTCTGGGTCATCAAGAGGTTCTTTGGTGTTATTGAACTGAGCAAACGGTTCAGGAAAAAGCCATCAATTAGTTTTACTGTATAAGTGGGCAATGGCTGATATTGTAGTAGCTAAACAATGTGACATATTACTACACTCAATAAAAAGTCCTAGCAGACTCAATGATAGTAAAACTTTCGTCTTCACTTCTTTTCTTTAATTATTACCCATGCTATAAAGATAATAATTAAGCAAAATACTCTAGAGATTTTTTGTCCAATATTCCACTCTGGGAGTGCTACACTATATAGCCCTACCGCAAATAGTAGAGCGAGTATAGCAATTCCCACAAGTGTGGAATAGTAAATAATTTCCATCTAAAATTTTATTCATCAAGATGTAAAATTTTCCTTTGGGGGTCTATGAGGTTACAAATGTAATTCCATGGGCAATCAAAATCTCCCTGCAAGTATGTTTCTAAAAGAAGTTCTAATATCTGATGGCGCACCTTGAGAGGAAAGGTAGAAATGACCGAAAGTATCTGCTAAGGTAGAGGTGGGACTAAGTAGGATGAGTAACACTCACTCATTTACTTATCCTTTATAATTTTCAGCTTAAAATCCCCTATTTCTTTGCATTAATATTTGTGATGTTTCTGTAGGCTTTCAGGGGTTGCTCCCCCAGCTTTTCAGGCTTTGACTCAAGTGTGATGTATCCAGGTGTTGATTCCTGTAACTTTCACCACCGAGGCCTTCCCAATCTGGGCTAGTACTAGATCTCCTGGGTTGAATAAAGATAGATTTGGGTTGAATAAAGATAGTCCTATTTCTTGGGATTGGGCTTCTGTTAGTTGTGTTAATTTCTGTTGGAAGTGAGCTAGGGCAGCTACATTCTTAACCAATTCAGAAGCCTCTTGGTCCAATAGAAAATCACTGGTAAGAAAATACCATCCATCAGCATTTCAAAAGGTCTCAGACCTAACTTTGAAGGGGGATTTCTGACCTGTAATAAAGCCATGGGAAGAAGAGTGACCCAAGGAAGGTGAGTTCCTAGAGACAGTTTTCTGAGGTGTCTTTTGATGATATTGTTTGTCTTCTCTACCTTTCGTGAGGACTGGGATCTCCAAGAACAATAGATATACTGTATTTATAGTGCCTTGAGACCCCCTGTGTGATGGCTGCCTTAAATAAGGGGACGTTGTAACTTGGAGGTACTTAGGTAGACCAAAGTGGGGAGATATTTTATTAATTAATACTTGTATTACCTCAGAGGCCTTTTATATATGGCATAGAAATGCTTCTACCCAGTGGGTGAAAGTACCCATTACAGGAGGTACTGGGTGCCTTTGGTCTTTGGGATGTGGGTGAAGTCTATCTGCCAGTTTTCCCCTAGATAGCTTTTCATTTTGGGAGTTTGAAAAGGAAGAAGCTATCTGTTTAGGGGATTATTGTTAAGACAGACTTCACAAGAATTAACAACCTGTTTGACTGTTTTTAACAAGTTCTCTCCTGAAAACAATCTTTGAGCACAGTGATAAGTTTATCCTTTTCCAAGTGAAAAGCTTGGTGAAGGATATTAAGGACTTTTCGCTGACTCGAGGCTGGCAACTGGAGTTTGTCATCCCCTGACTGTAGCCATTCTGAGTGCTGGAAACTGTACCTTCAAGAGGTGGCCCATTATATTTCTGCAGGGGAGCACTGAGGCTTAATTTCTCTTATGGAGACTTCCTAGATTAGAAGGGCTTCAAGTGTGTTGAGGCCCTGAGGCTTTCTTGTCAATGACTTAGATTTCTAATCAGCTAACTTGATTCCTTTGGCTATTTCATCTGTTCCCTTCTGATGTCCTTTTTTTTTCATTACACTATAAGTTCAATTCTGGGATACATGTGCAGAAATTTCAGGTTTGTTATGTAGGTATACACATGCCATGGTGGTTTGCTACGCCCATCAACTCGTCATCTACATTAGGTATTTCTTCTAATGCTGTCCCTCCCCTAGCCCCTCACTCCCTGAGAGGCAATAATGTGTAATGTTCCCCTCCCTGTGTCCATGTGTTCTAATTGTTCAATTCCCACTTATGAATAGGAACATGCAGTGTTTGTTTTTCTGTTCCTGTGTTAGTTTGCTGAGAATGATGGTTTCTAGTTTCATCCATGTCCCTGCAAAGGACATTAGCTCGTCATTTTTTTATGGCTGCATCGTATTGCATGGTGCATATGTGCCACATTTTCTTTATCCAGTCTATCATTGATGGGCATTTGGGTTGGAACCAAGTCTTTGATGTTGTAAACAGTGCTGCAATAAACATATGTGTGCATGTGTCTTTATAGTAGAATAATTTACAAAAATTTGAGTATATACCCAGTAATTGGATTGCTGGGTCAAATGGTATTTCTGGTTCTAGATCCTTGAGGAATTGCCACACTGTCTTCCACAAAGATTGAACTAATTTCCACTCCCACCAACAGTGTAAAATTGTTCCTATTTCTCCAAATCTTCACCAGCATCTGTTGTTTCCTGATTTTTTTAATGATCACTATTCTAACTAGCGTGAGATGATATCTCATTGTGGTTTTGATTTGCATTTCTCTAATGACCAGTGATAATGAGTCTTTTTTCAT
Organism: Homo sapiens; assembly: GCF_000001405.40. NCBI lineage: Eukaryota > Metazoa > Chordata > Mammalia > Primates > Hominidae > Homo > Homo sapiens. The sequence continues at coordinate 76,543,361 of NC_000023.11, forward strand.
ATGTTTGTTGGCCTCATAAATGTTTTCTTTTGAGAAGTGTCTGTTCATATCCTTTGCCCACTTTTTGATGGAGTTGTTTGTTTTCTTCTTGTAAATTTGTTTAAGTTCTTTGTAGATCCTGAATATTAGCCCTTTGTCAGATAGATAGATTGCAAAAATTTTCTCCCATTCTGTAGGTTGCCTGTTCACTCTGATGATAGTTTTTATTATTTATTTATTTATTTATTTATTTATTTATTTATTTATTTTTGCAGAAGCTCTTTAGTTTAATTAGATTCCAACTGTCAATTTTGGCTTTTGTTACCATAGCTTCTGGTGTTTTAGTCATGAAGTCTTTGCCCATGCCTATATCCTGAATGGTATTGCCTAAGTTTTCTTCTAGGATTTTTATAGATTTATGTCTTACATTTAAGTCTTTAATCCATCTTGAGTTAATTATTGTATAAGGTGTAAGGAAGGGGTCCAGTTTTAGTTTTCTGCTTATGGCAAGTAAGTTTTTCCAACATCATTTATTAAATAGGGAATCCTTTCCTCATTGCTTGTTTTTGTCAGGTTTGTCAAAGATCAGATGGTTGTAGATGTGTGGCATTATTTCTGAGGCCTCTGTTCTGTTCCATTGATGTATATATCTGTTTTGGTAGCAGTACCATGATGTTTTGGTTACTGTAGGCTTGTAGTATTGTTTGAAGTCAGGTAGCATGATGCCTCTAGCTTTGTTCTTTTTGCTTAGGATTGTCTTGGCTATACGGACCCTTTTTTGGTTCCATGTAAAATTTAAAGTAGTTTTTTTCTAATCCCTGTGAAGAAAATCAATGGTATCTTGATGGGAATATCATTGAATCCATAAATTACTTTTGGCAATATGGCCATTTTCACAATAGTGATTGTTGCTATCCATGAGCATGGAATGTTTTTCCATTTGTTTGTGTCCTCTCTTATTTCCTTGAGTAGTAATTTGTAGTTCTTTTAAAGAGGTCCTTCATATCCCTTGTAAGTTTTATTCCTAGGTATTTTATTCTCTTTGTAGCAGTTGTGAATGGGAGTTCACTTATGATTTGGCCTTCTGTTTGTATATTATTGGTGTATAAGAATGCTTGTAATTTTTGCACATTGATTTTGTATCCTGAGACTTTGCTGAAGTTGTTGATAGGCTTAAGGAGATAGGGGGCAGAGGCGATTGGTTTTCTAAGTATACAATCATGTCATCTGCAAAAAGAGACAATTTGACTTTCTCTTTTTTTAAACGAATACTTTTATTTCTTTCTCTTGCCATATTGCCCTAACCAGAACTTCCAATACTATGTTGAATAGGAGTGGTGAGAGAGGGAATCCTTGTCTGGTGCCGGTTTTTAAAGGGAATGCTTCCAGTTTTTGCCTATTCAGTATGATATTGGCTGCAGGCTTGTCATAAATAGCTCTTATTATTTTAAAATACGTTCGATCGATATCTAATTTATTAAGAGTTTTTAGCATGAAGGGGTATTGAATTATATCTAGTGTCTTTTCTGCATCTATTGACATAATCATGTGCTATTTGTCATTGGTTCTGTTTATGTGATGGATTATGTTTATTGATTTGCATATGTTGAACCAGTCTTTCATCCCAGGGATGAAGCTGACTTGATCATGGTGGATAAGCTTTTTGATGCACTGCTGGACTCAGTTTGCCAGTATTTTTTTGAGGATGTTTGCATCAATGTTCATCAGGGATATTGGCCTAATATTTTTGTTGCTGTTGTTGTGTCTCTTCCAGGTTTTGGTATCACGATGATGCTGGCCTCATAAAATGAGTTAAGGAGGAGTCCCTCTTTTTTATTGTTTGGAATAGTTTCAGAAGGAATGGTACCAGCTCCTCTTTGTACCTCCGCTAGAATTCGGCTGTGAATCTGTCTGATCTTGGGCTTTGTTTCGTTGGTAGGCTATTAATTCCTGCCTCAATTTCAGAACTCGTTATTCAAGGATTCAACTTCTTCCTGGTTTAGTTTTGGGAGGGTATATGTGTCCAGGAATTTATCAACTTCTTCTAGATTTTCTAGTTTATTTGCATATAGGTGTTTATAGTCTTCTGTGGTGGTAGTTTGTATTTCTGTGGGATCAGTGTGGATATCCCCTTTATCATTTTCTGTTGTGTCTATTTGATCTTCTCTATTTTCTTCTTTATATTCTGGCTAGTGGTCGATCTATTTTGTTAATTTTCTCAAAAAACCAGCTCCTGAATTCATTGATATTTTGAAGGATTTTGTGTCTCTATCTCCTTCAGTTATGCTCTGATCTTAGTTATTTCTTGTCTTTTGCTAGCTTTTGAATTTGTTCGCTCTTGCTTCTAGTTCTTTTAATCATGATGTTAGGTTGTTAATTTTAGATACTTTCTGCTTTCTTTGGGCATTTACTGCTATAAATTTCCCTCTAAACATGCTTTCACTGTGTCCCAGAGATTCTGGTATGTTGTGTCTTTGTTCTCATTGGTTTAAAAGAACTTATTTATTTCTGTCTTCATTTTGCTATTTACCAAGTAGTCCTTCAGGAGCAGGTTGTTCAGTTTCGATGTAGTTGTCCGGTTTTGAGAGAGTTTCTTAATCCTGAGTTATAATTTGATTGCACTGTGGTCTGAGAGACTGTTTGTTATGATTTTCATTCTTTTGCATTTGCTGAGGGCTGTTTTACTTCCAATTATGTGGTCAGTTTTAGAATAAGTGTGATGTGGTGCTAAGAAGAATGTATATTCTGCTTATCTGGTATGGAGAGTTTTGTAGATGTCTATTAGGTCTGCTTTGTCCAGAGCTGAGTTCACGTCCTAAATATTGTTAATTTTCTGTCTCATTGATCTGTCTAATATTGACAGTGGGGTGTTAAACTCTTCCAGTATTATTGTGTGGGAGTCTAAGTCTTTTTGTAGGTCTCTAAGAACTTGCTTTATGAACCTGGGTGCTCTTGTATTGGGTACATATATATTTAGGATAGTTAGCTCTTCTTGTTGCATTGATCTTTACCATTATGTAGTGCTCTTCTTTGTCTTTTTTGATCTTTGTTGGCTTAAAGTCTGTTTTATCAGAGACTAGGATTGCAACCCCTGCTTTTTTTTTTTTTTTTTTGCTTTCCATTTGCTTGTTATATATTCCTCCATCCTTCTATTTTGAGGCTATGGGTGTCTGTATCGAGATATTTGTCTCCTGAATACAGCACACAGATGGCTCTTGACTTTTTATCCAATTTACCCTCTTTGTCTTTTAATTGGAACATTTAGCCAATTTACATTTAAAGTTAATATTGTTATGTGTAAATTTGATCCTGTCAATATGGTACTAGCTGGTTATATTTCCTGTTCATTGATTCAGTTTCTTCATAGTGTCAACAGTCTTTCCAATTTGGTATGCTTTTGAAGTGACTGGTATTGATTTTTCCTTTCCATATTTAGTTCTTCCTTCAGGAGCTCTTGTAAGGCAGGCCTGGTGGTGACAAAATCTCTCAGCATTTGATTTTCTGTTAAGGATTTTATTTCTCCCTCACTTATAAAGCTTAGTTTGGCTGGATATGAAATTCTAGGTTGAAAATTCATTTCTTTAAGAATGTTGAATATTGGCCCCCACTCTCTTCTGGCTTGCAGTGTTTCTGCAGAGAGATCCACTGTTAATATGATGAGTTTCTCTTTGTTGGTAACCCAACCTTTCTCTCTGGCTGCCCTTAACATTTTTTCCTTCATTCAACCTTGGTGAATCTGATGATTATGTGTCTTGGGCTTGCTCTTCTACAGTAGTATCTTTGTGGCATTCTTTGTATTTCCTGAATTTGAATGTTGGCCTGTCTTCCTAAGTTGGGGAAGTTCTCTTGGATAATATCCTAAAGAGTGTCTTCTAACTTGGTTCTATTCTTCCTGTCACTTTCAGGTACACCAATCAAACGTAGGTTTGGTCTTTTCACATAACCCCATAATTCTTGGAGGCTTTGTTCATTTCTTTTTATCCTTCTTTCTCTAATCTTGTGTTCACACTTTATTTCATTAAGTTGATCTTAAATCTCTGATATCCTTTCTTTCACTTGTTCAATTCGGCATTTCTTATGTATGGCTCATGAATATTTTGTGCTGTGTTTTTCAGCTCCATCAGGTCATTTATGCTCTTCTCTGAACTGTTTATTCTAGTTAGCAGTTCCTGTAACCTTTTATTAAGGTTTTAGCTTCCTTGCATTGGGTTAGAACATGCTCCTTGAGCTCGGAGGAGTTTGTTATTACTCACCTTCTGAAGCCTATTTCTTTCAATTTGTCAAACTCATTCTCTGTCCAGTTTTGTTCCCCTGCTGGCAAAGAGTTGTGATCCTTTGGAGAAGAGTTGTTCTGGTTTTTGGAATTTTCAAACTTTTTGCACTGTTTTTTTTTTTTTCATCTTCGTGGATTTCTCTAATTTTTTTTTGAAAGGAAATAATAACTTTATTATCAAATTTGAGGACTATTGAGACTATGATAAAATTTTCTTCCTGCTGCTGCCTCATAATATTTCAAGAGACATATTCTTTTTTTATTATACTTTAAGTTTTAGGGTACATGTGCACATTGTGCAGGTTAGTTACATATGTATACATGTGCCATGCTGGTGCGCTGCACCCACTAACTCATCATCTAGCATTAGGTATATCTCCCAATGCTATCCCTCTCCCCTCGCCTCAACCCACAACAGTCCCCAGAGTGTGATGTTCCCCTTCCTGTGTCCATGTGATCTCATTGTTCAATTCCCACCTATAAGTGAGAATATGCAGTGTTTAGTTTTTTGTTCTTGCGATAGTTTACTGAGAATGATGATTTCCAATTTCATCCATGTCCCTACAAAGGACATGAACTCATCATTTTTTATGGCTGCATAGTATTCCATGGTGTATATGTGCCACATTTTCTTAATCCAGTCTATCATTGTTGGACATTTGGGTTGGTTCCAAGTCTTTGCTATTGTGAATAATGCCGCAATAAACATACGTGTGCATGTGTCTTTATAGCAGCATGATTTATAGTCCTTTGGGTATTTACCCAGTAATGGGATGGCTGGGTCAAATGGTATTTCTAGTTCTAGATCCCTGAGGAATCGTCAAACTGACTTCCACAATGGTTGAACTAGTTTACAGTCCCAACAACAGTGTAAAAGTGTTCCTATTTCTCCACATCCTCTCCAGCACCTGTTGTTTCCTGACTTTTTAATGATTGCCATTCTAACTGGTGTGAGATGGTATCTCATTGTGGTTTTGATTTGCATTTCTCTGATGGCCAGTGATAATGAGCATTTTTTCATGTGTTTTTTGGCTGCATAAATTAAAAGACACAGACTGGCAAATTGGATAAAGAGTCAAGACCCCTCAGTGTGCTGTATTCAGGAAACCCATCTCACGTGCAGAGACACACATAGGCTCAAAATAAAAGGATGGAGGAAGATCTACCAAGCAAATGGAAAACAAAAAAAGGCAGGGGTTGCAATCCTAGTCTCTGATAAAACAGACTTTAAACCAACAAAGATCAAAAGAGACAAAGGCCATTACATAATGGTAAAGTGATCAATTCAACTAGAAGAGCTAACTATCCTAAATATATATGCACCCAATACAGGAGCACCCAGATTCACAAAGCAAGTCCTGAGTGACCTACAAAGAGACTTAGACTCCCACACATTAATAATGAGAGACTTTAACACCCCACTGTCAACATTAGACAGATCAACGAGACAGAAAGTCAACAAGGATACCCAGGAATTGAACTCAGCTCTGCACCAAGCGGACCTAATAGACATCTACAGAGCTCTCCACCCCAAATCAACAGAATATACATTTTTTCAGCACCACACCACACCTATTCCAAAATTGACCGCATACTTGGAAGTAAAGCTCACCTCAGCAAATGTAAAAGATCAGAAATTATAAGAAACTATCTCTCAGACCACAGTGTAATCAAACTAGAACTCAGGATTAAGAATCTCACTCAAAACCGCTCAACTACATGGAAACTGAGAAACCTGCTCCTGAATGACTACTGGGTACATAACAAAGTGAAGGCAGAAATAAAGATGTTCTTTGAAACCAACGAGAACAAAGACACAACATACCAGAATCTCTGGGACGCATTCAAAGCAGTGTGTAGAGGGAAATTTATAGCACTAAAAACCCACAAGAGAAAGCAGGAAAGATCCAAAATTGACACCCTAACATCACAATTAAAAGAACTGGATTTATCTACTTTTGGTCTTTGATGTTGATGACCTTTGGATGGGGTTTCTGTGTGGCTGTCCTTTTTTTTTTTTTTTTTTTTTTTTTGATGTTGACTCTATTTCTTTCTGTTTGTTAGTTTTCCTTCTAACAGTCAGGTGTCTCTGCTGCAGGTCTGCTGGAGTTTGCTGGAGGTCCACTCCAGACCTTGTTTGCCTGGGTATCACCAGCAGAGGCTGCAGAAGAGCAAATATTGCTGCCTGTTGCTTTCTCTGGAAGTTTCATCCCAGAGGGGCACCTGCGAAATGTCAGCAGGAGCTCTTCTGTATGAGGTGTCTGTCGACCCCTGCAGGGAGGTGTCACCCAATCAGGAGGCACGTGGGCCAGGTACCCATTTGAGGAGGCAGTCTGTCTCTTACCAGAGCTCAAGCGCTATGCTGGGAGATCCACTGCTCTCTTCAGAGCCAGCAGGCAGGAATGTTTAAGTCTACTGAAGCTGTACCCTCAGCCTCCCGTTCCCCCAGGTGCTCCTTCCCAGGGAGTTGGGAGTTTTATCTATAAGCACCTAACTGGGGCAGCTGCCTTTCTTTCAGATATACCCTGCCCAGAGAGGAGGGATCTAGAGAGGCAGTCTGGCTACAGCCTCTCTGCCGAGCTGCAGCGGGCTTCACCCTGTTTGAACTTCCTGGCAGCTTTGTTTACACTGTGAGGGGAAAACCACCTACTGAAGCCTCAGTAATGGCAGACTCTTCTGTCTCCACCAAGCTTGAGCATCCCAGTTTGACTTCAGACACCTGTGCTGGCATCAAGAATTTCAAGCCAGTGGATCTTAGCTTTCTGGGCTCTGTGTGTGTGGGATCTGCTGAGCAATATCACTTGGCTCCCTGGCTTCAGCCCCCTTTCTAGGCTGGTGTTTCAGTCGCCACTGGGGTATGAAAAATAACTCCTGCAACTAGCTGGATGTCTGCCCAAATGTTTACCCAGTTTTGTGCTTAAAACCCAGGGTCCTGGTGGCATACGCACCCAAGGGAATCTCCTGGTCTGAGGGTTGTAAAGACCATGGGAAAAGCATAGTATCAGGGCCGGAGTGCACCATTCCTCACAGCACAGTCCCTCAGGGCTTCCCTTGGCTAGGGCAGAGAGTTTCTCCACCCCTTGCACTTCCCAGGTGAGGTGATGCCCCACCCTGCTTCATCTCACCCTCAGTTTGCTGCACCCACTGTCTAGCCAGCTATCTCAGTTGGAAATGCAGTAATCACCCACCTTCTGCCTTGATCTCACTGGGAGGCACAGACTGGAGTTTTTCCTATTCTACCATTTTGCCCGCCACCAGCTGATGTCCTTTACAATGCATCACGGCTACCTCTCATGGAAGGAAAATTGAGGATACTAGCCTGTTAATTTCCTGATGGTATTTTATAGGGAATCCATTAGTGGTAAGAAAGTGTCTTTCCTTCCAAATGGCAGCATGAGCATGAACTAAGAAAGAATACTTGGAGTCACTGTAAATGTTAGCTACCTTTCCTGTACTTATTTTAAGTTTAGTTGTAAGAGCTACCAGTTCAGCTAGTTCAGCACTTGTGCCTGAAAAGCGTGGTGCACTTTCAATAAAATTATTTAGAGTGCCTACTGCATATCCCACTTTATGGACTCCCTGCTCCACAAAGGAGCTCCCATCCATGAAGAGGGTTCAGTCTAGATTTTCTAGGGAAGTTTCCCTGAGATCTTCCCTGGCTGCATATGTCTGTACTACAATTTATTCACAGTCATGTTCAGGGTTCCTAGTTTTCTTGGGGAGGAAATTTTCTGGGTTTCAGTGAGAGCAAGTTTTTAATTGGATTGTAGATCCCTCTAACAGCACAGTCATATATATATATATACACACACATACATATATATATACACACACACACACACACACACACACACATATATATATATTTGAGATGGAGTCTCGCTCTGTCACCCAGGCTGGAGTGCAGTGGCATGATCTCAGCTCACTGCAACCTCCATCTCCTGGGTTCAAGCAGTTCTCTGCCTGAGCCTCTCAAGTAGCTAGAATTGCAGGTGCCCACCACCATGTCTGGCTAATTTTCTTCTCTTTCTTTCTTTTTTTTTTTTTTTTTGGTAGAGACAGGGTTTCACCATCTTGGCCAGACTGGTCTTGAACTCCTGACCTTGTGATCCATCAACCTCAGCCTCCCAAAGTGCTGAGATTACAGGCATGAGCCACTGTGCCAAGCCAAGCCTGATATTTAAGGAGCTGGCTGTCTGTTTCCCAAAGGCTTCTCCTAGAGGGCAGTAATTCTGCTACATTATGTGGAGTATAAACAGTTAAGCCATTTCCCAGGGTTAATTTGGTGGCCTCTGGTACCAGTAGGGCCACTGTTGCAACTGCTCAGTGGCATGCGAGCCATCTTTAGCCACCAGATCAAGTTTCTTACTCAGGTAGTAACTTACTCGGCCTTACACTTGCTGTTGATCTGGTTCTCGGGCTTGAGTTAAAACTCCCAGGGCCATTCGCTTCCTTTCAGATGCATAAAGATTGAAGGTCCTCCCTACAGGAAAGCTGAGTGCTTGAGTAAGCTTTAAGTGCCTTAAGTAAGCCTTGTTTTAACTGATTAAAGGCATTTTGAGTTTCAGGTTTCCAGGTTAGGAATTGAGATTTAGCCACTTGAGTTTCTTTCATGAGGTGATATAAGGGGCAAGGTATCTAACCATACTCAGGTATCCATAGTCTGCAAAACCCTGTAATGCCCCAAAATTCTCTCAGTTGCTTGATGGTTTTAGGAAAGGGGAAAGAGAAAATGGGTTTAGTCTTTTATTTCCCCAATGCTCTGGTTCTTTCAGACAATACTAAACCCAAACACTGAGGTTTGGCAAAGCTGGGCCTTGGATTTTGAAACCTCATATCCTCTGTTATTTAAGAAATTAGGAACTTCAGTGCCTTCCTGAGAAGCTTCTTCAGTTAGGGAACTGAACAGAACAGATGACAGAACAGAATGTCATCTACATATTGTAAACCCCTGACCTGAGGATGGGAAAACTCAGAGAGATTATTTGACAGTTCCTGTCCAAACAAGTGAGGACTATCTGGAAATCCCTGAGGCAGTTGTTCATGTTGTCTGGGCAGTTTGGCCAGAGGGATCTTCAAAACAAATGGGTATTGAGAATGAGGATATAATGGTATACTGAAAAGGGCATCCTTTAGATCTAGGACTGTGAACCACTTTCTTCCCTCAGGTATTTGAGTCAGCAAGGTATAGGAATTAAGAACCACCAGAAGAATGGTCTCATTAATGAGACAAAGGTCCTGAACTAGTCTCCATTCCCCATTGGGTTTTGCACTTCTAATATTGTTGTGTTGCAGAAGCTGCTACAGGATTTAAGATGACTCTGCATTTTCAGGTTTTTCACAATGGTTTCTAGCCCCTTTCTAGCCTCTGACATTAGGAAATATTGTCTCTGGTTATTAAAAGAAGTGGGATCCTTATGATGGATTTGGACTGGCCTAGTGTTTACAGCTCAACTTATTCTTCCTTGGGTTGCCCACACTTCTGGATTAATATTAGCTTCCACTGGGGGAGACAAAGAGTTTGTCCTGGGGCCATAAAGATGCTGGCCCCCATGCAAGCTAAAATGTCTCTACTTCATAAGGGAGTGGAACTTTCAGGCATGATTAAGAAGGCATGGTCCCCCCAACTATGACTAAGGTGTTGAGAAAAATATTGTGTTAAAATTTCTCCTGAGACACCCATCAGAGTCATGCTATGGAAAGATGGGGGGCCTGGATTGGAGAGAAGAGAGAGATTTGCTCATGTATCTAGAAGGGGTTCCACCCTCTTTTCTTCAATTTCCAGAGACCTGGGCGTCCTTAGCATTAATGGCAGTTTGAGCCATTGGAGCTAGGGGTTTGAGCCCTGGGACCCATCAGTCTTTCTGGACCATCTATGAGACTGGTTCTGGACACAGTGACCTCCATCTCTGCAGGCAGTCTAATCTCCACTCGTCCCCACCACAGGCTGGACAGGGTCAAAGTGGCTTCTTCTTGCTTCCTAGGCACTACTTTTTAAAGTGTCCTGAGTTGCCACACCAGTAGCAATTAGCAGATGCACCTTGGGGATCCTGGACTTTGCTAGCCTGCAAAGCAACCATAGAGTGTCTGTCCCTCACTTGTGTTTCCTCTCCTTTTCTTGGGCCTCCTCCTGGTCCCTATTATAAAAGACTGAGGTGGTCACCCTCAAGAGATTTTCCAAGATGCTATCTGGTTGTATAGACTGTTTATGCAGTTTCCTTCTAATATCAGGAGCTGGCTGTGTAATAAACTTGTTCTTAAATATTAGCTGTCACTTTACTGAATCAGGAGATAAAGAGGTGTGTTTCATTAGTGCCTCTCTGAGCCTTTTTATAATGGCTGAGGGATTCTCAACTGGCTTTTGTTCTATCATAGACAGTTTAAAGTAATTAAAAAGTTTGCCCCTAGTTCTTCATAAGCCCTATAATATGCACCTTAAAAAGTGTTTATTTTTTTATTCAACTATTGAGTCATTGAGATTTCAATCAGGATTATCAAGAGATACTGCCTCTCTTCCTACTGGGGATGATGGTTCCCATATTTTTTCACCTTTCCTATCTCCTCTTTTCCTTTTTGACCTGCTATAGGAGACATATTGCTCATCTCTGAACTTCTCTGCTGCCTGCAGGGCTGCCTGTTTTTCATCAGTGGTTAGGGATTGGCTTAGGAGCAGCATAACATCTCTCCATGTGAAGTCAAACACCTGAGTTAAATTTTGGAATCTATATATCTATCAAGGTCATCAGAAAATCAGTCCAAGTCTCCTCCCTTATTTGCCTAAGGTGCTATAATGAGAAAGGATAATGAACCCTAGTGGCATAACTTTCTTTTTTTTCAGTTTTTTATTTTTGAGATGGAGTCTCACTCTGTTGCCCAGACTGGAGTGCAGTGGCACAATCTCAGCTCACTGTAACCTCTGCCTCCCTAGTTCAAGCAATTTTCCTACCTCAGCCTCCCGAGTAGCTGGGGTTACAGATGCCTGCCATCACACGCAGCTAATTTTTGTATTTTTCATAGAGATGGGGTTTCACTATGTTGGCCAGGCTGGTCTCAAACTCCTGACCTCAGGTGATCCACCCGCTTCAGCCTCAAAAGTGCTGGGATTACAGACATGAGCCATCATGCCCAGCCATTAGTGGCATAACTTTCATTGGGCATTACCTGTAGGGATAAGAGTGAAGCTAGGGGAATGGGGACTTTTGGAGGTGATGGAACTGGAGAAGCTGATGGTGTAGTTGGAGAATACCCTGAGTAAGGTGGATAAGAAAGCCAAGGCACTCGATAGCTTCCTCAGATGGTTGCCCTGAAATTTTTTTTTCTAGTTTTGGGGAATCATTCCATTTGGGCCTTCCTGCTATGACTTCTAAAAGAGTTGGGTCAATTGTGTAAGCTTGCAAAGGTCTGGGTTGTCTCACAGGACAAATAAAGCCTCTACATAGGGGACCTTGGATGATTTGCTGTCCTGTCTACAGAAAAGATCTAATTGTTGGATAGTATTAAAATCAAGGCTTCTCTCACTGGAACAGGTCTATTCAGCCCCAAGTTGATAAGAAGGCCACGTCCTTGTGCAAAAGGAAATAAGCTGCTTTGTCTTCAAAGTCTTGGGTTCAAAGGAGTTTCAGTGCTTCAGAACACACTTGAGAGAAGTGCAGGCCAAAGATTGTCTGTTACTCATCTAGAAAAATAGAGAGGCAACCCTCTGCTCCTTCTTCACTTTGGAATAGCCCAGGGTGGAGGGAAAGACAGTGGGAGCATCTCCCCTGTTGATTTTCCTCTTTGGTTCCTTGGGCCCCAGCATCTATTAAAGGTGCCACAATGGATGCAGGGATGACCCGCAAGTATGAATCTGGAAGAGCTGGGAGGTAGGATTAGTCATGCTTCCCCATTCAACTCTAGTCCTCCACTGGTGATTTCCCTTCGATTTCCTAGACTTGTGTGATCTGCATGGCTCCCTGAGAGGTAGATTTTGAGAAAGACTACATAACAATTACATCTGGGCAAGACCCCTTAATGGAGGAAAATTATTGAGTTGAGCTCTATATTCTGCTATTATGTCCTGGATTTATTTAGTAAGGGAAATTTATGTCTGGTTAATTTCCAGACATAAAATCACCTTACTATGTGAGTACCATTTTAATTGGATGAAGAATAGTTGTCTTAAAAGAACTTAGGGACCAAATGGCTGTTTTCCTGAAGATGTAGACAGTATTGAGGATAAATGTGGTTATGGAGGACAATTTTCTTCTCGTTGTTGAGTTTCCCAATTCACAGAAGAGGCATAAAGCCTGATCTCTAGTAGAGGGGCATAAAAAGGGAGAATTGGGAAACTAGAGGTTTTCAGCACTGACAAGATCCCTCATGGACAGGATTCATATTCCACGAGGTGGCGCTGTAGACCTTAAAATACCAGGCAGTAGCTTTGTATCCATGTGCTCTCTAGACAAAAGAGAGAGAGAAAGAAATGTTCCTGGGGATGTGGGGGCACTCTTTTCCTAGAAAATCACAAAAACGTCAATCACTTGAGCTGTGTTCCAAGTTACTATGGCATTTGTTGATCCTGTATAACAGAATTATTTCTCTGAACTGTAAAAATTCCCACAGCATTGCATACAGAGAGGGGATAGGAGACACAGTCACTGAAATAAAAGAAGGAAATTGCAGTAGTAAAAGCTCAGAGATCTTATTGTGAAGCTTGGAGATCCTGTTGCCAAAGCCCAATGAGCTGTGAGGAGCTCGAGTTGGTCCAGAAGCCTTCACTTAACACTGGGGTGTGGCCCCGGCCAGAAACTGTCATTTGCCTCTAGACCTCTTCCAGACCTATGCAATGGCTAGGCTCTCTGTGAAGGAAAACTGGTTCAAAACAAAGCCAACATTCACAGCACCCTGAGGGTTCTGGGGAATAAGCTATGTTCTCCCCAGCAAGCCTGCCATCTATTTCTTTAGACCAACAGCTGCACTAACCACATCTAGGTGGCTGACTGATACCTGTTTTTTTGTTTTTTGCTTTTTGTTTTCATTTTTTGCTTGATTTTAAAATTGAGGAGAGGAGACCCTGGAAGTAAAAGTAGAGAGTTGGGCCCGGCTCCTATATTCACTCTTTCAATGAACCTAAATTGGGTCCTTGGCAATCCCCCACAAGGAAGTTGCCTAATTATTTGGGGTGACATTTATAGACAAACCATGGCCCAGAGGGGATTTCATCTCTTTTCTGAGGTTCATTGTCTCACGGCCACAAGATCAAGGATGCAAACACACAAAGAGTGAGGTTAAGAACAGAAATTTAATAGACAAAATGAAGATAATAGCTATCTACTACAGAGAGGGGTCCTGGAAAAATGAGCTGCTGATCCACTGTTAAATGCAGGCTGTTTTATAGATGAGCCAGTGGGGTGGTGGTGTCTTATCTACACAGGGTGTGAAAAACTGGTCATAATCAGATGTGCCATCTGCATAGGGTGGGAATCTCTGGCAGTCCTCACGCCAATATTTTATTATGCAATTGGGTTCTCTGCCTGAGCTTCTCCATGTTTCCCATTTCCTTCTTATTGTACATGTGCTAACAAAAAAAAGGAAGGTGAAACTTCCATGGTGGACATGCCTGGCCTCCAGGTAGCCCTTTTCTAATGGCACAGCTGCCAGCATTTCCTCATGTAAACTTCCAGCTTTCTTATATATGTTTGCAGCTCGATCTTTCAGGCTGTTCTTTGTTGTTAGAAAAAAAAAATTTTTCTGAGCTGCTTTTAGCTAGAAGGGAAGTTCTGCTGAATACTCATTTGCCCTCACTATCTGCCTAAATAATGTCTTTCTATCTCCTGTATCAATGCTGCTAGTAGATGTTCTTTGGTGCCTGGCCACTGAAGAGTTAGGTATTTATAATAGTGTTTATGGCATGGGATTGTTTGTATCTGTCCTTTTTCAGATGACTTTTCAGATATTCAAAAGGACTACAATATTGTGATCTAAGCTGTATCTGCTTTAGGGAGTAACCCAAGTCCAGTAACATTGTGGTTATACAGACTCATAGAGGTACCATCATGATGATTTGGGACAAGTTCCAGGAGAATTATTTGGATTACCAGGCAGAGATATTTGTTCTCTTCCCTTATTTTCTCCCCCCAAAATGTAGTCTTTCTCTCAGTTCTGAACCACTTTAAGCTGGGAGTAAAATGACATAAGCATCCCTGTGGCCGCCACCACTATGACAATTTTGAGTTGGACCTTAAGCCAGCACAGCACTGTGTCTTGACCAAGGCATGCTGTTAACACTTGCTGACTACTCTCTATGTTTGCTCAAGGTCCTGGGCCTCTACAATCAGTAGGTGCCAAGGCCAACCAGGCCTATGTCTTTTCCTTCAGGGCAGTGAGTTCCCCCATTTCTTTAGTTGGTCCAGAGATGCTCTCTGGTAGTCAGGGTCTACAGTGAAAAATATTAGAGTCCTATCTGATGATCTGTTTTACTTAACCTGAGCTGGCACTCAAAACACAAGATGCAATTCTTCCCATTCTTTCCTCTGTTTACCAAAGGCAGAGAAGCTTCACTTCTTAGCTACCACCACCACAGGCCATGTGGAGAGCTGCCAGACAATGGCCAATGTTTTCTTAAGCCCCAAGGGCTTTTGATATCAGCTTGTGATGAAGGCTGCTTTTCCTGGGATTCAGTTTTCAGGGCAATGTGTTCCCCTCTGGCCCAGGGCAGGTCCAGAAATGCCAGACAAGATCCAAATCCTGGAATCAGATACCCCAAGAGCCCACGTGGTGCTCTACCCCCTGTAGCCAAGCTGGTACCTAAGTTGTAAGACAAAGTTCCCTTTACTTTTTTCTCTACTTTTCTCAATTAGAAAGAGTTTTACCCTATGGTCACAGCAACTAAGAATCTACTAAGTCTCACTTAAAACCAGCAAGTCTAAGAGGCTCACTTAAGGTCCTCAATGAAGTGCCCATGTATTGCTGTTAGTTTTTCAGGGTCCAAGTTCTCCTCAGTTAGCAAGTGATGAATGCTTCCAGAAATGGGGTTTTTCCTTCAAGATTTTGGGTTTCCCTCTGGGCCACAATTTGTCTAGAAATGTAATCCAAGAACTAGGGCCTAGAACCTCACAACTCTGACCAGTGCACTATTGTGCTGTGGCTGATTGTATCCAAGATGTAAGACAAAGTCCTCCCCCACTCTTCCCTCTCCTCTCCTCAAGTGAAAAGAAGAGATCTCTTTTGAAGCCACAAGCTATGCCGTCTGGGGCTAGGGAAAGGGTACTTCCATCACTTTCTTAGCTGCCACAGCTGGTGCCCCACTAGGTTGTGTAACCCCTCTCCTTGTTCACTGTATCTGGGCTCAGTTCAACCATGGGGCTCACCTAAGAGTTGAAGTAACTATGGTCTAGACTGCCTTTCAGGTTTCTTAGAGACCCAGAGTATTTTATCCCTCGGTGGTGAGGCTTTCCGAAACTCAAGCTCTAACCACTGGATCTGGTAATTTCTTTCTAGTTAGGGCTTGTTTATATGCTCCTTCTGTGGGTGGGTGTCAGCTGAGTTTGATCCTGTTTTCATTTTTGCTCTAACAGCACAGCACTGAGTTAAACACATCAAAATTGCTGATCTCTCTCTCCTAAAGTGTCCAGAAGTCCTTTCTACACCATGCCACTGCTGCTGGGGTTTGAGGGAGATGTGGCATTTGCAATTCAAGACTGTTTTGCTACCTCTTTAGTACCTCTTTCATTGATATGAAGTTAAAACTTAGTACTACGAAAGCTCACCTAATAACTTAGTTTTTATGAAGGTTGTGTGTGTGTGTGTGTGTGTGTGTGTAGATAGTTGTCAAATTTGTTTCTTTGCAGTGAGGACATTCAGCGCAGCCTTTTACTCCACCATTATGTTCAACAACCCTCGACATTGACAATTTTTGTATGTTGCACATTCCTTGCATCTCAGAGATAAATCCCAATATAGGAGGAGGTTCCAAGATGGCCGAATAGGAACAGCTCCAGTCTACAGCTCCCAGCAGGAGTGACACAGAAGATGGGTGATTTCTGCATTTCCAATTGAGGTACCAGGTTCATCTCACTGAGGTTTGTTGGACAGTGGGTGCAGGACAGTGGGTGCAACCCAATGAGCATAAGCCAAAGCAGGGTGAGGCATCACCTCACCCAGGAAGTGCAAGGGGTCAGGGAGTTCCATTTCCTAGCCAAGGGAAGGTGTGACAGATGGCACCTGGAAAATTGGGTCACTCCAACCTTAATACTGCACTTTTCCAACAGTCTTAGCAAACGGCACACCAGGAGATTATATCCCGTGCCTGGCTTGGAGGGTCCCATGCCCACGGAGCCTCACTCATAGCTAGCACAGCAGTCTGAGATCGAACGGCAAGGTGGCAGTGAGGTTGGGGGAGGTGTGCATGCCATTGCTGAGGCTTGAGTAGGTAAACAAAGCCACTGGGAAGCTTGAACTGGGTGGAGCCCACCGCAGCTCAAGGAGGCCTGCCTGCCTCTCTAGACTCCACCTCTGCGGGCAGGGCATAGCTGAACAAAAGGCAGCAGAAACCTCTGCAGACTTAAATCTGCCTGTCTGATAGCTTTGAAGAGAGTATTGGTACTCCCAGCACGGAGTTTGAGATCTGAGAACGGACAGACTGCCTCCTCAAGTGGGTCCCTGAACCCCAAGTAGCCTAACTGGGAGGCATCCTGCAGTAGGGGCAGACAGACACCTCACATGGCCCAGTACCCCTCTGAGATGAAGCTTGCAGAGGAACGATCAGGCAGCAACATTTGCTGTTCAGCAATATTTGCTGTTCTGCAGCCTCCACTACTGATACTGAGGCAAACAGTGTCTGGAGTGGACCTCCAGCAAACAGCAACAGACCTGCAGCTGAGGGTCCTGACTGTTAGAAGGAAAACTAACAAACAGAAAGGACATCCACACCAAAATCCCATCTGTATGTCACCATAATCAAAGACCAAATGTAGATAAAACCACAAATATGGAGAAAAAACAGAGCAGAAAAGCTGAAAATTCTAAAAATCAGAGTGCCTCTCCCCTCAAAAGGAACACAGCTCCTCATCAGCAATGGAAAAATGCTGGACAGAGAATCACTTTGACAAGTTGAGAGAAGGCTTCAGATGATCACACTTCTCCGAGATAAAGGATGAAGTTCAAATCCAAGCACAAAGAAGCTAAAAACCTTGAAAAAAGATTAGACAATTGGCTAACTAGAATAACCAGAGTAGAGAAGTCCTCAAATGACTAGATGGAGCTGAAAACCATGGCATGAGAACTATGTGATGAATGCACAAGCTTCAGTAACTGATTCGATCAACTGGAAGAAAAGGTATCAGTGATTGAAGATAAAATGAATGAAATGAAGTGAGAAGAGAAGTTTACAGAAAAAAAGAATAAAAAGAAATGAACAAAGCCTCCAAGAAATATGGGACTATGTGAAAAGACCAAATCTATGTCTGATTGGTGTACCTGAAAGTGACAGGAAGAATGGAACCAAGTTGGAAAACACTCTGCAGGATATTATCCAGGAGAACTTCCCCAACCTAGCAAGGCAGGCCAACATTCAAATTCAGGAAATACAGAGAACACCACAAAGATACTCCTCAATAAGAGCAACTATAAGATACGTAATTGTCAGATTCACCAAAGTTGAAATGAAGGAAAAAATGTTAAGGGCAGCCAGAGAGGAAGGTCGGGTTACCCACAAAGGGAAGCCCATCAGACTAACAGCGGATCTCTTGGCAGAAACTCTACAGGCCAGAAGAGAGTGGGGGTGAATATTCAACTTTCTTAAAGAAAAGAATTTTCAATCCAGTATTTCATATCCAGCCAAACTAAGCTTCATAAGTGAAGGAGAAATAAAATCCTTTACAGACAAGCAAATGCTGAGAGATTTTGTCACCACCAGGCCTGCCCTACAGGAGCTCCTGAAGGAAGCACTAAACATGGAAAGGAACAACCAGTACCAGCCACTGCAAAAACATACCAAATCATAAAGACCATTGATGTTAGGAAAAAACTGCATCAACTAATTAGCAAAATAACCAGCCAACATCATAATGACAGGATCAAATTCACACATAACAATATTAACCTTAAATGTAAATGGGCTAAATTCTCCAATTAAAAGACACAGACTGGCAAATTGGATAAAGAGTCAAGACCCATAAGTGTGCTGTATTCAAGAGACCCATCTCACGTGCAGGGACACACATAGGCTCAAAATAAAGGGATGGAGGAAGATCTACCAAGCAAATGGAAAACAAAAAAAGGCAGGGGTTGCAATCCTGGTCTATAATAAAACAGACTTTAAAGTTCAAAATAAACAAAGATCAAAACAGACAAAGAAGACCGTTACATAATGGTAAAGGAATCAATTCAACAAGAAAAGCTAACTGTGTTAAATGTATATGCATCCAATACAGGAGCACCCAGATTCATAAAGCAAGTCTTAGAGACATACAAAGAGACTTAGATTCCCACACAATAATAATAGAAGACTTAAACACCCCACTGTCAACATTAGACAGATCAATGAGACAGAAAGTTAACAAGGATATCCAGGAATTGAACTCAGCTCTGCAACAAGTGGACCTAATAGACATCTACAGAACTCTCCACCTCAAATCAACAGAATATACATTCTTCTCAGCACCACAACACACTTATTCCAAAACTGACCACATAGTTGGAAGTAAAGCACTCCTCAGCAAATGTAAAAGAATAGAAATTATAAGAAACTGTCCCTCAGACCACAGTGCAATCAAATTAGAACTCAGGATTAAGAAACTCACTCAAAACAGCTCAACTACATGGAACTGAACAAACTGTTCCTGATTGACTACTGCGTATGTAACGAAATGAAAGCAGAAATAAAGATGTTTTTTGAAACCAATGAGAACAAAGACACAAGGTACCAGAATCTCTGGGACACATTCAAAGCAGTGTGTAGATGGATATTTATAGCACTAAATGCCCACAAGTGAAAGCAGGAAAGATCTAAAATTGACACCCTAACATCACAATTAAAAGAACTAGAGAAGCAAGAGCAAACACATTCAAAAGCTAGCAGAAGGCAAGAAATAACTAATATCAGTGCAAAACTGAAGGAGATAGAGACACAAAAAACCCTTCAAAAAATCAATGAATCCAGGAGCTAGTTTTTTTAAAAGATCAACAAAATTGATAGACTGCTAGTAAGATTAATAAAGAAGAAAAGAGAGAAGAATCAAATAGATGTAAAAAAAATCATAAAGGGAACATCACCACCAATCCCACAGAAATACAAACTACCATCAGAGAATACTATAAACACCTCTACAAAAATAAACTAGAAAATCTAGAAGAAATGGATAAATTACTCGACACATACACCCTCCCAAGACTAAACCAGGAAGAAGTTGAATCCCTGAATAGACCAATAACAGGCTCTGAAATTGAGGCAACAATTAGTAGCCTATCAACCAAAAAAAGTCTGGGAGCAGATGGATTCACAGCTGAATTCTACCAGAGGTACAAGGTGGAGCTGGTACCATTCCTTCTGAAACTATTCCAATCAATAGGAAAAGAGGGAATCCTCCCTAACTCATTTTATGAGGCCAGCATCATCTTGATACCAAAGCCTGGCAGAGACACAGCAAAAAAAGAGAATTTTAGACCAATATCCCTGATGAACATCGAGGCAAAAATCCTCAATAAAACACTGGCAAACCGAATCCAGCAGCACATCAAAAAGCGTATCCAGCATGATCAAGTGGGCTTCATCCCTGGGATGCAAGGCTGGTTCAACATTTGCAAATCAATAAATGTAATTCAGCCTATAAACAGAACCAAAGACAAAAACCACATGCTTATCTCAATACATGCAGAAAAGGCCTTTGACAACATTTAACAGCACTTCATGCTAAAGACTCCCAATTAATTAGGTATTGATGGGATGTATCTCAAACTAATAAGAGCTATTTATGACAAATCCACAGCCAATATCATACTGAATGGGCAAAAACTGGAAGCATTCCCTTTGAAAACTGGCACAAGACAGGGATGCCCTGTCTCTCCACTCCTATTCAAAATAGTTTTGGGAGTTCTGGCCAGGGCAATCAGGCAGGAGAAAGAAATAAAGAGTATTCAATTAGGAAAAGAGGAAGTCAAATTGTCCCTGTTAATAGATGGCATGATTGTATATTTAGAAAGCCCCATCATCTCAGCCCAAAATCTACTTAAGCTGATAAGATACTTCAGCAAAGCCTCAGGATACAAAATCAATGTGCAAAAATCACAAGCATTCCTACACACCAATAACAGACAAACGGAGAGCCAAATCATGAATGAACTCACATTCACAATTGCTTCAAAGGGAATAAAATACCTAGGAGTCCAACTTACAAGGGATGTGAAGGACCTCTTCAAGGAGAACTAGAAACCACTGCTCAATGAAATAAAACAGGACACAAAGAAATGGAAGAGCATTCCATGCTCCTGGATAGGAAGAGTCAATATCATGAAAATGGCCATACTGTCCAAGGTAATTTATAGATTCAATGTCGTCCTCATCAAGCTGCCAATGATTTTCTTCACAGAATTGGAAAAAAACTACTTTAAAATTCATATGGAACCAAAAAAGAGCCTGCATTTCCAAGACAATCCTAAGCCAAAATAATAAAGCTGGAGGTATCACGCTACCTGACTTCAAACTATACTACAAGGCTACACTAACCAAAACAGCATGGTACTGGTACCAAAACAGAGATGTAGACCAATGGAACGGAATAGAGCCCTCAGAAATAATACCACACATCTATAACCATCTGATCTTTGACAAACCTGAGAAAAACAAGCAATGGGGAAAGGATTCCCTATTTAATAAATGGTGCTGGGAAAACTGGCTAGCCATATGAAGAAAGCTGAAACTGGATCCCTTCCTTACACCTTATACAAAAATCAATTCAAGATGGATTAAAGACTTAAACGTTAGACCTAAAACCATAAAAACAATACAAGAAAACCTAGGCAATACCATTCAGGACATAGGCATGGGCAAGGAATTCATGTCTAAAACACCAAATGCAATGGCAGGAAAAGCCAAAATTAACAAATGGGATCTAATTAAACTAAAGAGCTTCTGCACAGCAAAAGAAACTACCATCAGAGTGAACAGGCAACCCACAGAATGGGAGAAAATTTTTGCAATCTACTCATCTGACAAAGGGCTAATATCCAGAATCTACAATGAACTCAAACAAATTTACAAGAGAAAAACAAACAACCCCATCAACAAGTGGGTAAAGAAGATGAACAGACGCTTCTCAAAAGAAGACATTTATGAAGTCAACATACACATGAAGAAATGCTCATCATCACTGGCCATCAGAGAAATGCAAATCAAAAGCACAATGAGATACCATCTCACACCAGTTAGAATGGCGATTATTAAAAAGTCAGGAAGCAACAGGTGCTGGAGAGGATGTAGAGAAATAGGAGCACTTTTACACTGTTGGTGGGACTGTAAACTCGTTCAACCATCGTGAAAGTCAGTGTGGCGATTCCTCAAGGATCTAGAACTAGAAATACCATTTGACCCAGCCATTCCTTTACTGGGTATATACCCAGAGGATTATAAATCATGCTGCTATAAAGACACATGCACATGTATGCTTATTGTGGCACTATTCACAATAGCAAAGAGTTGGAACCAAACCAAATGTCCAACAATGATAGACTGGATTATGAAAATGTGGCACATATACACCATGGAATGCTATGTTGCCATAAAAAAAGGATGAATTCATGTCCTTTGCAGGAACATGGATGAAGCTGGAAACCATCATTTTCAGCAAACTATCGCAAGGACAAAAAACCAAACACCACATGTTCTCACTCATAGGTGGGAATTGAACAATGAGAACACTTGGACACAGGAAGGGGAACATCACACACTGGGGCCTGTCGTGGGGTGGAGGAAGTGGGGATGGATAGCATTAGTAGATATACCTAATGTAAATGACGAGTTAATTGGTACAGCCCACCAACATGGCACATGCATACATATGTAACAAACCTGCACTTTGTGCACATGTACCCTGGAACTTAAAGTATATTTAAAAAGATTCCACTGTATTTTTATATATCTTTTTAATGTGCTGTTGAATTTGGTTAGCTAATATTTTGTTGAAAAATTTTGCACCAAACTCAGCAGAGTTATTTGTCTGTAGTGTTTTTTCTCATGGTGTCTTTGATTTTATTTGGCATTAGAGTGATGCTGGCCTTATGTGTTTGGAAGTCTTCCCTCCTTTTTCTTTTTCTTACAACAATTAAAAAGGATTGGTATTAATTCTTAATATTTGGTAAAATTGACCTGTGAATCCATCTGGCCCTGTATTTTTTGTTTGTGTGAGTATTTGATTACTGATTCAATTTCCATATTTGTTATTGGTCTGCCCAGGCTTTTTGTTTCTTCTTCTTTTTTTTTTTTAGCTTTTATTCTAATTTCAGGTTGTTACCTAGGTTAACTTGTGTCATGGGGGTTTGTTATACAGATTATTTCATCACCCAGGTATTAAGCCTAGTACCATTAATTGTTTTTCCTAATCCTCTTTCTCCTCTTACTCTTCAGCCCTTGAAAATCCCAGTATGTGTTGTTCCTCTCTGTATATATATATGTTATCATTATTTAGCTCCCACTTAGAAGTGAAAACATGCAATATTTGGTTTTAAGCCTCTAGCTTCATCCATTTCCTTGCAAAGAACATGGAAGAATTTTTATCATTGTGTGGTATTCCATGGAGTAGATGTACCACATTTTCTTTATCCAGTCTAACATTTATCAACATTTAGATTGATTCTGTGTTATTGCTATTGTGGATAGTGTTACAGCGAACATATGCTTGCATGGGTCTTTATAATAGAATAATTTATATTCCTTTGGGTATATACCCACTAGTACCATTGCTGGGTCAAATGGTATTTCTGTTTTTAGATATTTGAGGAAATGTCACACTGTCTTCCCCAATGGCTGGACAAATTTACACTTTCACCAACAGTGTGTAAGCATTCCTTTTTTACCACAACCTTGCCAGCATCTGTTATTTTATTACTTTTTTAGTAATAGCCATTCTGACTGGTGTTAGATGGTATATCATTTTGGTTTTGATTTGCATTTCTTTAATGATCAGTGATGTTGAGCTTTTTTTCATATGACCTCTGGCCACATGTATGTCTCATTTGAAAGTGTAATTTCATGATTCTGGACCATTTTATAGATTTTTTTCCTTGTAAATTTAAGTTTCTTGTGGATGCTGTATATTAGACCTTTGTCAGATGAATAGTATACAAATTTTTTTTTTCCATTCTGTAGGTTGTCTCTTTACTCTGTTCATATATATATAATATATATATATATATATTATATATATATATTTGCACAGAAGCTCTTTAATTAGATCCTATTTGTGAATTATTGCTTTCATTGCAAATGATCTTGGCATCTTCATTAAATCCTTGCCCGTGCCTTTGTCCTGAATGATACTACCTAGGTTGTCTTCAAGGGTATTTACAGTTTTGGGTTTTACATTTAAGCCTTTAATCCATCGTGAGTTATTAATTATTATTATTATTATTATTTGAGATGGAGTGCAGTGGTGCAATCTTGGCTCACTGCAACCTCCTCCTCCCACATTCAAACAGTTCTCTTGCCTCAGCCTCCCAAGTAGCTGGGACTACAGGTGCATGCCACCATGCCCAGCTATTGAATTAATCTTTGTATATGGTGTAAGGAAGGTGTCCAGTTTCAATCTTTTGCATAACAAGTCAGTTATCCCAGAAACATTTATTGAATAGAGAATCCTTTCCCATTGCTTGCTTTTGTCAGGTTTGTCAAAGATTAGATAGTTGTAAATGTGCAGTCTTATTTCTGGGTTCTCTATTCTCTTCCATTAGTTCATGTTTCTGTTCTTTTACCAGTACTCTGCTGTTTTGTTTTTGTTTTTGTTTTATTTTTTACTGTAGCCCTGTAGTATTGTTTGAATTCAGGTAGTGTAATGCCTCCAGCTTCGTTCTTTTTGCTTAGGACCACCTTGGCTATTTAGGCTCTTTCTTGGTTCCACATGAATTTTAAAATAGTATTTTATGATTCTATGAAGAATGTTGATTAGTTTAATGGGAATAGCATTGAATCTATAAATTTCTTATGACAGTATGGCAATTTTAATTTAAAAATAGTATTTTTTCTATCCATGAACATAAAATGTTTTTCCATTTCTTTGTGTCATCTCTGATTTTTTTAAGAAGGGGTTTTTAGTTCTCTTTGTAGACATCTTTTAGCTTCCTAGTTACCTGTATTCTTGGGTATTTTGTTCTTCTTGTGGCAATTGTGAATGGGAGTTTATTCCTTATTTGACTCTTGGCTTGACTATTGTTGGTGTATAGAAATACTAGGTTTTTTCGTCCACACTTCCAAGATGGCTGAATAGGAACAGCTCTGGTCTGCAGCTCCCAGTGAGGTCAGTGCAGAAGGTGGGTGATTTCTGCATTTCCAACTGAGATACCTGGTTCATCTCATTGGGACTTGTTGGACAGTGGGTTCAGCCCATGGAGGGTGAACTGAAGCAGGGCAGGGCATCACCTCACCTGGGAAGCACAAGGGGTTGGGGGATTTTCCTTTTCTAGCCAAGGGAAGCTGTGACAGACTGTACCTCAAGAAACGGTACACTCCTGACCAAATACTCTGCTTTTCCCATGGTCTCAGCAATGCAACACACCAGGAGATACCGTCTCGTGCCTGGCTTGGCAGGTCCCATGCCCAAGGAGACTTGCTCACTGTTAGCACAGCATTCTAAGATCAAACTGAGATGCAGCAGCTTGATAGGGGGAGGGGCATCCTCCATTGCTGAGGCTTGAGTAGCTCACAGTATAAACAAAGCAGCCGGGAAGCATGAACTGGGTGGAGCCTACTGCAGCTCAGCAAGGCCTACTTCCTCTCTAGATTCCACATCTGGGGGCAGGACATAGCAGAACAAAAGGCAGTAAACAGCTTCTGCAGACTTAAACGTCCCTGTCTGACAGCTCTGAAGAGAGCAGTTGTTCTCCCAGCACAGGGTTTGATCCCCAAGAATGGACAGACTGCCTCCTCAAATGGGTCCCTGACCCCCATGTAACCTGACTGGGAAACACCTCCCAGTAGGGGAAGACAGACACTTCAAACAGGCGGGTGACCCTCTTGGTCAAAGCTTCCAGAGGAAGGATCAGGCTGCAATATTTGCTGTTCTGCAGCCTCTGCTAGTGATGCCCAGGCAAACAGGGTCTGGAGTGGACCTCTAGCAAACTCCAGCAGACGTGCAGCAGAGGGGTATGACTGTTAGAAGAAAAACTAACAAACAGAAAGGAGTAGCATCAGCATCAACAAAAAGAACATCCACACTAAAACCTCATCTGTAGGTTACCAATGTCAAACACCAAAGTTAGATAAAACAACAAAGATGGGGAGAAACCAGAGCAGAAAAGCTGAAAATTCCAAAAAACAGAGGGTCTCATCTCCTCCAAAGGATCACAGCTCCTCACCAGCAAGGGAACAAAACTGGACAGAGAATGAGTTTGACAAGTTGACAGAAGTAGGCTTCAGAAGGTCCATAATAACAAACTTCTCTGAGCTAAAGGAGCTTGTTCTAACCCATTGCAAAGAAGCTAAAATACTTGAAAAAAGGTTAGACGAATGGCTAACTAGAATAAAGAGTGTATAAAAGACCTTAAGTGACCCAATGGAGCTGAAACCCTTGACACAAGAACTTTGCGTTGCATGCACAATTTTCAATAGCTGATTTGATCAAGTGGAGGAAAGGATATCAGTGATTGAAGATCAAATGAATGAAACAAAGGAAGAAGACAAGATTAGAGAAAAAAGAGTGAAAAGAAATGAACAAAGCCTCCAAGAAATATGGGACTATGTGAAAAAACTAAATCTAGGTTTGATTGGTGTACTGGAAAGTGACAGGGAGAATGGAACCAAGTTGGAAAATACTCTTCAGGATATTATCCAGGTGAACTTCCCTAACCTAGCAAGGCAGGCCAACATTCAAATTCAGGAAATACAGAGAACACCACAAAGATACTCCTTGAGAAGAGCAACCCCAAGACATAATTGTCAGATTCACCAAGGTTGAAATGAAGGAAAATATGTTAAGGGCAGCCAGAGAGAAAGTCAGGTTACCCACAAGGAAAGCCCATCAGACTAACAGGGGATCTCTCGGCAGAAACCCTACAAGCCAGAAGAGAGTGGGGGCCAATATTCAACCTTCTTAAAGAAAATAATTTTTAAACCAGAATCTCACATCCAGCCAAAATAAGCTTCATAAGTGAAGGAGAAATAAAATCCTTACAGACAAGCAAATGCTGAGAAATTTTCTCACCACCAGGCCTGCCTTACAAGAGCTCCTGAAGGAAGCACTAAACATGGAAAGAAACTACTGGTACCAGCCACTGCAAAAACATGCCAAATTTTAAAGACCATCAACACTATGAAGAAACTTCATCAATTAATGGGCAAAATAAACAGCTAACGTCATAATTACAAGATCAAATTCAAACATAACAATATTAACCCTAAATGTAAATGGGCTAAATGCCCCAATTAAAAGACACAGACGGGCAAATTGGATAAAGAGTCAAGACCCATTGGTGTGCTGTATTCAGGAGACCCATCTGACATTCAAAGATGCACATAGGCTCAAAATAAAGGGATGGAGGAAGACCTAAAAAGCAAATGGAAAGCATAAAAAGAGCAGGGGTTGCAATGCTGGTCTCCAATAGAACAGATATTAAACCAACACAGATCAAAAGAGACAAAGAAGATCACACATAACGGTAAAGAAATCAATTCCACAAGAAGAGCTAAGTATCCTAAATATACATGCAGCCAATACAGGAGCACCCAGATTCATAAACAAGTCCTTAGAGAATTACAAAGAGACTTAGACTCCCACACAATAATAATGGGAGACTTTAACAACCCAGTGTCAATATTAGTCAGATCAACAAGACAGAAGGTTAACAAGGATATCCAGGACTTGAACTCAGCTCAGGGTCAAGCAGACCTAATAGACATCTACAGAACTCTCCACCTCAAATCAACAGAATACACATTCTTTTCAGCACAACATCACACATATTCTAAAATTGACCACATAATTGGAAGTAAAATACTTTTCAGCAAATGAAAAAGAACAGAAATCACAACAGTTTCTCAGACCACAGTGCAATCAAATTAGAACTCAGGGTTAAGAAACTCACTCAAAACCACACAACTACATGGAAAGTGAACAACCTGCACCTGAATGACGACTGGATAAATAATGAAATGAAGGCAGAAATAAAGATGTTCTTTGAAACCTGTGAGAACAAAGACACAACATACCAGAACCTCTGGGACACAATTAAAGCAGTGTGTAGAGGGAAATTTATAGCACTGTATGTCCACAAAAGAAAGCCATAAAGATCTAAAATTGACACCCTAACATCACAATTAAAAGAACTAGATAAGCAAGAACAAACAAATTCAAAAGAGAGCAGAAGACAAGAAAAAACTAAGATCAGAGCAGAACTTAAGGAGATACACACAAACAACCCTTCAAAAATCCATGAATCCAGGAGTTGGTTTTTTGAAAAAGATGAACAAAGTAGATAGACTGCTAGCAAGGCTTATAAAGAAGAAAAGAGAGAAGAATTAAATCAGTGCAATAAAAATGATAAAAGGGATATCACCACAAATTCCACAGTTTGTAAACTACCACCAGAGAATAGTATAAACACATCTATGCAAATAAACTAGAAAATCTAGAAGAAATAGATAAATTCCTGGACACATACACCCTCCCAAGACTAAACCCGGAAGAAGTTGAATCTCTGAATAGACCAATAATATGTTCTCGAATTGAGGCAATATTTAATAGCCTACCAAGCAAAAAAGTCCAGGACCAGACAGATTCACAGCCTAATTCTACCAGAGGTACAAAGAGGATCTGGTATCACTCCTTCTGAAACTGTTTAAATCAGTAGAAAAAGAGGGAATCCTCCCTAATTCATTTTATGAGGCCAATATCATCCTGATGACAAAGCCCGATAGTGACACAACAAAAAAACATAAATTTAGGCCGATATCCCTGATGAACATCGATGTGAGAATTTTCAATAAAATAATGGCAAGCCAAATCCAGCAGCAAATCAAAAAGCTTATCTACCACGATCAAGTTCGCTTCATCCTTGGGATGCAAGGCAGGTTCCACATACGCAAATCAATAAATGTAATCCATCACATAAACAGAATCAATGACAAAAACCACCTGATTATTTCAATAGATGCAGTAAGGGTTTTTTGACAAAATGCAACAGCCCTTCATACTAAAAACTCTCAATAAACTCGGTATTGATGGAACACATCTCAAAATAATAAGAGCTATTTATGACAAATCCACAGCCAATATTACACTAAATGGGCAAAAACTGGAAGCATTCCCTTTGAAAACTGGCACAAGACAAGGATGCCCTCTCTCACCACTCCTATTCAACATAATGTTGGAAGTTCTGGCTAGGGCAATCAGGCAAGAGAAAGAAATAAAGGGTGTTTAATTAGGAAAAGAGGAAGTCAAATTGTCTCTGTTTGCAGATAGCATGATTGTGTATTTAGAATACCCCATTGTCTCAGCCCCAAATCTCCTTAAGCTGATAAGAAACTTCAGCAAATTCTCAGGATACAAAATCTATGTGCAAAAATCACAAGCATTCCATACATCAATAATAGGCAAACAGAGAGCCAAATCATGAGTAAACTCCCATTCACAATTACCACAAAGAGGATAAAATACCTAGGAATCCAACTTGCAAGGGATGTGAAGGACCTCTTCAAGGAGAACTACAAACTACTGCTCAATGAAACAGAAGAGGACACATACAAATGGAAGAACAGTCCATGCTCATGGATAGGAAGAATCAATATTGGGAAAATGACCATACTGCCCAAGGTAATTTTTAGATTCAATGCTATCCCCATCAAGCTACCATGGACTTTCTTTACAGAATTGGAAAAAACTACTTTAAAGTTCATATGGAACCGAAAAAGAGCCCACATAGCCAAGACCATCCTAAGCAAAAAGAACAAAGCTAGAGGCATCACACTACCTGACTTCAAACAATATACTACAAACTATACTTTGGTTACTATACTGTAAGCCTACAGTAACCAAAACAGCATGGTACTTGTAGCAAAACAGATACATAGACCAATGGAACAGAATGGATGCCTCAGAAATAAAACCACATATCTAAAACCATCTGATCTTTGACAAACTTGACAAAGACAACCAATGGGAAAAGATCTCCTATTTAATAAATGGTGCTGGGAAAACTGGCTAGCCATATGTGGAAAGCTGAAACTGCATCCCTTCCTTACATCATGTACAAAAATTAACTCAAGATGGATTAAAGACTTAAATGTAAGACCTAAAACCATAAAAATCCTAGAAGAAAACCTAGGCAATACCATTCAGGACATAGGCATGGGCAAATACTTCATGTCTAAAACTCCAAAACCAATGGTAACAAAAGCCAATATAGACAAATGTGATCTAATTAAACTAATGGGCTTCTGCAGAGCAAAAGAAAATATCATCAGAGTGAACAGGCAACCTACAGAATGGGAGAAAATCCTTGCAATCTACCCATCAGACAAAGGGCTAATATCCAGAATCTACAAAGAACCCAAACAAATTTACAAGATAAAAACAACTCCATCAAAAAGTGGGTAAAGGATATGAACAGACACTTCTCAAAAGAAGACATCTATGCAGCCAACAGACATACGAAAAAATGCTCATCATCACTGGTCATCAGAGAAATGCAAATCAAAACCACAGTGAGGTGCCATCTCACGCCAGTTAGAATGGTGATCATTAAAAAGTCAGGAAACAACAGATGCTGGAGAGGATGTGGAGAAATAGGAACGCTTTTACACTGTTGGTGGGAGTTTAAATTAGTTCAACCATTGTGGAAGACAGTGTGGCAATTCCTCAAGGATCTAGAACTAAAAATACCACTTGACTCAGTGATCCCATTACTGGGTATATACCGAAAGATTATGAATTATACTAGTATAAAGTCACTTGCACATGTATGTTTACTGCGGAACTATTCACAATAGCAAAGACTTGGAACCAACCCAAATGTCCATCAATAATAGACTGGATTAAGAAAATGTGGCACATATATATCATGGAATACTATGCAGCTATAAAAAGGATGATTTCATGTCCTTTGCAGGGAAGCGGATGAAGCTGGAAACCATCATTCTAAGCAAACTATCACAAGGACAGAAAACCAAACATGGCATGTCTTCACTCATAGGTGGGAGTTGAACAATTAGAACACATGGACACAGGGTGGTGAACACCACACACTGGGGCCTGTTGTGCGGTTTGGGACTGTGGGAAGGATAGCATTAGGAAAAATACCTAATGTAAATGACGAGTTGATGGGTGCAACAAACCAACATGGCACATAAATACCTATATAACGAAACTGCACATTCTGCACACGTACCATAGAATTTAAATAATAGTAAGAAAAAAAAAAACTAGTGTTTTTGCCCATTGGTTTTGTATTCCAAGAATTTGCTGAAGTTGTTTGTCAGCTTAAGAAGCTTTTGGGTTGAGACTATGGGTTTTTCTAGTTACAGGATTATGTCATCTGCAAACAGGGATAGTTGGAATTTCTCTATTCATATTTGGATGCCTTTTATTTATTTTGCCTGATTTTCCTGGCCAGAACTTTTAATACTATGTTGAATAGAAGTGGTGAGAGATGATATCTTTGTCTTCTGCCAGTTTTCTTATTATTTTTTCTTTTTTTATTTTTTTTATTATTATACTTTAAGTTTTAGAGTACATGTGCACAATGTGCAGGAGAGTTACATATGTATACATGTGCCATGCTAGTGTGCTGCACCCGTTAACTCGTCATTTAGCATAAGGTATATCTCCTAATGCTATCCCTCCCTCATCCCCCCATGCCACAACAGTCCCCAGAGTGTGATGTTCCCCTTCCTGTGTCCATATGTTCTCATTGTTCAATTTCCACTTATGAGTGAGAATATGCGGTGTTAGGTTTTTTGTTCTTATGATAGTTTACTGAGAATGATGATTTCCAGTTTCATCCATGTCCCTACAAAGGACATGAACTCATCCATTTTTATGGCTGCATAGTATTCCATGGTGTATATGTGCCACATTTTCTTAATCCAGTCTATCATTGTTGGACATTTGGGTCGGTTCCAAGTCTTTGCTATTGTGAATAGTGCCACAATAAACATACATGTGCATGTGTCTTTATAGCAGCATGATTTATAGTCCTTTGGGTATATACCCAGTAATGGGATGGCTGGGTCAAATGGTGTTTCTAGTTCTAGATCCCTGAGGAATCGCGACACTGACTTCCACAATGGTTGAACTGGTTTACAGTCCCACCAACGGTGTAAAAGTGTTCCTATTTTTCCATATCCTCTCCAGCACCTGTTGTTTCCTGACTTTTTAATGATTGCCATACTAACTGGTGTGAGATAGTATCTCATTGTGGTTTTGATTTGCATTTCTCTGATGGCCAGTGATGGTGAGCATTTTTTCATGTGTTTTTTGGCTGCATAAATGTCTTCTTTTGAGAAGTGTCTGTTCATATCCTTTGCCCACTTTTTGATGGGGTTGTTTGTTTTTTCCTTGTAAATTTGTTTGAGTTCATTGTAGATTCTGGATATTAGCCCTTTGTCAGATGAGTATGTTGCGAAAATTTTCTCCCATTTTGTAGGCTGCCTGTTCACTCTGATGGTAGTTTCTTTTGCTGTGCAGAAGCTCTTTAGTTTAATTAGATCCCATTTGTCAATTTTGGCTTTCATTGCCTTTGCTTTTGGTGTTTTAGACATGAAGTCCTTGCCCATGCCTATGTCCTGAATGGTAATTCCTAGGTTTTCTTCTAGGGTTTTTATGGTTTTAGGTCTAACGTTTAAGTCTTTAATCCATCTTCAATTAATTTTTGTATAAGGTGTAAGGAAGGAATCCAGTTTCACTTTTCTCCATATGACTAGCCAGTTTTCCCAGCACAATTTATTAAATAGGGAATCCTTTCCCCATTGCTTGTTTTTGTCAGGTTTGTCAAAGATCAGATAGTTGTAGATATGTGGCATTATTTCTGAGGGCTCTGTTCTGTTTCACTGGTCTATATCTCTGTTTTGGTACCAGTACCATCCTGTTTTGGTTAGTGTAGCCTTGTAGTATAGTTTGAAGTCAGGTAGTGTGATGCCTCCAGCTTTGTTCTTTTGGCTTAGGATTGACTTGGCGATGCGGGCTCTTTTTTGGTTCCATATGAACTTTAAAGTAGTTTTTTCCAATTCTGTGAAGAAAGTCATTGGTTGCTCGATGGGGATGGCATTGAATCTATAAGTTACATACCCATGAGCATGGAATGTTCTTCCATTTCTTTGTATCCTCTTTGATTTCATTGAGCAGTGGTTTGTAGTTCTCCTTGAAGAGGTCCTTCACATCCATTGTAAGTTAGATTCCTAGGTATTTTATTCTCTTTGAAGCAATTGTGAATGGGAGTTCACTCATGATTTGGCTCTCTCTTTGTCTGTTACTGGTGTATAAGAATGCTTGTGATTTTTGTACATTGATTTTGTATCCTGAGAGTTTGCTGAAGTTACTTACCAGCTTAAGGAGATTTTGGGCTGAGACAATGGGGTTTTCTAGATATACAATCATGTCATCTGCAAACAGGGACAATTTGACTTCCTCTTTTCCTAATTGAATACCCTTTATTTCCTTCTCCTGCCTCATTGCCCTGGCCAGAACTTCCAACACTATGTTGAATAAGAGTGGTGAGAGAGGGCATCCCTGTCTTATGCAAGTTTTCAAAGGGAATGCTTCCAGTTATTGCCTATTCAGTATGATATTGGCTGTGGGTTTGTCATAGATAGCTCTTATTATTTTGAGATACGTCCCATCAATACCTAATTTATTGAGAGTTTTTAGCATGAAGTGCTGTTGAATTTTGTCAAAGGCCTTTTCTGCATCTATTGAGATAATCATGTGGTTTTTGTCTTTGGTTCTGTGTATATGCTGGATTACATTTATTGATTTGCGTATATTGAACCAGCCTTGAATCCCAGGGATGAAGCCCACTTGATCATGCTGGATAAGCTTTTTGATGTGCTGCTGGATTCTGTTTGCCAGTATTTTATTGAGGATTTTTGCATCAATGTTCATCAAGGATATTGGTCTAAAATTCTCTTTTTTGTTTGTGTCTCTACCCGCCTTTGGTATCAGGATGATGCTGGTCACATAAAATGAGTTAGGGAGGACACCCTTTTTTTTTATTGATTGGAATAGTTTCAAAAGGAGTGGTACCAGTTCCTCCTTGTACCTCTGGTAGAATTCGCCTCTGAATCCATCTGATCCTGGACTCTTTTTGGTTTGTAAGCTATTGATTGTTGCCACAATTTCAGAGCCTGATATTGGTCTATTCAGAGATTCAACTTCTTCCTGGTTTAGTCTTGGGAGGGTGTATGTGTTGAGGAATTTATCCGTTTCTTCTAGATTTTCTAGTTTATTTGTGTAGAGGTGTTTGTAGTATTCTCTGAGGGTAGTTTGTATTTCTGTGGGATCGGTGGTGATATCCCCTTTATCATTTTTTATTGCGTCTATTTGATTCTTCTCTCTTTTCTTCCTTATTTGTCTTGCTAGCAGTCTACCAATTTTGTTGATCCTTTCACAAAACCAGCTCCTGGATTCATTAATTTTTTGAAGGGTTTTTTGTGTCTCTATTTCCTTCAGTTCTACTCTGATTTTAGTTATTTGTTGCCTTCTGCTAGCTTTTGAATGTGTTTGCTCTTGCTTTCCTAGTTCTTTTAATTGTGATGTTAGGGTGTCAATTTTGGATCTTTCCTGCTTTCTCTTGTGGGCATTTAGTGCTATAAATTTCCCTCTACACACTGCCTTGAATGTTTCCCAGAGATTCTGGTATGTTGTGTCTTTGTTTTCGTTGGTTTCAAAGAACATCTTTATTTCTACCTTCATTTCCTTATGTACCCAGTAGTCGTTCAGGAGCTGGTTGTTCAGTTTCCATGTAGTTGAGCGGTTTTTTTTTGTTTAAGAAGTCTTTTTATTTTTTATTTTTTAACGTTTTACAATTTATTTTTTATTTTTATTTTTATTTTTAATTATACTTTAAGTTTTAGGGTATATGTGCACATTGTGCTGATTAGTTACATATGTATACATGTGCCATACTGGTGCGCTGCACCCACTAACTTGTCATCTAGCATTAGGTATATCTCCCAATGCTATCCCTCCCCCCTCCCCCCACCCCACAACAGTCCCCAGAGTGTGATATTCGCCTTCCTGTGTCCATGTGATCTCATTGTTCAATCCCCACCTATGAGTGAGAATATGCGGTGTTTG
Organism: Homo sapiens; assembly: GCF_000001405.40. Classification (NCBI taxonomy): domain Eukaryota; kingdom Metazoa; phylum Chordata; class Mammalia; order Primates; family Hominidae; genus Homo; species Homo sapiens. The sequence continues at coordinate 76,578,083 of NC_000023.11, forward strand.
GTTTTTTGTTCTTGCGATAGTTTACTGAGAATGATGATTTCCAATTTCATCCATGTCACTACAAAGGACATGAACTCATCATTTTTTATGGCTGCATGGTATTCCATGGTGTATATGTGCCACATTTTCTTAATCCAGTCTATCATTGTTGGACATTTGGGTTGGTTCCAAGTCTTTGCTATTGTGAATAATGCCGCAATAAACATACATGTGCATGTGTCTTTATAACAGCATGATTTATAGTCCTTTGGGTATATACCCAGTAATGGGATGGCTGGGTCAAATGGTATTTCTACTTCTAGATCCCTGAGGAATTGCCACACTGACTTCCACAATGGTTGAACTAGTTTACATTCCCACCAACAGTATAAAATGTTCCTATTTCTCCACATCCTCTCCAGCACCTGTAGTTTCCTGACTTTTTAATGATTGCCATTCTAACTGGTGTGAGATGGTATCTCATTGTGGTTTTGATTTGCATTTCTCTGATGGCCAGTGATGATGAGCATTTTTTCATATGTATTTTGGCTGCATAAATGTCTTCTTTTGAGAAGTGTCTGTTCATGTCCTTCACCCACTTTTGGATGGGGTTGTTTGTTTTTTTCTTGTAAATTTGTTTGAGTTCATTGTAGATTCTGGATATTAGCCCTTTGTCAGATGAGTAGGTTGTGAAAATTTTCTCCCATTTTATAGGTTGCCTGTTCACTCTGATAGTAGTTTCTTTTGCTGTGCAGAAGCTCTTTAGTTTAATTAGATCCCATTTGTCAATTTTGGCTTTTGTTGCCATTGCTTTTGGTGTTTTAGACATGAAGTCCTTGCCCATGCCTATGTCCTGAATGGTAATGCCTAGGTTTTCTTCTAGGGTTTTTATGGTTTTAGGTCTAATGTTTAAATCTTTAATCCATCTTGAGTTGATTTTTGTAAAAAGGTGTAAGGAAGAGATCCAGTTTCAGCTTTCTACATATGGCTAGCCAGTTTTCCCAGCACCATTTATTAAATAGGGAATCCTTTCCACATTGCTTGTTTTTCTCAGGTTTGTCAAAGATAAAATAGTTGTAGATATGCTGCGTTATTTCTGAGGGCTCTGTTCTGTTCCATTGATCTATATCTCTGTTTTGGTGCCAGTACCATGCTGTTTTGGTTAGTGTAGCCTTGTAGTATAGTTTGAAGTCAGGTAGTGTGATGCCTCCAGCTTTGTTCTTTTGGCTTAGCATTGACTTGGCAATGCGGGCTCTTTTTTGGTTCCATATGAAATTTAAAGTAGTTTTTTCCAATTCTGTGAAGAAAGGCATTGGTAGCTTGATGGGGATGGCATTGAATCTGTAAATTACCTTGGGCAGTATGGCCATTTTCACCATATTGATTCTTCCTACCCATGAGCATGAAATTTTCTTCCATTTGTTTGTATCCTCTTTTATTTCCTTGAGCAGTGGTTTGTAGTTCTCCTTGAGGAGGTCCTTCACATCCCTTGTAAGTTGGATTCCTAGGTATTTTATTCTCTTTGAAGCAATTGTGAATGGGAGTTCACTCATGATTTGGCTCTCTGTTTGTCTGTTGTTCGTGTATAAGAATGCTTGTGATTTTTGTACATTTATTTTGTATCCTGAGACTTTGCTGAAGTTGCTTATCAGCTTAAGGAGATTTTGGGCTGAGACAATGGGGTTTTCTAGACATACAATCATGTCGTCTGCAAACAGGGACAATTTGACTTCCTCTTTTCCTAATTGAATACCCTTTATTTCCTTCTCCTGCCTCATTGCCCTGGCCAGAACTTCCAACACTATGTTGAATAGGAGTGGTGAGAGAGGGCATCCCTGTCTTGTGGCAGTTTTCAAAGGGAATACTTCCAGTTATTGCCCATTCTATATGATATTGGCTGTGGGTTTGTCATAGACAGCTCTTATTATTTTGAGATACGTCCCATCAATACCTGATTTATTGAGAGATTTTAGCATGAAGTGCTGTTGAATTTTGTCAAAGGCCTTTTCTGCATCTATTGAGATAAGCATGTGGTTTTTGTCTTTGCTTCTGTTTATATGCTGGATTACATTTATTGATTTGTGTATATTGAACCAGCCTTGCATCCCAGGGATGAAGCCCACTTGTTCATGGAAGATAATCTTTTTGATGTGCTGCTGGATTCTGTTTGCCAGTATTTTGTTGAGGATTTTTGCATCAATGTTCATCAAGGTTATTGGTCTAAAATTCTCTTTTTTTGTGTGTCTCTGCCTGGCTTTGGTATCAGGATGATGCTGGCCTCATAAAATAAGTTAGAGAGGATTTCCTCTTTTTCTATTGATTGGAATAGTTTCCAAAGAGTGGAACCAATTCCTCCTTGTACCTCTAGTAGAATTCGACTGTCGAATCCATCTGGTCCTGGGCTCTTTTTGGTTGGTAAGCTATTGATTTTTGCCACAATTTCAGAGCCTTTTATTGGTCTATTCAGAGAATCAACTTCTTCCTGGTTTAGTCTTGGGAGGGTGTATGTGTCGAGGAATTTATCCATTTCTTCTAGATTTTCTAGTTTATTTCCATAGAGGTGTTTGTAGTATTCTCTGATTGTAGTTTGTATTTCTGTGCGATTGGTGGTGATATCCCCTTTATCATTTTTTATTGTGTTTATTTGATTCTTCTCTCTTTTTTTCTTTGTTAGTCTTGCTAGTGGTCTATCAGTTTTGTTGATCCTCTCAAAAAACCAGCTCCTGGATTCATTAATTTTTTGAAGGGTTTTTTGTATCTCTATTTCCTTCTGTTCTGCTCTGATTTTAGTTATTTCTTACCTTCTGCTAGCTTTTGAATGTGTTTGCTCTTGCTTTTCTAGTTCTTTTAATTGTGATGTTAAGGTGTCAATTTTAGATCTTGCCTGCTTTCTCTTGTGGGCATTTAGTGCTATAAATTTCCCTCTACACACTGCTTTGAATGTGTCCCAGAGATTCTGGTATGTGGTGTCTTTGTTCTCGTTGGTTTCAAAGAACATCTTTATTTCTGCCTTCATTTCGTTATGTATCCAGTAGTCATTCAGGAGTAGGCTGTTCAGTTTCCATGTAGTTGAGCGGTTTTGGGTGAGTTTCTTAATCTTGAGTTCTAGTTTGATTGCACTGTGGTCTGAGAGACAGTTTGTTATAATTTCTATAATTTTACGTTTGCTGAGGAGAGCTTTACTTCCAATTATGTGGTCAATTTTCGAATACGTGTGGTGTGTTGTTGAAAAAAATGTATATTCTGTTGATTTGGAGTGGAGAGTTCTGTAAATGGCTATTAGGTCCACTTGGTGCAGAGCTGAGTTCAATTCCTGGATATCCTTCTTAACTTTGTGTCTCGTTGATCTGTCTAATGTTGATAGTGGGGTGTTAAAGTCTCCCATTATTATTCTGTGGGAGTCTAAGTCTCTTTGTAGGTCACTCAGGACTTTCTTTATGAATCTGGGTGCTCCTGTATTGGGTGCATATAGATTTAGGATAGTTAGCTCTTCTTGTTGAATTGATCCCTTTACCATTATGTAATGGCCTTCCTTGTCTCTTTTGATCTTTGTTGGTTTAAAGTCTGTTTTATCAGAGACTAGGATTGCAACCCCTGCCTTTTTTTGTTTTCCATTTGCTTGGTAGATCTTCCTCCATCCTTTTATTTTGAGCCTATGTGTGTCTCTGCCCGTGAAATGGGTTTCCTGAATACAGCACACTGATGGGTCTTGACTCTTTATCCAATTTGCCAGTCTGCGTCTTTTAATTGGCGCTTTTAGTCCATTTACATTTAAAGTTAATATTGTTATGTGTGAATTTAATCCAGTCATTATGATGTTAGCTGGTTCTTTTGCTGGTTAGTTGATGCAGTTTCTTCCTAGTCTCGATGGTCTTTACATTTTGGCATGATTTTGCAGTGGCTGGTACCGGTTTTTCCTTGCCATGTTTAGTGCTTCCTTCAGGAGCTCTTTTAGGGCAGGCCTGGTGGTGACAAAATCTCTCAGCATTTGCTTGTCTGTAAAGGATTTTATTTCTCCTTCACTTATGAAGCTTAGTTTGGCTGGATATGAAATTCTGGGTTGAAAATTCTTTTCTTTAAGAATGTTGAATATTGGCCCCCACTCTCTTCTGGCTTGTAGGGTTTCTGCCGAGAGATCCGCTGTTAGTCTGATGGGCTTCCCTTTGAGGGTAACCCGACCTTTCTCTCTGGCTGCCCTTAACATTTTTTCCTTCATTTCAACTTTGGTGAATCTGACAATTATGTGTCTTGGAGTTGCTCTCCTCGAGGAGTATCTTTGTGGCGTTCTCTGTATTACCTGAGTCTGAACGTTGGCCTGCCTTGCTAGATTGGGAAAGTTCTCCTGGATAATATCCTGCAGAGTGTTTTCCAACTTGGTTCCATTCTCCCCATCACTTTCAGGTACACCATCAGACGTAGATTTGGTCTTTTCACATAATCCCATATTTCTTGGAGGCTTTGCTTATTTCTTTTTATTCTTTTTTCTCTAAACTTCCCTTCTCACTTCATTTCATTCATTTCATCTTCCATTGCTGATACCCTTTCTTCCAGTTGATCGCGTTGGCTCCTGAGGCTTCTGTATTCTTCATGTAGTTCTCGAGCCTTGGTTTTCAGCTCCATCAGCTCCTTTAAGCACTTCTCTGTTTTGGTTATTCTAGTTATACATTCTTCTAAATTTGTTTCAAAGTTTTCAACTTCTTTGCCTTTGGTTTGAATGTCCTCCCATAGCTCAGAGTAATTTGATCGTCTGAAGCCTTCTTCTCTCAGCTCATCGAAGTCATTCTCCATCCAGCTTTGTTCCATTGCTGGTGAGGAGCTGCGTTCCTTTGGAGGAGGAGAGGTGCTCTGCTTTTTAGTTTCCAGTTTTTCTGCTCTGTTTTTTCCCCATCTTTGTGGTTTTACCGACTTTTGATCTTTGGTGATGTTGATGTACAGATGGGTTTTTGGTGTGGATGTCCTTTCTGTTTGTTAGTTTTCCTTCTAACAGACAGGACCCTCAGCTGCAGGTCTGTTGGAGTTTGCTAGAGGTCCACTCCAGACCCTGTTTGCCTGGGTACCAGCAGTGGTGGTTGTAGAACAGCAGATTTTCATGAACCGCGAATGCTGCTGTCTGAAGGTTCCTCTGGAAGTTTTGTCTCAGAAGAGTACCCGGCCGTGTGAAGTGTCAGTCTGCCCCTACTGGGGGGTGTCTCCCAGTTAGGCTGCTCGGGGTCAGGGGTCAGGGACCCACTTGAGGAGGCAGTCTGCCAGTTCTGAGATCTCCAGCTGCGTGCTGGGAGAACCACTGCTCTCTTCAAAGCTGTCAGACAGGGACATTTAAGTCTGCAGAGGTTACTGTTGTCTTTTTGTTGGTCTGTGCCCTGCCCCCAGAGGTGGAGCCTACAGAGGCAGGCAGGCCTCCTTGAGCTGTGGTGGGCTCCACCCAGTTCAAGCTTCCCAGCTGCTTTGTTTACCTAAGCAAGCCTGGGTAATGGCGGGTGCCCCTTCCCCAGCCTTGCTGCTGCCTTGCAGTTTGATCTCCGACTGCTGTGCTAGCAACCAGTGAGACTCCGTGCGTGTAGGACCCTCTGAGCCAGGTGCGGGATATAATCTCCTGGTGCACCATTTTTTCAGCTCCTCTGAAAAGTGCAGTATAGGGATGGGAGTGACCTGATTTTCCAGGAGCCTTCTGTCACCCCTTTCTTTGACTAGCAATGGGAACTCCCTGACTCCTTGTGCTTCCCAAGTGAGACAATGCCTTGCCCTGCTTCGTCTCATACACGGTGGGCTGCACCCACTGTCCTGCACCCACTATCTGGCACTCCCTAGAGACATGGACCCAGTACCTCAGATGGAAATGCAGAAATCATCCATCTTCTGTGTCACTCATGCTGGGCGCTGTAGACCGGAGTTGTTCCTATTCAGCCATCTTGGCTCCACCCACCCCAGCTTGGCAATTTAATTTGAAGTCCGGTAATGTGATTCCTCCACTTTTTTTTTTTTTTTTTGGATGGAGGCTTGCTCTGTAGCCAGGCAGGAGTGCAATGGCATGATCTCAGCTCACTGCAACCTCCACCTCCTGGGTTCAAGTGATTCTCCTGCCTCAGCCTCCTGAGTAGCTGGTACTATAGTTATGCACCACCACACCCAGATAATTTTTGTATTTTTTGTTGAGATGGGGTTTCACCATGTTGGCCTGGATGGTCTCGATCTCTTGACCTCATGTTCCGTGATCCACCCACCTCAGCCTCCCAGTGTGCTGGGATTACAGGTGTGAGCCAACGTGCCTGGCCCTCCCATTTTGTTCTTATTGGGCAGGATAGCTTGGGTTATGCTGAGTCTTTTTTGTTTTCATGTAAATTTTAAAATTATTTTTATTTCTGTGAAAACTATCATTTGTATTTTGATAAGGTTTGCATTGAATCTGTAGATTTCTCTGAGAAGTATTGTTATTTTAATAACATTGTTTCTTTAGATCCATGAACTTGAAATATCTTTCCATTTTCTTGTGTCCTTTTCAATTTCTTTCATCAGTGTTTTATAGTTTTTATGTAGAGATAAAACTTTATTTGTAGAGATAAAACTTTTATTGTAGAGATAAAACTTTCTCAATTAAGTTAATTCCTAAGTGATTTTAATTCTGGCCACTGAAAATGAGATTACTTTTTGATTTCTTTTTCAGATGGTTCAGTGTTGGCATTTAGAAATGCTACTGATTTTTGTATCTTGATTTTGTGTTCTGCAACTTCACTAAATTTCTTTGTCAGTTCTAAAAGTTTTTGTTCTAGTCTTTAGTTTTATCCAGATATAAGATTATATCATCTGCAAACAAGGATAATTTGTCTAGTTCCTGTCTAATTAGGATGCCTTTTATTGTTTTCTCTTTTCTGGTTTCTCTAGCTAGAATTCCTGGTACTATATTGAATAAAAGTGTTGACAGTAGGAATCCTTATCAGGTTACAGGTAGTAAAAGAAAGGCTTGCAGATTTTTTCCCATTAATTTTTATACTAGCTCTGGGTCGGTCACATATGGTTTTTATAGTACTGAGGTATGTTTCCTCTATACATAACTTTTGAGGGTTTCTTATTATAAGGAATGTTGAATTTTATTAAATTCCTTCTCAACATGAATTGATGTAATTATATGTTTTTTTCCTTTATGCTGCTGATATGATGTATCACATTGATTAACTTGCATACAGAGAAATATATTGCATCCTTTGGATAAAACCCACTTAATCTTGATGAAGATTTTTAATCTATTGTTGAATTCTGTTTGCTAGCATTTTGTTAAGAATTTTTGCATATTCGTCTGTAGTTTTCTTTTTTGGGGTGTCTTTGTCCGATTTTAGTATTCGGGTAATATTGGCCTTACAGAATAAATCTGTTATTATTCACTAATTTTCCTGTATTTTTTAGAGTACTTTGAGTCAGATTGGTGTCAGTTTTTCTTTAATTGTTTGGTGTAAAATTTAGCAGTGAAACCATCAGGTCCCAGACTTTAAACTATTGAGTTTTTTAAAATTATACTTTAAGTTCTGGAATACATGTGCAGAAAGTGCAGGTTTGTTACATAGGTATACACGTGCCATGGTGGTTTGCTACACTAACCAACCCGTCATCAACATTATGTATTTCTCCTAATGCTATCCATTCCCTAGCCCCACAAACCCCAACAAGCCCCAGTGTGTGATGTTCCCTGCCCTGTGTCCATGTGTTGTCATTGTTCAATTCCAACTTATGAGTGAGAAGATGTGGTGTTTGGTTTTCAGTTCCTGTGTTAGTTTGCTGAGAATGAGGGTTTCCAACTTCATCCATGTCCCTGCAAAAAACATGAACTCACCCTTTTTAATGGCTGCAGAGTATTCCATGGTGTATATGTGTCATATTTTCTTTATCTAGTCTATCATTGATGGGCATTTGGGTTGGTTTGAAGTCTTCAATATTGTGAACAGTGCCACAATAAGCATACGTGTGCATGTGTCTTTATAGTGCAATGATTTATAATCCTTTGGATATATACCCAGTAATGGAATTGCCGGGTCAAATGATATTTCTGGTTATAGATCCTTGAGGAATCGACACGCTGTCTTCCACAATGGTTGAAATAATTTACACTCCCACCAACAGTGTAAAAGTGTTCCTATTTCTCCACATCCTCTCCAGCATCTGTAGTTTCCTGACTTTTTAATGATTGCCATTTGAACAGGCATGAGATGGTATCTCATTGGGGTTTTGATTTGCATTTCTCTGATGACCAGTGATGATGAGCTTTTTTTCATATGTTTGTTGGCCATATAAATGTCTTCTTTTGACAAATGTCTGTACATATCCTTTGTGCACTTTTTGATGGGGTCGTTTTTACTTTTCCTGTAGATTTGTTTAAGTTCCTTGTAGATTCTAAATATTAGCCAAAGTCTGATGGATAGATTGCAAAAATTTTCTCCTGTTCTGTATGTTTCCTGTTCACTCTGATGATAGTTTCTTTTGCTATGCAGAAACTCTTTAGTTTATTTAGATCCTATTTGTCAATTTTGGCTTGTCATAGCTTTTGGCGTTTTATTCATGAAGTCTTTGCCTATGCCTATGTCCTGAATGGTATTGCCTAGGTTTTCTTTAGGGTTTTTATGGTTTTAGATCTTACATTTAAGTCTTTAATCCATCTTGAGGTAATTTTTGCATACTGTGTAAGAAAATGGTTCAGTTTTAGTTTTCTGCCTATGGCTAGCCAGTTTTCCCAACACCATTTATTAAATATGGAACCCTTTCCTCATTGCTTCTTTTTGTCAGATTTGTCAAAGATCAGATGGTTGTAGCAGTGTAGTGTTATTTCTGAGGCCTCTGTTCTGTTCCATTAGTTTGTATATCTGTTTTGGTTGTTATTTCTGAGGCCTCTGTTCTGTTCCATTAGTTTATATATCTGTTTTGGTTCCAGTACCATGCTGTTTTGGTTACTGTAGCCTTGTACTACAGTTTGAAGTCAGGTAGCATGATGCCTCCAGCTTTGTTCTCTTTGTTTAGGATTGCCTCAGTTATACGGGCTCTTTTTTGGTTCTGTATGAAATTTAAATTAGTTTTTTTTTCTAATTCTGTGAAGAAAGTCAATGGTAGATTGATGGGGATAGCATTGAGTCTATAAACTACTTTGGGCAGTATGGTTATTTTCACAATATCGATGGCTCATAGCCATGAGCATAGAAAGTTTGTACCTTTGTTTGTGTCCTCCGTTATTTCTTTGAGAAGTGGTTTGTAGTTCTTGAAGAGGTTCTTCACGTCCCTTGTAAGTTGTATTCCTAGGTACTTTATTCTCTTTGCAGCAATTATGAATGGGAGTTCACTCATGATTTGTCTCTCTGTTTATCTATTATTAGTGTATAGAAATTCTTGTGATTTTTGCACATTGATTTTGTATCATGAGACTTTGCTGAAGTTTATCAGCTTAAGGATATTTTGGACTGAGACAATGGGGTTTTGTCATACAATCAATATACAATCATGTCAATATAAAATATACAATCATATCATATACAAACAGAAAATTTTACTTCCTCAATTTTTATTTGAATACCCTTCTTTATTTATTTATTTATTTTTGCCTGATTGCCCTGGCCAGAACTTCCAATATTATGTTGAATAGGAGTGGTGAGAGAGGGCATCCTTGTCTTGTGCCAGTTTTCCAAGGGAATTATTCCAGCTTTTGCCCATTTAGTATGATATTGGCTGTAGGTTCATCATAAGTAGCTTGTATTATTGTCAGATATGTTCCATCAATACCTAGTTTATTGAGAGTTTTTAGCATGAAGCGGTGTTAAATTTTATCAAATGATTTTTCTGCATCTATTGAGTTAATCATGTGGTTTTTGTCATTGGTTCTGTTTATGTGATGGATTACATGTATTGATTTGCATGTGGTGAACCAGCCTTGCATCCCAGGGTGAAGCCAACTTGGTCATGGTGGATAAGCTTTTTGATGTACTGCTGGATTTGGTTTGCCCTATTGAGGACTTTCACAGCTATGTTCATCAGGGTTATTGGCCTGAAATTTTCCATTTTTATTGTGTCTCTGCCAGGTTTTGGTATCAAGATGATGCCGGCCGCATAAAATGAGTTAGGGAGAATTCCCTCTTTTTTCTATTGTTTGGAATAGTTTCAGAATGAATGGTACAAGACCCTCTTTGTACCTCTGGTAGAATTCGACTGAATCCATCTGGTCCTGGACTTCTTTTGGTTGGTAGGCTAATAATTACTCCCTCAACTTCAGAACTTTTTATTGGTCTATTCAGGGATTCAATTTGTTACTGGTCTAGTCTTGGGAAGGTGTATGTTTCCAGGAATTTATTCATTTCTTCTAGGTTTTCTAGTTTATTTGTGTAGAGGTGTTTATAGTATTCACTGATGGCAGTTTGTATTTCTGTAGGATCAGTGGTGGTATCTCCTTTATCACTTTTTATTGTATCTATTTGATTCTGCTCTCTTTTTTTCTTTATTAGTCTGGCTACTGGTCTATATGTATTTTGTTAATCTTTTCAAAAAAACAGTTTCTGGATTCATTGATTTTTTTAAAATTTTTTTTGTGTCTTGATCTCCTTCAGTTCTACTCTGATATTAGTTGTTTTTTGTCTTCTGCTAGCTTTTGAATTTGTTTACTCTTTCTTCGCTAGTGCTTTTAATTGTGATGTTAGGGTGTCAATTTTAGATTTTTCCCACTTTCTTCTGGGGATATTTAGTGCTATAAATTTCCCTCTAAACACTGCTTTAGTTGTGCACAGAGATTCTGGTTCATTGTGTCTTTGTTCTTATGAGTTTCAAAAAAGTTATTTATTTCTGCCTTAATTTCTTTATTTGCAGTAGTCATTCAGGAGCAGGTTGTTCAGTTTCCATGTAGTTGTGCACTTTTGAGTGAGTTTCTTAATCCTGTGTTCTAATTTCATTGCACTGTGTTCTGAGAGACTGTTTGTTATGATTTCTGTTCTTTTAGATTTGCTGAGGAGTGCTTTACTTCCAACTATGTATTCAATTTTGGAATAAGTGCGATGTGGTGCTGAGAAGAATGTATATTCTGTTGATTTGAGGTGGAGAGTTCTGTAGATGTTTATTAGTTCTGCTTGGTCCAGAGCTGAGTTCAAGTCCTGTATATCCTTGTATAATTCTGTCTCATTGATCTGTGTAATATTGACAGTGGGGTGTTAAATTTTCCCAGTATTGTTTTGTGGGAGTATAAATCTCTTTATAGATCTCTAAGAACTTGCCTTGTGAATCTGGGTGCTCCTGTATTGGGTGCTTATATATTTAGGATATTTAGTTCTTCTTGTTGCATTGATCCCTTTACCATTATGTATTGCCCTTCTTTGGTCTTTTGATTTTTGTTGGTTTAAAATCTGTTTTATCAGAGATTAGGATTGCAACTCCTGCTCTTTTTGCTTTCCATTTGCTTGGTAAATATTCCTCCATCCCTTTATTTTGAGCCTATGTGCGTCTTTGCACGTGAGATGGGTCTCCTGAATACAGCACACTGAAGGGCCTTGACTCTTTATCCAGTTAACCAGTCTGAGTCTTTTATTTGGGGCATTTAGCCCATTTACATTTAAGGTTAATATTGTTATATGTGAATTTTATCATGTCATTAAGATGCTAGCTAGTTATTTTGCCATTAGTTGATGCAGTTTCTTCATAGTGTCAATGTTCTTTACAATTTGGTATGTTTTTGCAGTGGCTGGTACTCGTTGTTCCTTTCCATATTTAGTGCTTCCTTCAGGACCTCTTGTAATGCAGGCCTGGTGGTGACAGAATTTCTCAGGATTTGCTTGTCTGTAAAGGATCTTATTTCTCCATCGCTCATGAAGCTTTAATTTGGCTGGATATGAAATTCCGGATTAAAATTTCTTTTCTTTAAGAATGTTGAATATTGGCTCCCTGTCTCTTCTGGCTTGTAGGGTTTCTGTCAGGAGATATGCTATTAGTCTGATGGTCTTAGCTCTGTGGGTAACCCAACCTTTCTCTCTGTCTGCAGTTGACATTTTTTCCTTCATTTCAATTTTGGTGAATCTGAAGATTGTGTGTCTTAGGGTCGCTTTTCTTGAAGAGTATCTTTGTGGTGTTCTCTGTATTTCCTATATTTTAAAGTTGGCCTGTCTTACTATGTTGGGGAAGGTCTCTTGGATAATATCCTAAAGAGTGTTTTCTAACTTGGTTCTATTCTCCCCATCACTTTCAGGTACACAAATCAAATGTAGATTTGGTCTTTTCACATAGTTCCATCTTTCTTAGAGGCTTTGTTCATTCCTTTTTATTCTTTTTCCTCTAATCTTGTCATCTCGCTTTATTTCATTAAGTTGATCTTCAATCTGTGATATCCTTTCTTCTGCTTGATCAATTTGGCTATGGATGCTTGTGTATGCTTCATGAAGTTCTTGTGCTGTGTTTTTCAGCTCCATCTGGTCATTTATGTTCTTTAAACTGCTTATTTTAGTTAGCAATTCGTCTAACCTTTTTTCAAAGGTTTCAAAGGTTTGCGCTGGTTTCTCTCCAGCTTTATGGATTTATCTACCTTTGGTATTTGATGTTGGTGACCTTCAGATGAGTTCTCTGAGTGAACATGCTATTCCTTTCTGTTTGTTAGTTTTCCTTCTAACAGTCAGGCCTCTCTGTTGCAAGTATGCTGCAGTTTGCTAGAGGTACACTCCAGACACTCTTTGCCTGGGTATCAGAAGCGGAGACTGCAGAACAGGAAATATTGTTTCCTGTTGTTTCATCTGGAAGATTTTTCCCAGAGGGGCACCTGGCATATGCCAGCTGGAGCTCTCCTGTATGAGGTGTCCGTTGTCCTGTACTGAGAGGTGTCTCTCAGTCAGAATACATGAGGGTCAGGGACCCACCTGAGGAGGCAGTGTGACCCTAAGCAGAACTTGAGCTCTGTGCTGTGAGGTCCGCTGTTCTCTTCAGAGCTGTCAGGCAGGGACTTTTAAGTTTGCTGAAGCTGCGCCCACAGCTGCCTCTTTCCCCAGGTGCTCTGTCCCAGGGAGATGGGGGTTATATCTATAAGTCCCTGACTGGGGCTGCTGCCTTTTTTTCAGAGATGCACTGCCCAGAAAGGAGAATTCTGGCAGTCTGGCTGCATTGGCCTTGCTGAGCTGCAGTGGGCTCCATCCAGTTTGAGATTCCCACCAGTTTTGTTTACATTGTGAGGGTAAAACCGCCTACTCAAGCCTCAGCAATGGGGGATGACCCTCCCACCAACCAAGTTCAAGCATCCCAGGTCAATCTCAGATTGCTGCCGTGCTGACAGCAAGAATTTCAAGCCAGTGGATCTTAGTTTGCTGGGCTCTGTGCAGGTGGGACTCACTGAGCCAAAACATTTTGCTCCCTGGCTTCAACCCCCTGTACAGGAGAGTGAATGGTTCTGTCTCCCTGGCATTGCAGGTGCCACTGGGGTATGAAAATAGAAAAACTCCTACAAGTAATTCGCTGTCTGCCCAAATGGCCACCCAGTTTTTTGCTTAAAACCCAGGGCCCTGGTGAGGTAGGCACCTGAAGGAATCTCCTAGTCTGTGCATTGTGAAGACCACGAGAAAAGAGCTGTATCTGGGCTGGAGTGCATGGTTCCTCAGGTTCAGTCCCTCACAGTTTCCCTTGGGCGGGGAAGAAAATTCCCGGACTCGTTGTGCTTCCTGGGTAAGGTGACACCCCACCCTGCTTTGGGTCACCCTCTGTGGGCTGCACCCGTTGTCCAACCAGTCCCAGTGAAATGAACAGGGTACCTTAGTTGGAAATGCAGAAATCACTCACCTTCTTTGTTGATCTCACTGGCAGCTGCAGACTGGACCTGTTCCTATTTGGCCATCTTGCCAGCAATCCTGAGTGATCTTTCTAATGTATTGTTGAATTTTGTTTGCTAGTATGCTGTTGAGGATTTTTGCATAAATATTTATCGGTAATATTGGCTTGTACTTTTTAACTTTTTGATGTGTCTTTGTCTGGTGTTGGTATCAGGACTATTGGCTTCATAGAATGATTTTCAAAGTATTTTCTTTTCCTGTATTTTTTAGAATAATTTCAGAAAAACTGATATTAGTTCATCATTGAATGTTTGGTAAAATTCCACAGTGAAGCCATCAGGTCTCAGGCTTTCCTTTAATAAGAGAATTTTATTATGGCTTCTATCTCATTACTTGTTATTGATTTGTTCAGGTTTTAAATTTCTTTGTGGTTCAATATTGGTAGGTGGTACGTGACTAGGAATTTGTCCATATTTCTAGGCTTTCTCATTTATTGGCATATAGCTGCTCATAGTAGCCACTTATAGTCCTTTAAATTTCTGCAGTGTCAGTTGTAATGACTTTTTTATTTATGATTTTATTTATTTGTATCTCCTCTCTTTTTTCTTAGTCTAGCTAAAAGTTTGTCAATTTTGTTTCACTGTTTAAATCAAAATTTTGTGCAATTAAATGAAACAATATATATATTATTATTTTTTATTATTATACTTTAAGTTGTGGGGTACATGTACATAACGTTCAGGTTTGTTACATAGGTATACATGTACCATAGAGATTTGCTGCACCCATTAACCTGTCATCTACATTAGGTATTTCCCCTAATGCTGTACCTCCCCTAGCCCCCCACCCTCCAACAGGCCCCAACGTGTGATGTTCCCCTCCCTGTGTTCATGTGTTCTCATTGTTCAACTCTCACTTATGAGTGAGAACGTGTGGTGTTTGGTTTTCTGTTCTTGTTTTAGTTTTCTGAGAATGATGGTTTCCAGCTTCATCCAAGTCCCTGCAAAGGACATGAACTCATCCGTTTTTATGCCTGCATAGTATTCCATGGTGTATATGTGCCACATTTTCTTTATCCAGTCTATCATTGATGGGCATTTGTGTTGGTTTCAAGAATTTTCTATTGTGAACAGTGTGTCAATAAACATATGTATGCATGTGTTCTTTATAATAGAATGATTTATATTCCTTTGGGTATATACCTAGTAATGGGATTGCTGGGTCAAATGATATTTTTAGTTCTAGATCATTGAGGAATCACCACACTGTCTTCCACAATCTTTAAACTAATTTAATTTGTTTCAATTTTGAAAAACCAACTTTTTGTTTTATTGATACATTGTATTGGTGTTTTATCTGAATTTTATTTATTCTGCTGTGATTTTATTTGTTTCTCTTTTTCTATTCTGGAGTTGGTTTGCTTTTTCATTTATAGTTCGTTGAGATGCATCATTATGTTATTTATTTAAAGTTTTTTAAAAAATTTCGGCACTTACTGCTATAAGCTTTCTTCTTAGTACTGCTTTTGCTGTATTCCATAAGTTTTAGTATTTTGTGTTTTTATTATTATTTGTTTCAAAATTTTTTTCAATTTTTTTCTTAATTTCTTCACTGACATAGTGGTCATTTAGGAGTATATTGTTTAATTTTTATGTATTTCTATAGTTTCTAAAATTATTGTCGTTGATTTCTAGTTTTATGCCACTGTGGTCATCAAAGAAGCTTGATATTATGTAAAATTTTTGAACTTGTTTTGTGACCTAACATATGGCCTATCGTTGAGAATATTTCATGTGCTGAGTAAAAGAATGTGTATTCTGCAGCCATTCAATAAAATGGCCTGGAAATATCTATTAAATCTATTTATTCTATAATGTACATTAAGTCTGACATTTCTATGATGATTTTCTATCTGAAAGATCTGCTCAGTGTTGATAGTGTGATGTTGAAGTCTTCAGATATTATTGTATTGGGACCTATCTCTCTCTTTAGCTCAAATAATATTTCCTCCACATATCTGGGTGCTCCAGTGTTGGGTGCACGTATATTTAAATGTGTTATATCATCTTGCTGAGTAGACCCCTTTATCATTATATTGTAGTGTTCTTCATTCTCTCTTTTTTCAGTTTTTGTCTTTAAATCTCTTTTGTCTGATGTAAGTATATTGACTTCCATTCTATTTTAGTTTCCATTGTCGTGGAATATTTTTTTCTATGCGTTTATTTCAATCTACGTGAGTTTATATAGGTTAAGTTTGTTTCTTGTAGCAACAGATCTATGAGTTGTTTCTGCATCCATTCAGCCAGTCTATGTCTTTTGATTAGAGAGTTTAGTCTATTGACATTCAATGTTATTATTGATAAGTAATGACTTACTCCTGCCATTTTATTGTTTTATTTCTGGTTGTTTTGTGGCCTTCTCTTCCTTCTTTCTTTCCTTCCTGTCCTTTTTTAGTAAAGATGATTTTCTCTGGTATATGATTTACTTTCTTGCCTTTTATTTTTTCTGTATTTATTGTATTTTATTTGGTTTAGGTTTACCATGAGGCTTGCAAGCACTATCATATAAGCCATTATTTTAAACTGAAAACAACTTAACATTGCATAAATGAAAAAGCAAGCCAAAAGAAAATGAATAAAAACTCTGTGCCTTAGCTTCACCCCCCACTATTTAGCTTTTTATTTCTATTTCTATTGTATTGTGATGTATATTATATTATTATATTGTAAAATATATTTTATTATATTGCATATACATTATATTTATAATATATTGTATATGTGCTAATTTTTTGAAAAGTTTTTGCAGTTATTATTTTTGATTGGTTAATCATTTACTCTTTCTACTTAGAATAAAGTTAGTTTACAAACCACAGTTACAGTATTATAGTATTCTGTGTGCTCTGTGTACTTACTATTACCAGTGAGTTTTGTTTCACCAGGTGATTATGTATTGCTCATTTATTTATTTTTTCCTGATTGAAGTACTCCCTTTAGCATTTCTTGCAGGATAGAAGTGGTGTGGATGAAATCCCTCAGCTTTTGTTTGTCTGGAAGATGCATATTTTTTTCCTTTAGTTTTGAAAGATGTTTTCACCAGATATAATATTCTAGAGTAAAAAGACTTTTTCTTTAGCATTTCCAATTTTTCATGCCACTCTCTTCTGGACTGCAAAGTTTTCACTGAAAAGTCTGCTGCCAGATGTATTGAAGCTCCCTTATGTTATTTGTTTCTTTTCTCTTTCTACTTGTAGGATCCTTTCTTTATCCTTGACCTTTGGCAGTTTGATTATTAAATGCCTTGAGGTAGTCTTTGGGTTAAATCCCCTGCTTGTTCTATAAACCTCTTGTCAATGAATGTTGATATCTCTCTCTAAGTTTGGGAAGTTATCTGTTATTGTCTTTTAGAATACACTTTTTACCCCTACCTTTTTCTCTACCTCCTTTTTAAGGCCAATAAGTCTTAGATTTGCCTTTTTGAGTCTATTTTATATATCCTGAACGTGTGCTTTATTTTTTTATTCTCCATTGACTTTGTATTATTTCAATCTTCTTGTTGAATTTATCTGATAAAATTCTGAATTTGTTCTGTTTTTTTCCAATTTTTTTTGAGTTTTCTCAACACAACTATTTTGAATTATCTGTCTATAATGTAACAAATCTCTGTTTCTCGAGGATTGGTCCCTGGTGCCTTATTTAGTTTATTGATAAGGTCATGTTTTCCTGAATAGTGTTGATGCTAGAAAATGTACTTCAGCATCTGGGCATTGAAGGGTGAGGTATTTATTGTTATCTTTACTCTCTGGCCTTATTTGTACCCATCTGTATTAGTCCGTTTTCATGCTGCTAATAAAGATATACTCAAGACTGGGTAGAAAAAGAGGTTTCATTGGACTTCCAGTTCCACATGACCGGGGGGGCCTCAGAATCATGGCAGGAGGTGCAAGGGATTTCTTACATGGTGGGAGCAAGAGAAAATGAGGGAGATGCAAAAGTGGAAACCCCTGATAAAACCATCGGATCTCATGAGACTTATTCACTACTATAAGAACAATATGGTGGAAACCACCCACATGACAAATTATCTCACACCAGGTCCCTCCAACAACACATGGGAATTATAGGAGTACAATTCAAGATGAGATTTGGGTGGCGACAAGGAGCCAAACCATATCATTCATCCCATCCAAATCTCATATCCTCACATTTCAAAACCAATCATGCCTTTGCAACAGTCCCACAAATTCTTATTCAGCATTAACCCAAAAGTCCACAGGGCAAACTTTCATCTGACACAAAGCAAGTCCCTCTCACTTATGAGCCTATAAAATCAAAAGCAAGCTAGTTACTTCCTAGATACAAGGGGGTACAGATATTGGGTAAATACAGCCATTCCAAATGGGATAAATTGGCCAAAACAAAGGAGTTACAAGGACCATGCAAGTTTGAAATTCAGAAAGGCAGTCAAATTTTAAAGCCCCAAAATGATCTTTTTTGACTCCAGGTCTCATATTCAGGTCACACTAATGCAAGAGTTGGGTTCCCATCATCTTAGGCAGCTGCACCTCTGTGGCTTTGCAGGGTACAACCTCCTTCCAAGCTGCTTTCATGGGCTGGCATTGAGTATCTGTGACTTTTCCAGGCAAACAGTGCAAGCTGTCAGTGGATCTACCATTCTGGGTTCTGGAAAATGGTGGCCCTCTTTTCACAGCTCCACTAGGTGGTGCCTCTGTAGGGACTCTGTGTAGGGGCTCCAACCCCACATTTTCTTTCTGCATTGCCCTAACAGAGGTTCTTCATGAGTGCCCTGCCCCTGCAGCAAACTTCTCCCTGGACATCCAAGCATTTCCATTCATCTTCTAAAATCTAGGTGGAGGCTACCTAACCCCAATTCTTGAATTCTGTGCACTTGCAGGCTCAACACGTCGTGGAAGCTGCCTAGGTTTGGGGCTTTCACCCTCTGAAGGCATGGCTCAAGCTCTATGTTGGCCCCTATCAGCCACAGCTGGAGTGGCTGGGACTCAGGGCACCGAGTCCCTAGGATACATACAGCATGGGGACCCTGGGTCTGACTCACAAAACCATTTCCTCCTAGGTCCCTGGGTCTGTTATTAGAGGGGCTGCTGTGAAGACCCCTGAAATGCCCTGGAGACATTTTCCCTATTGTCTTGGGAATTAATATTCAGTTTCTCATTACTTATGGAAATTTCTGCAGCTGGTTTGAATTTCTTCTCAGAAAATGGATTTTTCTTTATTTTATTTTATTTTATTTTATTATTATTATTATACTTTAAGCTTTAGGGTACAGGTGCACAATGTGCAGATTAGTTATATATGTATACATGTGTCATGCTGGTGTGCTGCACCCATTAACTCGTCATTTAGCATTATGTATATCTCCTAAAGCTATCTCTCCAGCTTCCCCTCACCCCACAACAGTCCCCAGAGTGTGATGTTCCCCTTCCTGTGTCCATGTGTTCTCATTGTTCAATTTCCATCTATGAGTGAGAATATGCGGTGTTTGGTTTTCTGTTCTTGTGATAATTTACTAAGAATGATGATTTCCAATTTCATCCATGTCCCTACAAAGGACATGAACTCATCATTTTTTATGGCTGCATAGTATTCCGTGGTGTATATGTGCCACATTTTCTTAATCCAGTCTATCATTGTTGGACATCTGGGTTGATTCCAAGTCTTTGCTACTGTGAATAGTGCCGCAATAAACATACGTGTGCATGTGTCTTTATAGAAGCATGATTTATAGTCCTTTGGGTATATACCCAGTAATGGGATGGCTGGGTCAAATGGTGTTTCTAGTTCTAGATCCCTGAGGAATCACCACACTGACTTCCACAAGGGTTGAACTAGTTTACAGTCCCACCAACAGTGTAAAAGTGTTCCTATTTCTCCACATCCTGTCCAGCACCTGTTGTTTCCTGACTTTTTAATGATCGCCATTCTAACTGGTGTGAGATGGTATCTCATTGTGGTTTTGATTTGCATTTCTCTGATGGCCAGTGATGGTGAGCATTTTTTCATGTGTTTTTTGGCTGCATAAATATTTTCTTTTGAGAAGTGTCTGTTCATGCCCTTTACCCACTTTTTGATGGGGTTGTTTGTTTTTTCCTTGTAAATTTGTTTGAGTTCATTGTAGATTCTGGATATTAGCCCTTTGTCAGATGAGTAGGTTGCGAAAATTTTCTCCCATTTTGTAGGCTGCCTGTTCACTCTGATGGTAGTTTCTTTTGCTGTGTAGAAGCTCCTTAGTTGAATTAGATCCCATTTGTCAATTTTGTCTTTTGATGTCATTGCTTTTGGTGTTTTAGACATGAAGTCCTTGCCCATGCCTATGTCCTGAATGGTAATGCCTAGGTTTTCTTCTAGGATTTTTATGGTTTTACGTCTAACGTTTAAGTCTTTAATCCATCTTCAGTTAATTTTTGCATAAAGTGTAAGGAAGGGATCCAGTTTCAGCTTTCTCCATATGGCTAGCCAGGTTTCCCAGCACCATTTATTAAATAGGGAATCCTCTCCCCATTGCCTGTTTTTCTCAGGTTTGTCAAAGATCAGATAGTTGTAGATAATGTGGCATTATTTCTGAGGGCTCTGTTCTGTTCCATTGATCTATATCTCTGTTTTGGTACCAGTACCATGCTGTTTTGGTTACTGTAGCCTTGTAGTATAGTTTGAAGTCAGGTAGCGTGATGCCTCCAACTTTGTTCTTTTGGCTTAGGATTGACTTGGCAATGCGGGCTCTTTTTTGGTTCCATATGAACTTTAAGGTAGTTTTTTCCAATTCTGTGAAGAAAGTCATTGGTAGCTTCATGGGGATGGCATTGAATCTATCAATTACCTTGGGCAGTATGGCCATTTTCACGATATTGATTCTTCCTACCCATGAGCATGGAATGTTTTTCCATTTGTTTGTATCCTCTTTTATTTCATTGAACAGTGGTTTGTAGTTCTCCTTGAAGAGGTCCTTCATGTCCCTTGTAAGTTGGATTCCTAGGTATTTTATACTCTTTGAAGCAATTGTGAATGGGAGTTCCCTCATGATTTGGCTCTCTGTTTGTCTGCTATTGGTGTATAAGAATGCTTGTGATTTTTGTACATTGATTTTGTATCCTGAGACTTTGCTGAAGTTGCTTATCAGGTTCAGGAGATTTTGGGCTGAGACAATGGGGTTTTCTAGATATACAATCATGTCATCTGCAAACAGGGACAATTTGACTTCCTCTTTTCCTAATTAAATACATTTTATTTCCTTCTCCTGCCTAATTGCCCTGGCTGGAACTTCCAACACTATGTTGAATAGGAGTGGTGAGAGAGGGCATCCCTGTCTTGTGGCAGTTTTCAAAGGGAATGCTTCCAGTTTTTGCCTATTCAGTATGATATTGGCTGTGGGTTTGTCATAGATAGCTCTTATTATTTTGAGATACGTCCCATCAATACCTAATTTATTGAGAGTTTTTAGCATGAAGTGCTGTTGAATTTTGTCAAAGACCTTTTCTGCATCTATTGAGATAATCATGTGGTTTTTGTCTTTGGTTCTGTGTATGTACTGGATTACATTTATTGATTTGCGTATATTGAACCAGACTTGCATGCTATGGATGAAGCCCACTTGATCATGGTGGATAAGCTTTTTGATGTGCTGCTGGGTTCGGTTTGCCAGTATTTTATTGAAGATTTTTGCATCAATGTTCATCAAGGGTATTGGCCTAAAATTCTCTTTTTTGGTTGTGTCTCTGCCCAGCTTTGGTATCAGGATGATGCTGGCCTCATAAAAGGAGTTAGGGAGGATACCCTCTTTTTCTATTGATTGGAATAGTTTCAGAAGGAATGGTTCCAGTTCCTCCTTGTACCTCTGGTAGAATTCATCTTTGAATCCATCTGGTCCTGGACTCTGTTTGGTTGGTAAGCTATTGATTATTGCCACAATTTCAGATCCTGTTATTGATCTATTCAGAAAGTCAACTTCTTCCTGGTTTAGTCTTGGGAGGGTGTATGTGGCGAGGAATTTATCCATTTCTTCTAGATTTTCTAGTTTATTTGTGTAGAGGTGTTTGTAGTATTCTCTGATGGTAGTTTGTATTTCTGTGGGATTGGTGGTGATATCCCCTTTAACATTTTTTATTGCATCTGTTTGATTCTTCTCTCTTCTTTATTAGTCTTGCTAGCGGTCTATCAATTTTGTTGATCCTTTCAAAAAAACAGCTCCTGGATTCATTAATTTTTTGAAGGGTTTTTTGTGTTTCTATTTCCTTCAGTTCTGTTCTGATTTTAGTTATTTCTTGCCTTCTGATAGCTTTTGAATGTGTTTGCTCTTGCTTTTCTAGTTCTTTTAATTGTGATGTTAGGTTGTCAATTTTGGATCTTTCCTGCTTTCTCTTGTGGGCATTTAGTGCTATCAGTTTCCCTCTACACACTGCTTTGAATGTGTCCCAGAGATTCTGGTATGTTGTGTCTTTGTTCTCGATGGTTTCAAAGAACATCTTTATTTCTACTTTCATTTCATTATGTACCCAGTAGTCATTCAGGAGCAGGTTGTTCAGTTTCCATGTAGTTGAGTGATTTTGAGTGAGTTTCTTAATCCTGAGTTCTAGTTTGATTGCACTGTGGTCTGAGGGACAGTTTGTTATAATTTCTGTTCTTTTATATATGCTGAGGAGTGCTTTACTTCCAACGATGTGGTCAATTTTGGAATAGGTGTGGTGTGGTGCTGAAAAATATGTATATTCTATTGATTTGTGGTGGAGAGTTCTGTAGATTTCTATTAGGTCTGCTTGGTGCAGAGCTGAGTTCAATTCCTGGGTATCCTTGTTAACTTTCTGTCTCATTGATCTGTCTAATGTTGACAGTGGGGTGTTAAAGTCTCCCATTATTATTGTGTGGGAGTCTAAGTTTCTTTGTAGGTCACTGAGGACTTGCTTTATGAATCTGGGTGCTCCTGTATTGTGTGCATATATATTTAGGATAGTTAGCTCTTCTTGGTGAATTGATCCCTTTACCATTATGTAATGGACTTCTTTGTCTCTTTTGATCTTTTTTGGTTTAAAGTCTGTTTTATCTGAGACTAGGATTGCAACCCCTGCCTGTTTTTGTTTTCCATTTGCTTGGTAGATCTTCCTCCATCCTTTTATTTTGAGTCTATGTTTGTCTCTGAACATGAGACAGATTTCCTGAATACAGAACACTGATAGGTCTTGACTCTTTATCCAATTTGCCAGTCTGTGTCTTTTAATTGGAGAATTTAGTCCATTTACATTTAAAGTTAGTATTGTTATGTGTGAATTTGATCTTGTCATTATGATGGTAGCTGGTTATTTTGCTCGTTAGTTGATGTAGTTTCTTCCTAGCCTCAATGGTCTTTACAATTTGTCATGATTTTGCAGTGGCTGGTACCAGTTGTTCTTTTCCATGTTTAGTGCTTCCTTCAGGAGCTCTTTTAGGGCAGGCTTGGTGGTGACAAAATCTCTCAGCATTTGCTTGTCTGTAAAGTATTTTATTTCTCCTTCACTTATGAAGCTTAGTTTGGCTGGATATGAAATTTGGGGTTGAAAATTCTTTTCTTTAAGAATGTTGAATATTGGCCCCCACTCTCTTCTGGCTTGTAGAGTTTCTGCTGAGAGATCTGCTGTTAGTCTGATGGTCTTCCTTTTGTGGGTAACCTGACCTTTCTCTCTGGCTGCCCTTAACATTTTTTCCTTCATTTCAACTTTGGTGAATCTGACAATTATGTTTCTTGGAGTTGCTCTTCTCGAGGAGTATCTTTGTGGCGTTCTCTGTATTTCCTGAATCTGAATGTTGGCCTGCATTGCTAGATTGGGGAAGTTCTCCTGGATAATATCCTGCAGAGTGTTTTCTAACTTGGTTCCATTCTCCCCATTACTTTCAGGTACACCAATCAGACACAGATTTGTTCTTTTCACATAGTCCCATATTTCTTGGAGGCTTTGCTCGTTTCTTTTTATTCTTTTTTTCTCTAAAGTTCCCTTCTCACTTCATTTCATTCATTTCATCTTCCATCACTGATACCCTTTCTTCCAGTTGATTGCATCGGCTCCTGAGGCTTCTGCATTCTTCACGTAGTTCTCGAGCCTTGGCTTTCAGCTCCATCAGTTCCTTTAAGCACTTCTCTCTATTGGTTATTCTAGTTATACATTCGTCTAAATTTGTTTCAAAGTTTTCAACTTCTTTGCCTTCGTTTGAATTTCCTCCTGTAGCTCAGAGTAGTTTGATCGTGTGAAGCCTTCTTCTCTCAACTCGTCAAAGTCATTCTCCATCAACCTTTGTTCCATTGCTGGTGATTAGCTGCGTTCCTTTGGAGGAGGAGAGGTGCTCTGCTTTTTAGAGTTTCCAGTTTTTCTGCTCTGTTTTTTCCCCATCTTTCTGGTTTTATCTACTTTTGGTCTTTGATGATGTTGATGTACAGATGGGTTTTTGTTGTGGATGTCCTTTGTGTTTGTTAGTTTTCCTTCTAATAGACAGGACCCTCAGCTGCAGGTCTGTTGGAGTTTGCTAGTGGTCGACTCCAGACCCTGTTTGCCTGGGTACCGGCAGCGGTGGCTGCAGAACAGCAGATTTTCATGAACCGCGAATGCTGCTGTCTGATGGTTCCTCTGGAAGTTTTGTCTCAGACGAGTACCCAGCTGTGTGAGGTGTCAGTCTTCCCCTACTTGGGGGTGCCTCCCAGTTAGGTTGCTCAGGGGTCAGGGGTCAGAGACCCACATGAGGAGGCAGTCTGCTCGTTCTGAGATCTCCAGCTGCGTGCTGGGAGAACCACTGCTCTCTTCAAAGCTGTCATACAGGGACATTTAATTCTGCAGAGGTTACTGCTTTCTTTTTGTTTGTCTGTGCCCTGCCCCCAGAGGTGAAGCCTACAGAGGCAGGCAGGCCTCCTTGAGCTGTGGTGGGCTCCACCCAGTTCAAGCTTCCTGGCTGCTTTGTTTACCTAAGCAAGCCTGGGCAATGGCGGGCGCCCCTCCCCCAGCCTTGCTGCCACCTTGCAGTTTGATCTTAGACTGCTGTGCTAGCAACCAGTGAGACTCCGTGCGTGTAGGACCCTCCAAGCCATGTGCGGGATATAATCTCCTGGTGCGCCATTTTTTAAGCCAGATGTCTCTTTTCATGCCTGTTGGGTAATGGGGGAGTGTTGGCATTGGTAATTCAAGACTGTCCTTTATACCTTCTTCATTGCCTCTTCTGTAATAAGAAGCTAAATCCTGGTAGTGTGATAATTCACCTGGTTTTTGTTCTTATGAAAGTGCTTTTTTGTGTGGATAGTTATTGAATTTGGTGTTTCTGTGGAGAGGATAATTGGTGAAGACTTCTATTTAGTCATCTTGCTTTGCCTCCTTCAAAGTAGCATTTTAATCTCACCATCACCCATAACCTCACAAATAATGAATTCTAACACATCACTCTGTATCCACTACTTTGTTTCCCTTTAGCTCATCTGTGCAACTACTCTCACTACTCTCCATTCACCCCAGATATATGTACACACCGTTAAGTCACTTATATTCTCCCTTTCCACTAAATTATTTTTGTATTTATTTCACTCTTCATCTACTTTATATTCCAGTCTATTATTGTAGTAATAACCTTTCTGGTACTCCTCACCTCGTTCTATTTTTTTATATTCCTTTGCCTCTTTTTATTTTTTTTAAAAACTAATATGTCTAAGCCAAAGCCTTGAATGATACCCCCACTTATTATTTTTTTATCCCACCACTTGGGCAACTAAGGTTGCTGAGAAAACCTTTCCAAATCGGGCAATTTAGTTATGTTAGAAATTTGTAATCACCAATGTCAGATAGTGGTCCTCAACTTTGTTCTGCAATGCTACTTTTTTTCTCTCATAACTACTATTGCAATCTTTCTGCTCTAATATCTGTGCTTCCCTTCTACACCACTTGCACTTGTCTGCATTTATGTATGTTCTAGTCCTCTGTTTTTCATGATACAATAGAGTAGCTGTTCCTCCTTCTTAAACTAACTCTTTACAACAACATAGTACTTTGACTTATTTCCCCTTTAGCCTTCTATTTCTTTTCACTTTGGCTTGGCTCTCTCATCTGAATATTCTCCCATTACCTGTTAAGTATGTTCAAATCTCTACCTTTAAACCAATTATAATTGAACCTTGCTTTTTAATTTTATTACTCTTATATTCTCTTAAAATGTTCTAACTGTCGTTTTTACTAACTGACACAATAATCTCAAGTCATACTAACTACTGTTTCCACCCTAATGTCTTCTGTAACTGTGCTAGCACACAGTAGCTTTTGTTAATATTATCACTAATCTCTAAGTCACTAAATTTAATAAGTTCTATGCAGTATTTTTACTTGTATTTTTAGAATAATTATAGAATTTTGAATATTCTCTCCTTCCTAAGAAAATTATATTTTTTACTTCGTGACACATTTATCTTCTTATTTTTTTCTTTCACAACAGTACACTGTTTGTACCACCCATTTTATTTTGAATCCTCAAGGATCAGTTCTTTTCTCATTCTATACTCTCTCTCTCTAAAGAAGTTTACACATATTCTCTGCTTCAATCATCACCTAAACACAATAAATTACACATTTATATCTCCAGTCACCGGGAAACTCTTGTTCTCTGAGTCTGGAAATGTATATTCAGCAACTTATTTGACATCCTTATCCCTGCCAATTTCAGTTATCTATAAGCCAAATATTTGATTCTTTCTTACTCATAAAAAAATTTTACAATTGGATTCATTATTCCTCCGACATTTCTCCTTTTACAAATTTTTAACTGACATTTTTTCACATAGGTGATTCTTCTATGACACTGTCTTTTTAACTGCTGAATCTCCTCTTCTCCAATACTGGTTCTTCCAACCTCTTTTAGCCATTCATTTCCATACTCACATCCTAGACTTTGTCATCACAATTGGAAGAAACCCATCCAGAATTTTCTGCATTTCATTTTAAATACCCCATTTGCTCTTTTTCCAGATTACTCTTCTCATATCTAAACTCATGCAATTAGTCACATCCTCTTGAGCTTATAATTGATAAAAATTTTCAATCAAAATCATCTCTCTTTATCCTCACCGTTCTATCCAGATATTTTCTTCTTTTTCACTTCATAATACATTTGGTAAAATAACAACCCTATTTAAAAACAACACTTTCTGGCTGCTTCCAGCCTTCATCCACACAAATAAATGTGGTTGGAAATAAAACACAGAATATGTCAACTTTTCTTACCCTCAATTTATAACAAGTAACCCTATGTATGTCTACTAAATCTGGCCATAAATCATAATATATTTCTAATATCTAATTACTCTGCCTTTCTTAGACATTTTTTCCACATTTTCTTCTCTCTCCTCAGTCTGCCAACATCTCAGCTTCACTTCCACTTTTCCCTAATGTTTTTCTTCTTTTTCTTCGTATCTTTCCATTTCCACAAAAAATAGAATTAATAAGTGCCTCATTTCCACAAGCTTACAGTACCACATCTACCCATTTTCCATTACCTATACTCAAACATGGTCTCTTAAATTTCTAGAGATTAAGTGTTCATACACCTACATGAGGCAAATACCTCCATGTATGAACTAGATTCCATGCCTTATCATGGACTCAAAATTGTTGCTATAGGAATTTCTTTCCTTCTCTCAAAGGAAAGAATTTATGTACACTATTTTGTTCTATTTATCTATTTGTGTAGAGTCATGTTTTTATTTAGCCCATGTTTGAAAATAACTCTTTTTTTTGCCATTATTTATTTATTTATTTATTTATTTATTTATTTATTTATTTTTATTATTATACTTTAAGTTTTAGGGTACATGTGCACATTGTGCAGGTTAGTTATTTATTTTCAATGATTATAATTTATTTTCAACGAATATCCCATTTATCTATTCTTTAAAGCAAAATTGTGAGAGTATAGAAATATGGAATAAAAGCCTACACCATTTGTCTCCCATGCTGGAAAATTAAATCTTAACAACTCTCTGACCACAAGAAAAGCACCATTACAAGAACCAAAAATTAGGTGAGTAATCACAGTACCTGGTTTTAACTTCATATTGCTAAAAAAGGCATGAAGGAGGACAGGACAGACAGTCTTTAATTGCCAATGTCACCCCTCCTCCATCCCTCAGCAGCGGCCATGTGGCACAGAAAGAGAATCTGTGCATTCTGGAGAGAGAGAACTTGGTGATGGGGGGGGTCTTACATTGAACTCAGTGGTGCCTTGTCACAGTGGGGAATACAGACATGCTGGATTCAGTCACTTGTGCACAGAGGAAACATTTGGACAAGACATAATCAGAGAAAAATTGCCCACACTAGTAGTCAGAGCTTAAGTTTCTCAGCAACCTTAGCCAATGCAGGCTGAAGTTCTCTGAGGTCCTAATTAAACTTGAAAGGCAGTCTAGGACACATAGACTGTCATTCCTAGGCAACTCCTAGTCCTCGGCTGGGATTAGAGCTAGTGGATTAGGGTGAAACCTGACCTAGGGTCACACCAGCTGGCACAGCTAAGAAGGTGCTTGTGCCACCTCTCCCACAATCCCAGGCAGTGCATCTTGCAGCAGTAAAAGTGACTTCTTCCTTCTGCTTAAGGAGAGGAGAGTGAAGAGTAAAGATGACTATGTCTTGCATGTTAGATATCCGTTCAGGCACAGTTCATGGGCTTTGAGCTCTGAGATGTGCTGGCTTTAGGGGTGTTCTTACACATTCCCAACTGTGATAGTAATGGTAAAAGATGCCTTCCATGTGAGAAAAGCAGAGGAAAATATAAAGAAAACTTCGTCTTCCACCTTAGATACCAGATAGACAACGGTAGGTAGAACAACAAGCAGCCTCAGGCCTGGACTCTTGGACAGCGTTTATGGATTTTCCCTAAGTCAGAAGGCATTCCACTGCCCTGAAGGTGGGTCCTAGGCCTGGCAGTATTTATCACAAGCTGATGGAAAACCTTGAGCTTTAAGTGAGCACCAGTGAAGGCCTGGAAAAACCACATAAACCAGTGGTCATGGTGGCCACCAAGAGATTCTCATCTGGCTGTGGAAAAGGAAAGGAAAAGTGGGAAGAACTTTGTATTGTGGTGTGAGTGCCACCTTAGTCATCATAGAATAGAGCATCAGGTAAACTTGTAAAGTTTTTGACTCCAAGCCCTGGCTCCCAGAAAACATCTCTGAACATACGCAGGGCCAGAGAAAAATTATCACTCTGAAGGGAAAGACCATGGGCAAGATCTAGTGCTGTGCTGGCTTCAAGTCTGACCTAGTGCAGTCCCACTGGTGATAGGGGTACTAAGGTGGTACTTTTATGATTCTGCAAAATACAAGAGCATTATTGGGTTTGAGGCCAAAGTCTCTAAATACATGAAAAAAATCTTTCTAAGAAAAACAAGCTCTGACTGAACTCTACAAAAAAATACTTAACTATTCAATTCTCAGACACCAAGAAACATCTATAAGGATCAACACCATCCAGGAAAATATGACCTCATCAAATGAACTACGTAAGACATCAGGGACCAATCAAGGAGAAACAGAGATATAGTACCTTTCAGCCAGAAAATTCAAAACAGCTATTTTGTTGAAACCCAAAGAAATTCAACATAAAACAGAGGAATAATTTGAATTATAACAGATAAATCTAACAGAGAGATTAAAATAATCAAAAAGAATCAAGCAGAAATTCTAGAGTTAAAAATGCAATTGACATAATGAAGAATGTATCAGTCTCTTCATGGCAGAATTGATAAAACAGAGGAAAGGGTTAGTGAACTTGATGTCAGAATATTTGAAAATACAGTCAGAGGAGACAAAAAAAGAATAAAAAACAGTTTTCTGCACCTAAAAGATGTAGAAAATAGCTTCCATAGGGTAAATCTTAGAGTTATTGGCCTTAATTAGGAGGTAGAGAGAGAGAAAGAAGTATAAAGTTTATTCAAAGAAATAAGGGAACTTCCCAAAACTGGAGAAAGATATCAACCTTCAACTATGAGAAGGTTATAGAAAACCAAGTGTATTTAACCCAAAGAAGGCTATCTCTAGGCATTTCATATTTAAACCTTATAGGTCAAGGATGAAGAAATAATCCTAAAAGCAGCAAGATAAAAGAAGCAACATAAAATGAAGCTTCAATACATCAGTGGAGCAGACATTTTAGTGGAAATTTTACAAGTCAGAATAGAGTGTTATGACATATTTAAAGTGCTGAAAATGTAAAGACATTTTACTCCGTAATAGTATATCTGGTGAAAATATCCTTCAAGCATTAAGAACACCTTCAAGCATTAATCAACACCTAACCTGTTCTACAAGAAATGCTAAAGAGAATTCTTCAAACAGAAAGAAAAGGATGTTAATGAGCAAGAAGAAATCACCAAAAGGGACCATACTCAGTGGTAACAGTAAGTACACAGGAAAATATAGCACTGTAGTGGTGCTGTGTAAACTAGTTTTGTCTTAAGTAGAAAGACTAAATGATGAACCTATCACAAATAATAACTAAAACAATGTTTTAATATATAAACAATAAAATAAGACATAGAAACAACAAAAAATTAAAACATGAAGAGAAAAAGATAAAGTGTCGACTTTTTATCACCTTTTTTGCATGTTTGTTTGCTTGTATATGCAATCTGTATTAAGTTGTTATCAGTTTAAAATAATGATTTATAAGATAGCATTTGCTAGCAGCATGGTAACCTCAAATTTAAAAACATGCAACAGACTCACGAAAATAAAAACCAATAAATTGAATCAAAGCACCAGAAAAAATTACTTTCACTAAGAAGAAGATAATAAGGAAAAAAATCAGAAAGAGAAGACAACAAAACAACCAGAAAACAAACTACAAAATTACAGGAATAGTTGCCTACTTATCAAAAATAACATTGATGCTGGACGCAATGGCTCATGCCTATAATCCCAGCACTTTGGGAGACAGAGGCAGGCGAATCACCTGAGGTCAGGAGTTCAAGACCATCCTGGCGAACATGGTGAAACCCCGTCTCTGCAAAAATACAAAAATTAGCCGGGCATGATGGCATGATGGCAGGTGCCTGTAATCCCAGCTACTCGGGAGGCTGAACCCAGGAGACAGAGGTTGCAGTGAGCAATAATCACACCATTGCACTCCAGCCTGAGCAACAGAGTAAGACTCCGTCTCAAAAAAAAAAAAAAAAAAAAGAAAAGAAAAAAGTTGAATGTAAATAGATGAAATTCTCCAATAAAAAGACATAGAGTGAATGAATAGATGAAAAACCAAGACCCGGTGATCTCTCGCCTACCAGAAATACATTACACCTATAAAGATACACATAAATAAAATATAAAGTGATGAAAAAAGATACTCCATGTCAATGAAAATCAAAACAGAGCAGGAGTAGCTACACTTACATTAGACAAAATAGATTTCAAGAAGAAACTATAATAGAAAACAAAGAAAGTCCTTATATAATAATAAAGGTGACAAATTCAGCAAGAAAATATAATGACTGTAATTAATTATATATACACCTAATAGTGGAGCACCCAGATATATAAAGAAAATTTTATTAGAGCTAGAAAGAAAGATAGACTCCAATACAATAATAGCTGAAAACTTCAACACCACATTTTCTGCATTGAACAGATCTCCCAAATAGAAAATCAACAAAGAAACATTGGATTTAATCCACACTATAGATCAAATAGATCTAATAGACATGTACAGAAAAATTTATCTAGTGGCTCCAGAATACACATCCTTCTCAGCCCATGGAACATTTTCAAGGATAGATTCTATATTAGGTCACAAAACAAGTAATAAAACATTCAAAAATTGAAATAATGTCAAGTTATTTTATGACCACAATGGAAGAAAACTAGAAATCATTAACAAGAAAAATTTTGGAAACTATACAGGCACATGGACATTAAATAACATGCTCCTGAATGACCAGAGGGTTCACGACGGAATTAAAAACATAATTGAAAACTTCTTGAAGCAAATGCTGATTGAAACACAACGTATCAAATCCTAGATATACAGTAAAAGCAGTACAAGAGGGAAATGTATTGCTGTAAGTGCCCACATAAAAAAATGAAAAACTTCAAATTAATAAGCTATTGATGCATCTCAAATACTAGAAAAGAAAGAGAAAACAAACCTAAAATTAATAGAAGAAAAGAAAAAGAATCAGTATATAAATAAATAGAATTGAAATAAAGGAACCAATACAAAAGATCAATGAAACAAACAGTTGGTTTTTTGAAAAGATAAAATTGACAAACCTTTAGCCAGAATAACTAAGAAAAAAGAGAAGACCAAAATAAACAAAATCGGAGATGGAAAAGGAAACATTGCAGGGGATACAAGAGTAATTCGAATAGCTATTAGTGGTACTATGAGCAACTATATTTCAATAAATTAGAAAATATAAAAGAAATGTACAAATTCCCAGACACATACACCCTACAAAGATTGAATTAAAAAAATTAAAACATAGACAGATGAATGACAAATAATAAAATCAAAGCCATAATAAAGTCTTTTAGAAAAGGAAGGACCAGGAACCAATGGCTTCAATGCTCAATTCTATCAGACATTTCAAGAAAAACTAATACCAACATTACTTAAACTATTCTGAAAAATAGAAAAAAAGGGAATACTTTCAAACTAATTCTACAAGACTAGCGTAACTCTAACACCAGACAAAGACACATGAAGAAAAAAAAATTACATGCCAATATATCTGATAAATATTGATGAAAAAATTCACAAGATTATACAAATTCAAATTCAACTACACATTAAAAAATCGTTCATCAAGACCAAGTGAGATTTATGCCTGGGATGCAAATATGGTTCAACATATGCAAATCAATTAGAGTGATACATCATATCAGCAGAATATGATAATTTAAATTAATGTTGAAAAAATATTTGATAAAGATCAACATCCCTTCATTTAAAAAAACCCTTAATAAAGTGGGTATAGAAGGAACATACCTCAACCTAATAAAGGCCATATGTGACAGAACTACAGCTACTATCATACAGAATAAAATAAAAAAAACCTGAAAGCATTTCCTTTTAGATCTGGGACATGACAAAAAACTTTCACCACTGTTATTAAACATAGTACTGTAAGTCTTACCCAGAGAAATCAGACAAGAGAATAAAATAAAGGTTATCCAAATTGAGATGCAAGAAGTCAAATTATCCTTGCTTGCAGAAGATAAGACCTTATATTTCAAAAAATGTAGAGAATCCACCAAGAACCTATTAGAACTGATAAATTCAGGAAAGTTGTAAAACACAAAGAATCTATAGCATTTCTATATGCCAACAGTGAACAATCTGGAAAAGCAATAAAAAAGATAATTTGATTTACAGTAACCACAAATAAAATTAAATACCTAGGAATTAACATAACCAAACAAGTGAAATTTCTCTACAATAAAAACTACAAAACATTGATAAAGAGAATTGAAGAAGACACAAAAAGAAAAGATATTCCATGTTCGTGGATTGAAAGAATGAATATTGGTAAAATGTCCATACTGCCCAAAGCAATATGCTGATTCAATGCAATCTCTATCAAAATACCAATGACATTTTTCACAGAAACAAAAAAAAAATTCTAAAATTTATCTGAAACCAAAGAAGACCCCCAATAGCCAAAGTTATTCTAAGCAAAAAGAACAAAACTGGAGAAATCACATAACCTGACTTCAAATTATACTACAGATCTATAGTAGCAAAAGAAGCATGGTTGTTACTGGCATAAAAACAGACACATAGTTCATAGGAAAAGAATAACAACCCAGAAACAAATCCACATACCCAAAGTGAAGTCATTTTTGACAAATAGTCCAAGAACATATACTGAGAAAAAGACAGTGCCTTCAATAAATGGTGCTGAAAAAATTGAAAGTTCGTATTCATAAGAATCAAAATAGATACTCACTTCTTGCCATGTACAAAAATGAAATCAAAATAAAGACTTAAATTTAAGACCTTAAACTGTGAAACTATTACAAGAAAACTTTGTGGAGGTACTCTCCAGGACATTGGTCTAGGCAAAAAAATTCTTGATTAATACCCAACAAGCACAGGCAAACAAAGCAAAAATGGACAAGTGGAATAATAAGAAGTTAAAAAACTTATGTATAACAAAGGAAACAGTCAACAAAGATGCAACAAACCGAATGAAAGAAAATATTTACAAACCACCCGTCTGACAAAAAGTTAATAACCAGAATACATAAGGAGCTCAAAAAACTCTATAACAAATCTGACAATCTGATCAAAAAGTGGGTAAAATAATTGAATAGAAATTTTCAAAAGAAGACATACAATGGCCAACAGGTACATAAAAAGGTGCTCAACATCATTAATCTTCAGAGAAATGCAAATCAAAACTACAATGAGAAAACTTCTCACCCCCGTTGAAATGGCTTATAGTCAAATGACAAGCAATAGCAAATGCTTATGAAAATGTGGGAAAGAAAGAACCCTGAAACACTGTTGGTGGGAAGGTAAATTAGTAAAATCACTACAAAGAACAGTGTGGAGGTTCCTCAAAATGAGAAAAATTGAGCTACCATATGATCAAACAATCCCATTGCTGGGTATATACCCAAAAGAAAGAATATTGGTATATCCAAGAGATATCTGTGTTCCCATGTTTGTTGTTGTAGCACTGTTCACAATAGCAAAGATTTGTAAGCAACTTAAGTGTTCATGAAGAGATAAATGGATAAACAAAATCGCACACATGTACATAATGGTGTACTATTTAGCCATAAAAAAGAGTGATGTTCTGTCATTTGCAACAAAGTGGATGGAACTAGAGATCATTAAGTGAAATAAGCCAGCACCAAAAGACAAAAATTGCATGTTCTCACTTATTTGTGGCATCTAAATATCATAACAATTTAAATCATCAACATAAAGAAAGGAAGGATAGTTACCAGAAGATGGAAAGGGTAAAGGGGAGGAAGACGGAGATGGAGATGGTTAATGGCTATAAAAAATAAAAATAGAATGAATGAATAAGACCTACTATTTGAAAGCAGAACAGGGTGACTATAGTCAATAATAACTTAACTGTACATTTTAAAATAATGAAAAAGTATAATTCGATTGCTTGCAACACAAAGGATAAATACTTGAGAGGATGGATACCTCATTCTCCATGATATCATTATTTCACACTGCATGCCTGTATCAAAATAGCTCATGTACCCCATAAATGTATACACCCACAAAAATAAAAATTAAAAAAATAAAGAAAAACGTAGCATGTTTACAGACTTACAAGAACCTATCCAGAAAAGAAATAAACAGGACATTCCCTCCAAGGAGATAAAAGAGCTGTATGATGAAAACAATAAAACATTAATGAAAGAAATGGAAGAAAACACAAATAAATATGAAAATATCGTGTTCATTGTTTGAATGAATTAATATTGTTAAAAGTACATACTATCAACGTGATCTACAGAATCAGTGTAATTTCCATCAAACTTCAATTACAGTTTTCACAGAAATAGAAAACTAAATCCCAAATGTCATGTATAGCCACAAAAGGCCCCAAATAGTCAGGAAATCTAGATGGAGCAAATAGAACAAAGCTGGAGGTATCACATTGTCTTTTTTCAAACTCTAGGAGAAAACTATAATAATCAGAACAGCATAAATACAAACACATGTGCTAATGGAACAAGAGAACCCAGAAAAAAATTCATGCATTAAATGAAATTGGGCCTTTATTTTATATTTTATATAAAATTTAACTCAAAACGAATTAAAAACTTAGATGGAAGATCTGAAACTGTGTTAATACTAGAAGGAAATACAGGAGAAAAGCTCCATTATGTGGCTCTGAACAATAACTTTTTGGATATGAGCCCAAAGCACAAGCAACAAAAAATACTATAAACACCTCTATGCAAATAAATTAGAAAATCTGGGAAAAATGAATAAAGTACTGGACACATACACCCTCCCAAGACTGAGCCAGGAAGAATTCGAATCCATGAATAGACCAATAACAAGTTCTGAAACTGAAGAAGTGATGAATAGCCTACCAACCAAAAAAAAGCCGAGGACCAGACAGCTTCACAGCCGACTTCTTCCAGAGATAAAAAGAGCAGCCGGCACCATTCCTTCTGGAACTCTTCCAAACAAATGAAAAGGAGAGACTCCTTTCTAACTCATCTTATGAGGCCAGCATCATCCTGATACCAAAACCTGGCAGAGACACAATAACAACAAAAACTTCAGTCCAATATTCCTGATGAACATAGATGAGAAAATCCTGAATAAAATACTGGCAAACCATATAGCATATCAAAAAGCTGATCCACCACGGTGAAGTCGGCTCCATCTCAGGGATATGAGGCTGGATTAACATATGCAAATCAATAAACGCAATCCATCACAAAAACAGAAGCAATGACAAAAACCACATGATTATCTCAGTAGATGCAGAAAAGGCCTTTGATAAAATTTAACATCAATTCATGTTAAAAACTCTCAATAAACTAGGTATTGATGAAGCATATCTCATAATAATAAGAGCTATCTATGACAAACCCACAGCCAATATCATACTGAA
The DNA here is from genome assembly GCF_000001405.40 of Homo sapiens. Classification (NCBI taxonomy): domain Eukaryota; kingdom Metazoa; phylum Chordata; class Mammalia; order Primates; family Hominidae; genus Homo; species Homo sapiens. The sequence goes on from NC_000023.11 coordinate 76,614,435, forward strand.
TGGGCAAAAGCTGAAAGCATTCCCTCCGAAAACCAGCACAACGCAAGGATGCCCTCTCTAACCACTTCTATTCAACATAGTATTGAAGGTTCTGGGTAGGATAATCAGGCAAGAGAAAGAAATTAAGGGTATTCAAAGAGGAAGACAGGAAATCAAATTGTCTCTGTTTGCAGATGACACAATTCTATATTTAGAAAGCCCCATCGTCCCAGCCCAAAAACTCCTTAAGCTGATAAGCAACCTAAGCCAAATGTCAGGATACAAAATCAATGTGCAAAAGCCACAAGAATTCTTATACATCAACAACAGAAAAACAGAGAGCCAAATCATAAATGAACTCCTATTCACAATTGCTACAAAGAAAATAAAATACCTAGAAATACAGCTAACAAGGGATGTGAAGGACCTCTTCAAGGTTAACTACAAACCACTGCTCAAGTGAAAAAGAGAGGACACAAACAAATAAGAAAACATTCCATCCTCATGAATAGGAAGAATCAATGTCATGAAAATGGCCATACTGCTCAAAGTAATTTATAGATTCAATGCTATTCTCATCAAACTGTCATTGACATTCTTCATAGAATTAGAAAGAAAACTACTTTAAATTTCACATGGAACCAAAAAAGAGCCTGTAGAGCCAAGTCAATCCTAAGCAAAAAGAACAAAGCTGGAGGCATCACGCTACCTGACTTCAAACTGTACTACAAGTCTACAGTAACCAAAACAGCATGGTACCGGTACCAAAACAGACATATAGGCCAATGGAACGGAACAGAGGCCTCAGAAATAACACCACACCCCTAAAATAATAGATTACAATTATTTGTATGGTTTTGACAAACCATACAAAAACAAGCAATGGGGAAAGAATTCCCTATTTAATAAATGGTGCTGGGAAAACTGGCTAGCCATATGCAGAAAACTGAAACTGGACCCCTTCCATAAACTTTATACAAAAATCAACTCAAGATAAATTAAAGACTTAAATATAAAACCCAAAACCACAAAAACCCTAGAAGAAAACCTAGGCAATACCATTCAGGGTATAGGCATGGGCAGACTTCATGAGGAAAACACCAAAAGCAATTGCAACAAAAGCCAAAATTGACAAATGGGATATAATTAAACTAAAGAGCTTCTGAACAGGAAAAAACAACTATAATCAGAGTGAACAGGCATCCTACAGAATGGGAGAAAATTTTTGCAATCTACCCATCTGGCAAAGGTCTAATATCCAGCATCTACAAGGAACTTAAACAAGTTTACAAGACAAAAACAAATAATTCCATCAAAAAGTGGGCCAGGGATATGAACAGAAACTTCTTAAAAGAAGACATTTATGTGCCCAACAAACATATCAAAAAAATCTTGACATCACTGATCATTACAGCAAATCAAAACCACAATGAGATACCATCTCATGCCACTAAGAATGACAATTATTTAAAAAGTAAAGAAACAAGAGATTCTGGCGAGACTGTGAAGAAATAGGAATGCTTTTACACTGTTGGTGAGAATGTAAATTAGTTCAACCACTGTGAAAGACAGTGTGGCAATTCCTCAAGGATCTAGAACCAGAAATACCATTTGAACTAGCAATCCCATTACTGGGTATATACCCAGAGGAATATAAATCGTTCTACTATAAAGACACATGCACATGTATGTTTATTGAAACACAAATTACAATAGTGAAGGCACTGAACCAACTCAAATGCCCATCAATGATAGACTGGTTAAAGAAAATCTGGTACATATACACCATGGAATACTATGCAGCCATGAAAAGAAATAATATTATGTCCTTTGCAAAAACATGGATGAAGCTGGAAGCCATCATTCTCAGCAAGCTAACACAGAAACAGAAAACCAAACACCATATGTTCTCACCTCACTCACAAGTGGGAGTTAAACAATGAGAACACACGGACACAGAGTGGGGAGCAACACACACTGGGGCCAGTGGAGAAATAGGGGGTGAGGGGAGGGAGAGTATTAGGACAAATAGCTAATGCGCGCAGGGCTTAAAACCTAGATGACGGGTTGATAGGTGCAGTAAGCCACCATGGCATACCTATGTAACAAACCTACATGTTCTGCACTTGTGTCCCAGAACTTAAAGTAAAATTTAAAAAATAAAAAATAAACAATTGGTTTCGAGAAGAGTGGCCAAGATGGCCAACTATAAGTGGCTACTGTATGTGGCTTTCATGGAGAGGAACGGAAAGAGTGAGTAAATACATCACCTTCATCTGAGACATTCGGGTACTCACATTGGGACTAATCAAGGAAACAACTTGACCCACACAGAATGAAGAAAAGCAAGGCAAAACAACAGGCCATCCAGAAGCAACACAGGGCCAGGGGAACATCCTCCACCCAGGGAAGCAGTGAGTAAATGTGCGACTTCAGGAAACCATGCTTCTTCCATGGATCTTTCCAACTCTAGGGTCAGGATGTCTCTTTGTAAACCCACTCCACCCATGCCTTCAGTCTGGGAAACAGAGCTAAAAGGAGTCTCAGCAGAGCAGCCACTCATGCATGCACAGCTAGCCTAAGATACTTGGCCTTTCCAACAAATAAAGTTCCAGCAAAGTGGGAGGTTAGACACCCATACATACTCCTATAAAAGAGGCTTACTCCTTGGGCCTGAGCAGTGACAGCCTGAAGGCCCCACTTCCATGGCATCTCACAAGATAAGACCCATTGACTTGAAATTCCAGCCAGCCACCAATGGCGATATTGCATCTCCCTAAGAAGGAGCTCTTGAAGCTAGGCACAGGCCTCCATCTTTACCGTTTGGGCACCCTAGCCCTTTCAGCCTTCAGGCTTTGGAGAGTCCGAGCCTACTGGGGATGTTAGGGATCCCCCAGTACAACACAGCTGCTCTATCAACATGTGACCAGACTGCTGCTTTAAGTGGGTACCAGATCCTGCTCCTCCTCACTGGACAGATGTCCCAAGCAAGGCTTCCAGCCACACTCGCCCATGTTCTCCAGTGAAAAAAGGGTAGAATTCTTCCTGGTAGAGTGCTCCCAGAGAGAAGGGTGAGCCACCATCTTTGCTATTTGGGTGACTTAGTCATTCTAGCCTTTGGGCTTTGGAGAGTCCAAGGCAACCAGAGGCAAAAACGAGCTCCCAGCACAGTATAACTGCTCCACCAAAACGTGGCCAGATTGATTCTCCAAGTGGGTCCTTGATCCCATTCCTCTTAACTGGGTGGACCTGAAAACTGGGGCCTCCAGCCACCCCTGCCAGTGTTTTCTAGCCTACAGAGATTTGTAACCTCCCTAGTATAAAGCTCCCAGAGGATGAACAGGCCATCATTTTTGCTTTTTAGGTCACTTAGCTATTCTAGCCTTTGAGTTTTGGAGCGTCCGAATGGACCATGGGCTGAAGGACTCCCAGAAAAGCACAGCTGCTCTACCAAAACGTGGCCAGACTGCTTTTTTAAGCGGGTACCCAATCCAGTTCCTTCTCACGGGGTGAGACCTCCCAACCAGGGTCTGAAGCCACCTCCTAAAGGTGTCTTCGGGCTGGTGACAGGCCTGTACCTCCCTGTGATGTAGCTTTCAAAGGAATGGACAGGCTTCCATCTTCACTGTTTTGCAGTCTTCATTGGTGATACCTCCAGGTACTGCAAAATCCAAGGTGAGTAGAAACTGAAGCAGGCCCCCAGCATGCTGCAGCAGCCCTATGAAAAAGTTACGTGAGTGCCCACTCTCATATCTCCTCATCAGGTGCATCCTCCAAGCTTGGGACTTCAGCCAACCCATGCCAGACATACTGAGCCAGTAACAAGTTGACAACTCCCTGGACAGAGCCTCCTCCAGGGGTAGTTGAAAACCTCTCTGTCACTGCCTCTGCAATGAAACTACCCTTGCCACCCCCAGACTAACTAAGGAGCAAAGATCCTTAGTGCTTTATCCACACCTCCAACAAGCTGCAATTGACCCAGGAGAGAAGAACAATTCATCCCCCACGGGTCTAGCACACACTCCACTGCTCATCACAAGAGAGGGAAACCCTGGCTTGGGTCCATAACACAGACCCTCTGTCCTAGAATGATTGCACTGAGCAATTGCTGACCTGCACCTCTCTGGGGAGGAGCCCCCAGGAGACAAAAAAACCCTCAGCCACAACCACTACTAAGATCCCTTCCTCTGCTGCCTCCAAGTTAGGGAAAGAACATAAACACTGAGACCATCCTAGAACTGCAGAGGGAAGCCCAGGAATCCCAAGTCATAATCTATAGCCAACATTCAAGAAGGAGACGAATCCACACTTTCAGAGCATTGAGAGGGAAAATGGTTGCAACTGTAAGGAAACAGCAGAGTCAGACAACTTGAGTAAGAGTCTACCAACTGGCTAATAAGCCTAAGTGCCACCTGCTGGATCACACCTCAGAGCTTCAACACCAAAACTACTTCACTCACATACCCCCCTATAAAACCAGAGACAAGAAGTTAGTTTCAAATAAAGACCCTGCATACAACCTTGGCCTGGTGAAAACATCCAGAAAAGAAGCCTATTGACTGTAATCAATCTACACTGCAGTTAAAGGAACACCCACATGCAGAGATGAGTAAGGACCAATGCAAGAAGTCTGGTAACTGAAATGGCCTAAATGTCATATGTCCTCCAAATGACCACATCTGTTCTCCAACAGGAGTTCCTAACCAGGATGAACTGGATGGAATGACAGAAATATAATTCAGTATATGGTTAAGGACAAAGATCATTGAGATCCAGGAGGATGGCAAAACCCAACCCAAGGAAAATTAAAAAATAACAACAAAGCAATATGGGAGCTGAAGGACAAAATAGCTAGTATAAAAAAAGAGCCTAACAGGTCTGAAACAGCTGAATAACACAATACAAAAATTTCACAATGCAATCACAAGTATTAACTGGTTAATAAACCAAGCTGAGAAAAGAATCCCAGTAATTAAAGATCTGGTTCTTTCTGGTCAGAACTGGTTCTCTGAAATAAGAGGGTAAGACAGAAAAAAAGAAAAAAGAATAAAAAAGAATAAACAAAACCTCTGAGTAGTATGTGACTATGTAAAGAGGCCAAATCTATGAATCAACGATATGCCTGGAAGGGAGGGAAAGAAAGCAAACAACTTGGAAACAATATTTCAGAATGTCATCCATGAAAACTTACCCAATCTTGCTAGAGAGGCCAACAATAAAATTCGGGAGATGCAGACAATTCCTGCAAGAGTCTACACAAGAAGACCATCTGCAAGTCACATAATCATCAGATTTTTCCAAAGTCAAAATTAAAAAAAAAAAATTCTAAAGGCAGCTAGAAAGGAAAGACAGGTAACCTACAAAGGAAAACTCATCAGACCTAAAGGCAGACCTCTTAGCTGAAACCCTAAAATCCAGAAGAGATTGGGGGCCTATATTTAACACTCTTTAAGAAAAAATTTTTTTCAACCAAGAATTTCATATCCAGCCAAACTAAGTTTTCTAAGTGAAGGAGAAATAATATAAGACCACTACCAACTAATACAAAACACACTTACATACACAGACCAGTGTCAGTATAAAGCAACCACACAAAGAAGCAAACATACAAATCAGCTAAGAGCCCAATGACAGAATCAAATATACATATATTAATACTAACTTGAATGTAAATGGTCTAAATACCCCACCTAAAAGGCACAGACTGACAAGCTGGATAACAAAGCAAGACTTAATGGTAAGCTGTCTTCAAGAGACCCACCTGACATGTAATGACACTCATAGGCTCAAAATAAGGGGAGGATAAAAATCTACCAATCAAATGGAAAACAGAAAAAAAGCAGGGGTTGCCATCCTAATTTCAGACAGAACAACAGACTTTAAAACAACAAAGATGAAAAAGACAAAGAAGGGCATTACATAATGAGAAAGGATTCAATTCAACAAGAATAGCTATCAGAAATATATGTGCTCCCAATACAGAAACACCCAGATTCATAAAGCAAGTTCTTAGAGACCTTCAAAGACACATAGGCTCCTCCATTGACAGTATTAGACAGATCATCAAGGCAGAAAATTAAAAAAAATTCAGGACCTAAACTCAACATTGGACCAAATGGATCTCATAGACCTCTACAGAATTCTCCTTTAAAAAGCAGCAGAATATACATCCTTCTCATTGCCACATGGCACATTCTCTAAAATCGACCACATAATTGGACATAAAACAATCCTCAACAAATGTAAAACAAAATTCTACCAAAAACACTCTTGAATCACAGTGCAATAAAAATAGAAGTAAAGACTATCAAAATTGCTCAAAAACATGCAATTACATGGAAATTAAACATCATGCTCCTGAATGACTTGGATAAATAATGAAATTAAGGCAGAAATAAAGAAGTTCTTTGGAAATAATGAGAACAAAGATACAACATACTAGAATCTTTGGGACACTGCTGAGGCAGTGTTAAGAGGGAAATTCTTAGCACCAAATACCCACATTAGAAAGTTAGAAAGATCTCAAATTAACAACCTAACTTCACAACCAAAAGAATTAGAGAAGCAAGAACAAATCATCCCCAAAGGTAGCAGAAGATGAGAAATAAAAATTTGAGCTACACTGACAAAAAGAGAGACACAAAAAACCATCCAAAAAGTCAATGACTCCAGAAGTTCGTCTTTTAAAATAAACTAATAAAATGGATAGGCCACTGGCTAGACTAATAGAGAAGAAAAGAGAGAAAGTCCAAATAAACACAATTAGAAATGACAGGAAATGTTACTACTGAACCCACAGAAATAATAACAACCATCAGAAAATATTACAAAAACCTCTGGTCACAAACTAGAAAATCTAGTAGAAATGGATACATTCATGGGCACATACACTCTCTCAAGAATGAAGTAGGAAAGAACTTATTCCTTGAAGAGACCAATAAAGAGCTCTAAAATCTAATCAGCAATAAATAGCCTGCCAATCAAAACAACCCCAGAACCTGATAGATTCATAGCCTAATTCAACCAGATGTACAAGGAAGAGCTAATACTACTCCTGCAAAAACTATTCCAAAAAATGGAGGAGAAGGGACTTCTCCCAAACTCATTCTATGAGGCAAACATCATCTTGATACCAAAACCTTGCAAGGACACACACACACACAGACACACCTCAGAAAAATATCCCTGATAAACATCAATGCAAAAATCCTCAACAAAATACTTGAAAACCGAATCCAGCAGCACATAAAAAGAAAAGAGAGAATTTACCAAGATCAAGTAGGGTTTACTCCCTAGATGCAACATTGGTTCAAAATATGCAAATCAATAAATGTGATTCACCACATAAACAGATCTAAAGACAAAAACCGTATGATTATCTCAATAGATCCATTAAAGTCTTTTGATAAAATTCAACATCTCTTCATGTTGAAGGGTCTCAACAAACTAAGTATTAAAGAAACATAGCTCAAAATAATAAGAGCCATCTATGACAAATCCACAGTGAGCATTATAATTAATGGGCAGAAGCTGAGACCATTTCCCTTGAAAACTGCCTAAGACAAGGGTGCCCTCTCTCACCACTTCTATTCACCATAGTATTGGAAGTTATAGTCACAGTAGTAAGGCAAAATAAAGAAATAAAGGCATCCAATTAGGAAGAAAGGAAGTCAAACTACCTCTGCTTGCAGACAACATAATTCTATATATAGAAAACCCCATAGTCTCAGCTCAAAAGCTCTTTCAGATGATAAATTCAGCAAAGTTGCAGGGTACATAATCAGTGTACAAAAATTACTAGCATTTCTCTCACCAACAACAGCCAAATGGAGAGCCAAATCAGAAATGTAATCTTATTCACAGTTGCCACAAAAAGAATAAAATACCTAGGAATACAGCTAACCAGGGAGGTGAAAGATCTCTACAGTGAGAATTACAAAACACTGCTCAAAGAAATCAGAGAAACAAATGGAAAAACATTTCTTGTTTATGGGTAGAAAGAATCAATACCACTAAAATGGCTATACTGCCCATTGAAATTTACAGATTCAGTGCTATTCCTATGAAACAGCAAGTGACATTCTTCACAGAACTAGAAATAACTATTTTAAAATTCATATGGAACTGAAAAAGAGCCTTAATAGCCAAAGCAATCATAAGCAAAAAGAGCAGGGTGGAGATATGCTACCTGACTTCAAACTATACTACAAGACTACAGTATCCAAAACAGCACGGTACTGGTACAAAAACAGGTCAATAGACCCATTGAACACAATAGAGAGTCCAGAAATAAGGTGACAAATTGATGATGATCTGATCATCAACAAAGCTGACAAAAACAAGCAATGGGGAAAAGACTCCCTACTCAATAAATGGTGCTGGGATGACTGGTTAGCCATATACAGAAAATTGAAGCAGGACAGCTTTTTTTACACCATATACAAAAATCAACTCAGTATAAATTAAATACTTCATTGTAAAACCCAAAATTATAAAAATCCTGGAAGACAACCTAGGCAATACCATCCTGGATATAGGAAAGGGCAAAGATTTCATGACAAAGACACCAAATGCATTTGCAATACAAGCGGAACTTGACAAGTGGGATTAAATTATACTTAAGAGCTTCTGTGCAGAAAAAGAAGTTATCAACAGAATAAACAGAAAACCTACAGAATGGGAAAAAATATTGGCAAACTATGCATCTGACAAGGGTCTAATATCCACCATCTTTAAAGAGCTTAAACACATTTACAAGAGAAAAACAAACAACCCCATTAAAAAGTGGCAAAAGACATGGACACTTTTCAAAAGAAGACAGTTTTACTATTCAATATATACCCAAAGGAAACAAAATAAGTTCATCAAAGAGATATCAGCCCTCTCATGTTCACTGCAGCACTATTCACAGTAGTCTAGATACAGAAACAGTGAAAGTGTTCATTAGTGGATTAATTGATAAAGAAGATCTGGTATCAATGCACGATATAATATGCTTTAGCTTTAAAGAAGGAAATCTTGTCCTTTGTGATGACATGGATACAAGTGGAGAACCTTATGCTAAATGAAATAAGAGCAGCACACATAACATATGGTCTCACTTATATGTGGAATATAAAAAAGTTGATCTTATAGAATCAGATAGTAAAATGGTGGTTACCATGAGCTTGGGGGAGAAGGGCCATTAGGGGAGATGATCAAAGGACAAAAATTTTCAGCTAGAGACAATACATTAATAACAGTGCATTGTAGTCTTGAGAATTGCTGAGAGAGTAGATTTGAAGTGTTCTCACCACAAAAAAGTGATAATTATGTGAGATAACACATATGTTAATTAGCTTGATTTAGACATTCCACAATGTGTACATATTTCAAAACAAAATGTACACAATAAATACATACATTTTTTCTTACAAATTTCTTTATTTCCACCCATTTAACATAACCATAGCCATAAACCATACGTACTTCTATTTATTTTATTTTATATTAAGAGGGCACATATGCAGGTTCATTACTTGGTATGAGGTAGGTTAGATAGTGTGGTTATAGCCTTTCTTAAAGGTGAACAAACTGGCTAAATAGATGGAGGGAAAAAAATCACCCAACAGTGCACAAACCACATCATGGGTTCTTGGTTAGAACATCCTGCAGCAAGGATGTAGAACAAAAGAGAACATCCTCAAATGTGCATAAGTGCAGAAACCCATGATTAGTGTCCTTGGGCTGATAAATGCTCATTATAATTATAAAAAAGACACAGCACTATGTGGAAATTTAATATGCTAATGAGACATTAGCATATTAAACATTAAAATGGTCATACTGTCTGAAGCAATCTACATGTTCAACACTATTCCTAACAAATAATCAACATCATATATCACAGAATTAGAAAAAGCCATTCTAAAATCATATGGAACCAAAAAAAAGAGCCAAACTAGCCAAAGCAATCTTAAGCAAAAAGAACAAAACCAGTGACATCACGCCCGACTTCAAACTACACTACGCTGTTATAGTAACCACAACAACATGGACTCATAGAAAAATGGACATATAGACCAATGAAACAGAATAGAGACCCCTGAAATAAAACTGCACTCCTAAAACCAACTGATTTTTGACAAACTCAAGAAAAATAAGCAATGAAGAAAGGATGTCTTATTCAATAAATGGTGCTGGGAATACTGGCTAACTATATGAAGATGAAAAAAATTGGACCCCTGTCTCTTACCATATGCAAAAATTTATTCTACATGGAATAAAGATTTAAGTGTAAGACTTCAAATTATAAAAATCCTAGAATTAAACCTAGGAAATACTCTTCTGGACATTGACTGTGTCAAAAAATTTATGATGAACTCCTCAAAAGCAAATCCAACAAAAATTAGAATTGATAAGTGGGACTTAATTAAACTAAGAAGCTTTTGTGCAACAAATAAAGTATCAAAAGAATAAACAGACAACCTACAGGTTGAGAGAAAATATTTGCAAACTATACTTCCAACAAAGGTCATATAAAGAAATATATGAGATATTGGCAATTTATTTATATACCAATGGCCGACACACATTAAAAAATGCTCAATCTTTTTTTATTTTTCAAGATGGCAGATAGAAGGCATTGCTAGCATGTCTCTTCCACTTGGAAGGAGAGAACAGTGTGAAGATTCACACTGTGAACTTTTCTTTCAAGAACCACTGCAGGAACATACCCTGAAAACTGAAAGAATTTACAGATTATTTTTTAAAAAGTGGCATACCACGGCAAACTCCATGACAAAGGTGAAAAACTGTTTCCAGAGTGTGAGAAGGGGAGACCCTACCTCTTAACACAAATCTACACTGGGGAATATGAAAATCCAGACCAAGGGGAAAGGCTTTAACCCTACCTAGAGCAAGAATAGATTTAGAAAGTGGCGTGAAGTATAAAAATAGAGTTGTAGGAAGAGTCTTCTGTTTATTCCTAGTCTTCAGCTTGAGCCAAGGGAAGTGGAAGCTATCACTGAGTATATCCCACAGAGAACCCATAGGTAAGTCAGCCAGTGAACTCAGGGAAGTGTCACAGGGTGAAAGAAGCTTCCAACTGAATTTTGTGGTGTAATTTTGAGTGGCCATAAACTCACTTGAACAGAATCTGGGGGGCAAGCGAGAAGTACTGTAAATATGAGCACAGGAGCTGGGCACCCAGCATTGCAGGCAAATGGAAAGTTGTGTGGACTGAAAGCCATGCTTGCTTTCTCAACAGGGAAGAATATGGCTGGGGTCAGATCTGAGTTCTCTGCACAGGCTGCCTGATTCTAAACTCGGTGTTGTTAGTAGAGCACTGCAAGAGCAAGACCAGCCTCACCAACTTCGTGGGAGCTGGGTGAAGCCTATCACTACTGGCTATTTCTTACTTTTCTTGCAGAGGCAGTCATACTCCTCTCTGGAACACAACCCCATTGGCCTGAGAACCATACCCCACAATCCCCCACAGGGGCTGTGAAAAGCCCTGCCCAAGGAGTGTCTGAGCTCAGACCTGGCTAACCATTCCCAGACTTAATGGTATTGCTCTACCCACCCTGTTAGCTTAACACAAAAGGCATAAATTATTGTGAGATTTATGTCCCTGCCAATCACCTGAGAAACCAGAATACTTCCCCTGACCAACAAAGGGTAAGCTCAAATTCCACTACTACTACCACAGCTGGTGCTGTCTTACAAGTGTCACTTCCTCACTGGAGGCCATTAAACTCAGGCTATTAAAGAAACTCGTGGCAGAATAACACTGCTCCCAAGAAGGAGAAAATAACAGCTGACACCACTGCATGCAACTCAGTGACTAATAAGAAGTCCTGAGTCTGTCCACTTGACAACATCACTGCTAGCAAAACCAGCATTTGAGAAAGCCAGCACAGTAATCCCATCTACAGCCAAGGAAAATCAGAATCTATATTACTCCCCTGCCATCTCATTATAGCAGGTACTGGTACCCATGGCTGGGAGACCTGAAGACTGGTCTGATTATTGGACTCTTTGCAGACATTCCCCAGCACCAGACTGGAGCCCAACAGCCCCACTGGGTGGCTACACCCAGAACAGCAATAACAATCACTGCAGTCTGGCTCTGAAGAAGCCCCATTCCTAGGGAAAGAGGGAGAGTACCACATCAAGGGATTACCTGGTAGGACAAAAGAATCTGAACAGCAGGCTTGAGATCCAGACCTTTTCCTGGTGGAAAGTTTCTCACAGCAGAGACAATTTCAGTGCTGGGTGCAGTATGGAATGTCTGCACCTCTACCCCAACAGCCAGGCAGCCTCTGTGATCACGAAGGGCTTTGAAGAAGAGGTCCTTTTTCCCCTCCGGCACTCCACTGCAGACAGATCTGGGGCTCCCCCCTACAGAAATGCAGCATAGATGCACCTACAGACAGCCTTCTTAGAACAATCTAGGGTGAGTGCAGCCCCACAGAAGGAACATCCCCCAGATTCAAACCTGCATGACAGGCAAATGATATACACAAATCAATAGCATGGCTATACACCAACAATGACCAATCTGAAGATCAAATCAAGAACTCAACCCCTTTTATCACAACTGCAAAAAAATAAAATAAAACATTTAGAAATACACTTAGCCAAGGACGTGAAAGATTTCAACATGGAAAAACTACAAAACCCTACTGAAAGAAATCATGGATGACACAAACAAATGAAAATACATTCCGTGCTCATGGATGGGTAGAATCAATATTGTAAAAATTACCTTACTGCCAAAAACAATCCTCAGATTCAATGCAAATCTCATCAAAATATTATGATTATTACTTACAGAACTAGAAAAAACATTTTAAAATTCATATGGAACCAAAAAAGAGCCCACATAGCCAAAACAATACTAAGCAAAAAGAACAAATCTGGAAGCATCACATTACCTGACTTCAAACTATGCAATAAAGCCATAGTCACCAAAACAGCATGCTGCTGGTATAAAAATAAGCATGTAGACCAATGGAACAGAATAGAGAACCCAGAAATAAAGTTAAATATTTAAAGGCAACTGATCTTTGACAAAGCACACAAAAACATAAATTGAAAAAAGGACACCCTATTCAACTGATGATGTTGGGTTAACTGGCAAGCCATATATAGAATAATGAAACTGAATCACCATCTCTTATCTTATAAAAAAACCAACTCGAGATGGATGAAGCACTTAAATCTAAGACCTAAAATCATAAAAGTTTTAGAAGATAACATCAGAGAAACCCTTCTAGACATTAGCTTAGGCAAATAATTTATGACAATGAACCCAAAAGCAAATGCAACAAAAACAAATTAAATAAACTAGACCTAATTAAACTAAAAAATTTCTGCACAGCAAAAGAAATAATTAACAGATTAAACTGACAAGAGTGGGAGAAAATCTCTGCAAACTATACATCTGACAAAAGACTAATATCCAGAATCTACAAGGAACTCTAACAAATCAGTAAGAAAAAAAAATCCCATCAATAAGTGGGCAAAGGATATGAATAGACAACTCCCAAAATAAGATATACAAACAACCAACAAACATATAAAAAATGCTCAACTTCACTAATTTCAGGGAAATGCAAATTAAACTCACAATGAGATATCCCCTTACTCTTGTAAGAATGACCATAATTTAAAAATAAAAAAAAAATGTTGTCATGGATGTGGTGAAGAAGGAAAATGTTTACACTGCTGGTGGGAATGTAAACTAGTACAGCCACTATAGAAATCAGTATGGAGAATCCTTAAAAACAAAGAGGAGAACTACCAATTGATGTAGCAATTCCACTACTGGGTGTCTATCCAAAGAAAAATAAGTTATATGAACAAGACACATGCACACACATGTTTATAGAAGCACAATTCAAAATTGCAAAAATGTAAAACTAACCTAAATGCTCAAACGCTAATGAGTGGATAAAATATGGTCTAGATACACCATGGAATATTAGTCATAAAAAGGAATGAGACAATATTATTTGTAGCAACTTGGATTGAGTTGGAGGCCGTTATTCTAAGTGAAGTAACTCAGGAATGGAAAAGCAAATACTGTGTGTTCTTACTTATAACTGGGTGCTAAGCTATGAGAATGCAAAGGCATAAGAATAATAGAATGCACTTTAGGGACCCAGGAGGAATGATGAGAGTGGGGTGAGGTATAAAAAACTACATATTGGGTACAATGTACAATGCTAGGGTGATGGGTGCACCAAAATCTCAAAAATCACCACTAAAGAACTTGTCCATATAACAAAAAACCACCTGTTTCCCCAAAACTATTGAAATAAAAATTTTAAAATGCTCAAACCCACTAATAATCAGATAAATACAAATTAACACTACAAGGATATACTATCTTACCTTACTCAGAATGGCTATTACTACAAAGTCAAAAAGCAACAGATTTTAGTGAGGATGTGAAGAAATAGAATGCTTATACACTGTTGGTGGGATGTAAATTTGTAAAACCTGTATGGAAAACAGGTTGGAGAATTCTCAAAACAGTAAAAATAGAACTGTTATTCCACTCAGCAATCCAACTATTGGATGCCTACCCAAAGAAAAAATGTTATATCAAAAAGACACCTACACTCATATGTTTATCACAGCAACATTACAGTCTCAAAAATATGTAATCAACCTCAGTGTCCATCAACAGTTGTTTGAATAACTATACACACACATGCACACACACACAGACACACAAACATGCCATTAAATACTATTCAGCCATTAAAAATAATAAAATTATGTGCTTTGCAACAAAATGGACGCTGCTGAAGGCCATTATTTTAAATAAGATCGCCCAGTAACATAAAGTCAAATACCACATTCTCTTGCTTATAATTGGGAGCTAAATAATCTGTACTCATGGAAATAGAGAGCAAAATCATAGGCACTGCAGACTCAGAGGGGTAGGAGAGTGAGAGGGGGTGATGGATGAAGAATTACCTAATAAGTACAATGTACACTATTCGAATGATGGTTACACTAAAAGCCCAGATTTCAGATTTCACCACTACATAATATATCCATGTAACAAAACTGCAAGTGTACCCTATACATCTAGAAAAAGAAAAAGCAAGTTTATGAGGAAAAAAGAAATAGTGGCTTAAATTTTCTCAAAGTTTATGGAAAACATTAATCTACACATCAAGAAGCTCAATAAACTCTACATACGATAAACTCAGAACTCAGAGATCCCCACCTAGACATGATAATCAAAATTTTGAGAAACAAAGATGAATAGAGCATCTTGAAAGCATCAGAAGATAAGTTCCTCATTAATAAGGATTCTCAGTAAGATTTATAGATGATTTCTGACAGAAACCATAGAGCCTGTAAGCAATGGGATGACATCAAAGTGCTGAAAGACTGTTTCATACACAGAAACACTTTCAAGAATGAGAGAGAAATTAAGAAATTCTTATATTAGCAAGAACTAAGAAGAGAGCTTGTTGCTAGCAGCCACTTGCCCTACACAAAATGCTAAAATGTGACCTTTAGGCTGAAATTCAAGTACTCTATGTAGTAACTAGAAACCACATGAATAAAAGAACTAGTAATTTTTTTCTATTTCAACAGATTCTGAATATAAATGGATACACGTTGTTTTTGGTTACATGGATAAATTCTAAGGTTGTGGATTCTGATATTTTAGTATATGTGTATTCCAAGCAGTGTACACATACCAAATACGTAGTCTTATTCCTCACCCTTCCCCAGATCCCCCACTGAGCCTCCCAAGTTCAATATATTATTCTGTATGTCCTTGCATCCTCATAGCTTAGATTCCACTTATAAGTGAGAACATACAGCATTTGGTTTTCCATTCTTGGGTTAATTCACTTAGAATTATGGCCTCTAACTCTATCCAAGTTGCTGCAAAAGACATTATTTCATTTCTTTTTATGGCTGAGTAGTATTTCAGATAGATAGATAGATAGATAGATAGATAGATAGATAGATAGATAGATATACCACATTTTTCTTATCCACTCATTGGTTGGTGGGCATTTAAGTTGGTTTTATACTTTCGCAATTGTAAATTTTGCTGCTACAAACGTGTGTGCATGTGTTTTTTGATATAATAACTTCTGTTTCTTTGGGTACATACCCAGTAGTGAGATAGATGTATTGAATGCTACTTCTCCTTTTAGTTCTTTAAGGAATCTCCATACTGTTTCCCATAGTGGTTTTACTAATCTACCTTCCCACCAGCAGTGTAAAATAGTTCCCTTTTCACCATCTCTATGCCAACATCTATTGTTTTTTGACTTTTTAATTATGGCCCTTCTTAGAAGAGTAGGTGGTATCTCATTGTGGTTTTAATTTGAATTTCCGTGATGATTACAAAAGCACCAGTAATTGAAACATATAGATAATATAAAAGACATTATAAATATATTTATTGCTTGTACTGCCTTTTAATCTCTTATATGATTTAAAACACAACTTTACAAAGGAGTAATTTTTTATCATTGCTTATGGTCAAATAATGTATAAAGATCCAAGCCATGAAAATAATAGCATAAGAGAGGGGAAGAAAATGAAGCTATAAAAGAGTAACTTTTAAATTTTTATTTATTTTCTCTTTTTTAATTTCAATAGATTTTTGGGGAAAATGTGGTGTTTGATTACATGAATAAGTTATTTAGTGGTGATTTCTGAGATGTCAGTGCACTCATCACCTGAGCAGTGTACACTGTACCCAATGTGTAGTCTTTTATCTCTCACCCCCATCCCACCCTTTTCCCAGAGTACCCAAAGTCCATTTTATCATTCTTATGCCTTTGCATCTTCATAGCTTAGCTCCCACTTATGAGTAAGCACATAGGATGTTTGGTTTTCCATTCCTGAGCCACTTCGCTTAGAATAATGGTCTCCAATTCCATCCAGGTTGCTATGAAGACCATTGGTTTTTTTTATGGCTGAGTAGCATTCCATGATGTGTATATATACACCACAATTTCTTTATCCATTCGTTGATTGATGGGCATTTGGGCTGGTTCCATATTTCTGCAATTACAAATTGTGCTGCTATAAACATGTGTGTGCAAATATCTTTTTCGTATGACTTCTTTTCCTCTGAGTAGATACCCAATAGTGGAAAGGCTGAATCAAATGGTATTGCTACTTTTAGTTCTTTAAGGAATCCCCACACTGTTTTCTATAGTGATTGTACTAGCTTAAATTCCTATCAGTATTGTAAAAGTGTTCCCTTTTCATGACATCCAGGCAAGCATATATATATTTTTTTATTTTTTATTATGGCCCTTCTTGCAGGAGTAAGTGGTATCACACTGTGGTTTTTATTTGTATTTCCCTGATCATTAGTGATGTTGAGCATTTTTTCCTATGTTTATTGGCCGTTTGTATATCTTTTTCTGAGAATTTTGTATTCATGTCTTTAGCCCACTTTTTGATGGGGATGTTTTTTTCTTTCTGATTTGTTAGAGTTCCTTGTAGATTCTTGATATTATATTTTGTTGAATGTATAGATTGTGAAGATTTTCTCCGACCCTGTGGGTTGTCAGTTTAATCTAGTGATTATTTCTTTTGTTGTGCAGAAGCTTTTTTGGTTAATTAAGTCTCATCTACTTATTTTTGTTTTTATTGCATTTGTTTTTGGGTTTTTGGTTATGAGGTCTTTGCCTAAGCCAATGTCTTGTAGGGTTTTCCGAAGTTATCTTCTAGAATCTTTATGGTTTCAGATCTTAGATTTCAGCCCTTGATCCATCTTGAGTTGATTGTTGCAAAAAGTAAGAGATGAGGATACAGTTTTATTCTTCTACATGTGGCTTGCCAATTATTCCAGCACCAGTTGTTGAATAGGGTGTTATTTCTCCACTTTATGTTTTTGTTTGCTTAGTCAAGGATCAAGTTGGCTGTAAATAATTGGCTTAATTTCTGGATTCTCTGTTCTGTTCTATTTGTCAATGTGCCTATTTTTACACTAGTACCATACTGTTTTAGTAACTAGTGCCTTATAGTATCGTTTGAAGTCAGGTAATGTGATGCCTCCAGATTTGTTCTCTTTGCTTAATACTGCTTTGGTTATGTGGGCTCTCTTTGGTTCCATGTGAATTTTAGGATTGTTTTTATCTAATTTTGTAAAGAATGATGATGGCACTTTCATGGGAATTGCACTGAATTTTTAGATTGCTTTTGGCCATATGGTCATTTTCACAATATTGATTCTACCCATCCATGGGCATGAGATGTGTTTTTATTTGTTTGTGACATCTATGATTTCTTTCAGCAGTGTTTTGTGGTTTTCTTTGTTGAGGTCTTTTACGTCCTTGGTTAGGTATACGCCTAAGATTTTTTTTTTCTGCAGTTATTGTAAAAGGGGTTGAATTCTAGATTTGATTCTCATTTTGGTCGCTATTAGTGTATAGCAGAGCTACTAATTTGTGTACATTAATTTTGTATCCTGAAAATTTGCTGAATTCATTTACCAGTTCTAGAAGCTTTTAGGATGACTCTTTAGGATTTTATAGGTATACGATCATACCATCAGCAAACAACAACAGTTTGACTCCTCTTTAACAATTTGGATGTTCTTTATTTCTTTCTCTTGTCTGATTGCTCTGGCTAGGAATTTCACTACTATGTTGAATAGACATGGTGAGAGTAAGCATCCTTGTCTTGTTCCATTTCTCAAGGGGAGTGCTTTCAACTTTTCCCCATTCAGTATTATGCTGGCCATTGGTTTGCCATAGATGGCTTTTATTACTTTAAGGTATGTCCCTTCCACGCCAACTTTGCTGAGGGTTTTTTTCTTTGTAAGTAGATGTAAGTACTTTAATATTAGGGCAGTATAATTTTTTTATTTATTTTTATTTTTTTATTATACTTAAAGTTTTAGGGTACATGTGAAAAACGTGCAGGTTTGTTACATATGTATACATGTGCCATGTTGGTGTGCTGCACCCATCAACTAGTTATTTATCATTAGGTATATCTCCTATGCTATCTCTCCCTGCTACCACCACCCCACAAAGGGCCTCAGTGTGTGATGTTCCCCTTCCTGTGTCCATGTGTTCTCATTGTTCAATTTCCAATTGAACATGAGTGAGAACATGCGGTGTTTGTTTTTTTTTGTCCTTGTGACAGTTTGCTGAGAATGATGGTTTCCAGCTTCATCCATGTCCCTACAAAGGACATGAACTCATCCATTTTTATAGCTGCATAGAATTTCATGGTGTATATGTGCCGCATTTTATTAATCCAGTCTATCATAGTTGGACATTTGGGTTGGTTCCAAGTCTTTGCTATTGTGAATAGTGCCGCAGTAAATATACGTGTGCATGTGTCTTTATAGCAGCATGATTTATAACCCTTTGGGTATATACCCAGTAATGGGATGGCTGGGTCAAATGGCATTTCTAGTTCTAGATCCTTGAGGAATTGCCAAACTGACATACACAATGGTTGAACTAGTTTACAGTCCCACCAACAGTGTAAAAGTGTTGCTGTTTCTCCACATCCTCTCCAGCACCTGTTGTTTCCTGACTTTTTAATGATTGCCATTCTAACCGATGTGAGATGGTATCTCATTGTGGTTTTCATGTGCATTTGTCTGATGGCCAGCATTTTTTCATGTATCTTTTGGCTGCATAAATGTCTTCTTTTGAGAAGTGTCTGTTCATATCCTTCGCCCACTTGTTGATGGGGTTGTTTGTTTTTTTTCTTGTAAATTTGTTTGAGTTCATTGTAGATTCTGGATATTAGACCATTGTCAGATGAGTAGATTGCAAAAATTTTCTCCCATTCTGTAGGTTGCCTGTTCACTCTGATGGTAGTTTCTTTTGCTGTGCAGAAGCTCTTTAGTTTAATTAGATCCCATTTGTCAATTTTGGCTTTTGTTGCCATTGCTTTTTGTGTTTTAGACATGAGGTCCTTGACCATGTCTATGTCCTGAATGGTAATGCCTAGGTTTTCTTCTAGGGTTTTTATGGTTTTAGGTCTAATGTTTAAGTCTTTAATCCATTTTGAATTAATTTTTGTATAAAATGTAAGGAAGGGTTTCAGGTTCAGCTTTCTACATATGGCTAGCCAGTTTTCTCAGCACCATTTATTAAATAGGGAATCGTTTCCCCATTTCTTGTTTTTGTCAGGTTTGTCAAAGATCAGATAGTTGTAGATATGTGGCATTATTTCTGAGGGCTCTGTTCTGTTCCATTGGTCTATATCTGTGTTTTAGTGCCAGTACCATGCTGTTTTGGTTACTGTAGCCTTGTAGTATAGTTTGAAGTTAGGTAGCGTGCTGCCTCCAGCTTTGTTCTTTTGGCTTAGGGTTGACTTGGCAATGTGGGCTCTTTTTTGGCTCCATATGAACTTTAAAGTAGTTTTTTCCAATTCTGTGAAGAAAGGCATTGGTAGCTTGATGGGAATGGCATTGAATCTCTAAATTACCTTGGGCAGTATGGCCATTTTCACGATATTGATTCTTCCTATCCATGAGCATGGAATGTTCTCCATTTGTATCCTCTTTTATTTCATTGAGCAGTGGTTTGTAGTTCTCCTTGAAGAGCTCCTTCACATCCCTTGTAAGTTGGATTTCTAGGTATTTTATTCTCTTTGAAGCAATTGTGAATGGGAGTTCACTCATGATTTGGCTCTCTGTTTGTCTGTTATTGGTGTATAAGAATGCTTGTGATTTTTGCCCATTGATTTTGTATCCTGAGACTTTGCTGAAGTAGCCTATCAGCTTCAGGAGATTTTGGGCTGAGATGATGGGGTTTTCTAGATATACAATGATATCATCTGCAAACAGGGACAATTTGACTTCCTCTTTTCCTAATTGAATACCCTTTATTTCCTTCTCCTGCCTGATTGTCCTGGTCAGAACTTCCAAAACTATGTTGAATAGGAGTGGAGAGAGGGGGCATCCCTGTCTTGTGCCAGTTTTCAAAGGGAATGCTTCCATCTTTTGTCCATTCGGTATGATATTGTCTGTGGGTTTGCCATAGATAGCTCTTACTATTTTGAGATACGTCCCATCAATACCTAATTTATTCAGTTTTTAGCATGGAGTGTTGTTGAATTTTGTCAAAGGCCTTTTCTGCATCTATTGAGATAATCTTATGGTTTTTGTCATTGGTTCTGTTTATATGCTGGATTACGTTTATTGGTTTGTGTATGTTGAACTAGCCTTGCATCCCAGGGATGAAGCCCACTTGATCATGGTGGATAAGCTTTTTGATGTGCTGCTGGATTCAGTTTGCCAGTATTTTATTGAGGATTTTTGCATCAATGTTCATCAGGGTTATTGATCTAAAATTCTCTTTTTTTTGTTTTGTCTCTGCAAGGCTTTGGTATCAGGATGGTGCTGGCCTCATAAAATGAGGTAGGGAGGATTCCCTCTTTTTCTATTGATTGGAATAGTTTCAGAAGGAATGGTACCAGCTCCTCCCTGTACCTCTGGTAGAATTCGGCTGTGAATCCATCTGATCCTGGACTTCTTTTTGTTGGTAAGCTATTAACTATTGCCTCAATTTCAGTGCCTGTTATTGGCCTATTCAGAGAGTCAACTTCTTCCTGGTTTAGTCTTGGGAGGGTGTACATGTCGAGGAATTTATCCATTTCTTCTAGATTTTCTAGTTTATTTGCGTAGAGGTGTTTATAGTATTCTCTGATATTAGTTTGTATTTCTGTGGGATCGGTGTTGATATCCCCTTTGTCATTTTTTATTGCATCTATTTGATTCTTCTCTCTTTTCTTCTTTATTAGTGTTGCTAGCGGTCTATCAATTTTGTTGATCCTTTCAAAAAACCAGCTCCTGGATTCATTGATTTTTTGAAGGGTTTTTTGTATCTTTATTTCCTTCAGTTGTGCTCTGATCTTAGTTATTTCTTGCCTTCTGCTAGCTTTTGAATGTGTTTTTTCTTGCTTCTCTAGTCCTTTTAATTGTGGTTTTAGGGTGTCTACTTTAGGTCTTTCCTGCTTTCTCTTGTGGGCATTTAGTGCTATAAATTTCCCTCTGCACACTGCTTTAAATGTGTCCCAGAGATTCTGGTATGTTGTGTCTTTGTTCTCGTTGGTTGCAAAGAACATCTTTATTTCTGCCTTCATTTCGTTATGTACCCAGTAGTCACTCAGGAGCAGGTTGTTCAGTTTCCATGTAGTTGAGCGGTTTTGAGTGAGTTTCTTAATCCTGAGTTCTAGTTTGATTGCTCTGTGGTCTGAGAGACAGTTTGTTATGATTTCTGTTCTTTTACATTTGCTGAGGAGTGCTTTACTTCCAACTGTGTAGTCAATTTTGGAATAAGTGTGGTGTGGTGCTGAAAAGAATATATATTCTGTTGATTTGTTGAATGTATGTTCTGTATATGTCTATTAAGTCCGCTTGGTGCAGAGCTGAGTTCAGTTCCTGGATATCCTTGTTGACTCTCTTTCTCATTGATTTGTCTAATGTTGACAGTGGGGTGTTAAATTTTCCCGTTATTATTGTGTGGGAGTCTAAGTCTCTTTGTAGGTCTCTAAGGACTTGCTTTATGAATCTGGGTGCTCCTGTATTGGGTGCATATATATTTAGGATAGTTAGCTCTTCTTGTTGAATTGATCCCTTTACCATTATGTAATGGCCTTCTTTGTCTGTTTTGAACTTTTTTGGTTTAAAGTCTGTTTTATCTGAGACTAGGATTGCAACCCCTGCCTTTTTTTGTTTTCCATTTGCTTGGTAGATCTTCCTCCATCCTTTTACTTTGAGCCTATTTGTGTCTCTGCACGTGAGATGGGTTTCCTGAATACAGCACCGATGGGTCTTGACTCTTTATATAATTTGCCAGTCTGTGTCTTTTAATTGGAGCTTTTAGTCCATTTACATTTAAGGTTAATATTGTTGTGTGTGAATTTGATCCTGTCATTTTGAAGTTAGCTGGTTATTTTGCTCATTAGTTGATGTGGTTTCTTCCTAGCCTCAATGGTCTTGACAATTTGGCATGTTTTTCCAGTGGCTGGTACCAGTTGTTCCTTTCCATATTTAGTGCTTCCTTCAGGAGCTCTTTTAGGGCAGGCCTGGTGGTGACAAAATCTCTCAGCATTTGCTTGTCTGTAAAGGATTTTATTTCTCCTTCACTTATGAAGCTTAGTTTGGCTGGATATGAAATTCTGGGTTGAAAATTCTTTTCTTTAAGATTGTTAAATATTGGCCCCCACTCACTTCTGGCTTGCAGAGTTTCTTCTGAGAGATCAGCTGTTGGTCTGATGGGCTTCCCTTTGTGGGTAACCCGACCTTTCTCTCTGGCTGCCCTTAACATTTTTTCCTTCATTTCAACTTTGTTGAATCTGACAATTATGTTTCTTGGAGTTGCTCTTCTCGAGGAGTATCTTTGTGGTGTTCTCTGTATTTCCTGAATTTGAATATTGGCCTGACTTGCTAGATTGGGAAGTTCTGGATATCCTTCAGAGTGTTTTCCAACTTGGTTCCATTCTCCCTGTCACTTTCAGGTACACCAATCAGTTGTAGATTTGGTCTTTTCACATAGTCCCATATTTCTTGGAGGCTTTGTTCATTTCTTTTTATTCTTTTTTCTCTAAACTTCTCTTCTCACTTCATTTCATTAATTTCATCTTCCATCACTGATACCCTTTCTTCCAGTTGATCAAATCAGCTCCTGAGGCTTGTGCATTCATCACTTACTTCTCCTGCTGTGGTTTTCAGCTCCATCATGTCCTTTAAGGACTTCTCTTCTTTGGTTATTCTAGTTAGCCATTCGTCTAATTTTTTTTCAAGGTTTTTAACTTCTTTGCCATGGGTTTGAACTTCCTCCTTTAGCTTGGAGTAGTTTGATCGTCTGAATTCTTCTTCTCTCAACTCGTCAAAGTCATTCTCTGTCCAGCTTTGTTCCATTGCTGGTGAGGAGCTGCGTTCCTTTGGAGGAGGAGATGCACTCTGATTTTTAGAGTTTCCAGTTTTTCTGCTCTGTTTTTTCCCATCTTTGTGGTTTTATCTACCTTTGGTGTTTGATGATGGTGAAGTTCAGATGGGGTTTTGGTGTGGATGTCCTTTCTGTTTGTTAGTTTTCCTTCTAACAGTCAGCTGCAGGTGTGTTGGAGTTTGCTGGTTGTGCACTCCAGACCCTGTTTTCCTGGGTATCAGCAGCGGAGGCTGCAGAACAGCGGATATTGGTAAGCAGCAAATATTGCTACCTGATCATTCCTCTGGAAGCTTCCTCAGGGATCTAGAATTAGAAATTCCATTTGACCCAGCCATCCCATTACTGGGTGTATACCCAAAGGGTTATAAATCATGCTGCTATAAAGACACATGCAGATGTATGTTTATTGCGCCACTATTCACAATAGCAAAGACTTGGAACCAACCCAAGTGTCCAACAATGATAGACTGGATTAAGAAAATGTGGCACATATACACCATGGAATACTATGCAGCCATAAAAGAATTTTTGTTTTTAATTCTGTTTATGTGGTGTATCACATTTTTTGACTTTTTTATGTAAAACCTACCCTGCATCCCTTGTATGAAACCCACTTGATTATGGTGAATTATATTTTTGATAATGCTGTTGGATTCGGTTTGCTAGTATTTTATTGAGGATGTTTTCATTTATGTTCATTAGGGACATTGGCCTGCAGTTTTATTTTTTTGTATGTCTTTTCCTGGTTTTGGTCTTAGTGTCGTATCATCTTCATAGAATGATTTAGACAGTATTCTCTATTTCTCTATCTTGTGCAATATTGTCAGTATAATTAGTACCGATTCTTTTTTGAATGTCTGATAGAATTCAGCTGTGAATCTGTCTGGTCCTGGACTTTTAATTTTGTTGGCATTTTTTTTATTACCATTCCAGTCTCGCTGCTTGTTATTGGTCTGTTCAGTTTCTATTTCTTCCTGATTTAATCTAGAATCATTGTATATTTCCAGGATTCATCCATCTCTTCTAAGTTTTCTACTTTATACACATAAATGTGTTCATAGTAGCCTTGAATTATCTTTCGTATTTCTGTGGTATCAGTTGTAATTTCTCCTCTTTAATTTGTAATTGAGGTTATTTGGATCTTCTCTCTTCTTTTTTTGGTTAATCTCGCTAATAGTCTTTCAATTTTATTTGTCTTTTCAAAACCCGCTTTTTTTCTTTTTTTGTACTTTTTGTTTCAATTTTATTTAGTTCTGCTTTGATCTTCACTATTTCTTTCCTCCTGCTGGGTTTGGGTTTGTTTTTTTTCTTGTTTTCTCGTTCCTTGAGGTGTGACTTTAGATTGTCTATATGTGCTCTTTCAGACTTTTTGATGTACGCATTTAAGGCTATGAACTTTCCTCTTAGCACTGCTTTTGCTGTATCCCAGAGGTTTTGATAGGTGGTGTCACTATTAGCATTCAGATCAAAATTTTTGTTTTAAAATTTTTTCTGGATTTTTATTATTGACCCGACTATCATTCAGGATAAGTTGTTTAATTCCTCTATATTGGCATTTTTTTGTGGGTTCCTTTTGGAGTTATTTCCAATTTTATTTTACTGTGGTTTGAGAGGGTACTTGATATAATTTCAATTTATTGAAATTGATTAAGACTTGTTTTGTGGCCTATAATATGGTCTATCTTGGAGAATAGTCCATGTGCTGGTGAATAGAATGTATATTCTGCAGTTTTTGAGTAAAAGGTTTTGTAAATATCTATTAAGCTCCTTTGTTCTAGGGTGTAGTGTATATCCATTGTTTCTTTGTTGACTTTCTGTCTTGATGACCTTTCTAGTGCTGTCAGTGGAGTATTGAAGTCCCCCACTAATTTTGTGTTGCTGTCTATTTAATTTCTTAGGTTTAGTAGTTATTGTTTTATAAATTTGGAAGCTATGCCACTAGGCTCATATATATTTAGAATTGCAATATTTTCCTTTTGGACTAGTACTTTTATCATTAGATATTGTCCCTTTGTCTTTTTTAACTGTTGTTGCTTTAAGGTTTGTTTTGTCTGATATAAGAATAGGTACTCTTCCTTGCTTTTGGTGTCCATTTGCATGGAATATCTTTTTCGCTATTTTATCTTAGGTTTATATGAGTCTGTAAGTGTTAGGTGAGTCTCCTGAAAACAGCAGAAACTTTATTGGTGAACTCTTATGTATTCTGCCATTGTATAGCTTTTAAGGGGAGCATTTAAGCCATTTACAGTCAATGTTAATATTGATATGTGAGGTAGTATTTTATTCATCGTGCTATTTGTTGCCTGAATTCTTTGTTTTTATATTGTGTTTTTGCTTTCTAGGTCCTGTGAGATTTATGCTTTAAGGGCATGTTATTTTTTATTTTGTGGACTTTTTTCAAGATTTATAGCTCCTTGTAGTACTGGCTAGGTAGTAGCATATTTTCTCAGAATTTGTTTGGAAGAGATTGTATCTTTCCTTAAATTATGAAGTTTAGTTTTGCTGGATGCAAAATTCTTGGCTGATAATTGTCTTATTTAAGGAGGCTGAAGTTGGAACCCCAATCTCTTCTACCTTATAAGATTTCTGCTGATAAATCTGCCATTAATCTGACAGATTTTCTTTTATGGGTTACGTGGTGCTTTTGCCTCCCATGTCTTAAGATTCTTTCCCTCATCTTGACTGTAGATAACCTGATGTCTGTGTTTCTAGATGATGATCTTTCTGTGCAGAATTTCCCAGTTGAGTTGTTCTTTGAGTTTCCTGTATTTCAATGTCTAAATCTCTAGTAAGGCCAGGGAAGTTTTCTCCAATTATTCCCTCAATTATGTTTTCCAAACTTTTGATTTCTCTTCTTCTTTGGGAGCCCCAATTATTCTTGAGTTTCATCATTCAACATAATCCCAAATTTCTTGGAGCCTTTGTTTATGTTTTTGATTCTTTTTTATTGCCTTTTTTGGATTGAGTTAATTCAAAAACCTTGTCTTCGAGCTCTGAGGTTCTTCCTTCTGCTTGTTCAATCCTATTGCTGAGACTTTCCAGTGCATTTTGTATTTCTCTAAGGATGTCCTTCATTTCCAGAAGTTGTTATTGTATTATATTTATGACGTCTATTTCATTGAAGATATTTCCCTTTATATCTTGTACCTTTTTAAAATTTTATTAAGTTGAACTTCACCTTTCTTTGGTGCCTTCTTGATTGTTTTAATAATCAACCTTCTGAAATCTTTTTCTGGCAATTCAGGTATTTCTTCTTGGTTTGGGTTTACTACTGGTAAGCTAGTGTGATCTTTCGGGTGTGTTGAACAACCTTGTTTTGTCATATTACCAGAATTATTTTTTCTGGTTTCTTCACATTTGGACAGACTATGTCAGAGGGAAGATCTGGGATTCAAATGATGCTGTTCAGATTACTTTGTCCCACAGGGTGCTCCATTGATTTAGTGCTCTCTCCCTTTTCCTAGAGATGGGGCTTCCTGAGAGCCAAACTGTTGTGATTGTTATTTCTCTTCTGGATCTAGCCAGTCAGCAGACTACCAGGCTCTAAGCTGGTACTGGGGGCTGTCTGAACCCCACAGTGATGTGAACTATCCTCAGGTCTCTCAGCCATGAATAGCATTAGCTGCTGTGGTGCAGGTGGCAGTGGGGAGTAAAATGGACTCTGTGAAGGTCCTTAGTTGCAGTTTTGTTTATTGCACTAGTTTTGTGTTGGTTAGCTTCCATCCAGGAGTGAGTGCTCCAAAGAGAACATCTGCTGAGATTGTATAGGGATGATCAGGCAGTGGGACCTAGAGCTCCCAGGAGCTTTGTCTTCAGCTACAAGGGCAAGTAGAGAAAGACCATCAGGTGGATGCAGGTATAGACTTGTCTGAGCTCAGACTCTATTTGGGTGGGGCTTGCTGTGGCTGCTGCTGGAGGTGGGGTTGTTGTTCTCAGGCCAAAAGAGTTATGTTCCCAGAGGGATTATGGCTGCCTCTGCTTTGTCATGTGGATCATCAGGGAAGTTGGGGAAAGCCAGCAGTTACAGGCCTCACCCAGCTCCTAAACAGCCCAAAAGGGTGGTCTGAAAAGACTGATCTCATTCCCACCATGCCTCCCTCCAACAGCACCAAGTTTATTTCTGGGCAGTGGGTGAGCAGAAAAAAATACAAACAGTATAGCTACTATGAATGAATTAAAATGTTATACTAGAAAATATCTATATAACAGAAAGGAAAGTAGTAATAAACAAATTGGGGAATAAAAATGATACAAGATATAGGAAAATAAATAGCACAATGGCAGGAAGATAAATTTAATCTATTTAAACTTAATGTAATTACTCTCCAACTAAAAGGAACAGTTGGTGGTATGAATTAAAACCATGATAATGCTGTCTATATTTTAGATTTAAAACATGTTTAAAGAAGAAGAATGAGAAAGGATGTATGATATGGTTTGGCTGTGTACTCACCAAAATCTCATCTTGAATTGTTGTTCCCATAATCCCCACATGTAATGGGAGAGACTTGTTGGGAAGTAATTTAATCATGAGGACAGTTACCCTCATGCTATTCTCAGGATGGTGAGTGACTTCTTGCAAGATCTGATGGTTTTATAAGGGACTTTTCCCCTGTGCGCTCAGCACTTCTTGCTGCTGCCATGTGAAGAAGGGCATATTTTCTTCCCCTCCATCATAATTGTAAGTTTCTTGAGGCCTCCTCAGTCATGCTGAACTGTGAGTCAATGAAACCTTTTTTCTTTATAAATTACCCAGTCTCAGGTATGTCTTTATTAGGAGCATGAGAATGAACTAATACAGTAAATTGGTATGGCAGAGAGTGGGGTGCTGTTATAAGAATACCCAAGAATGTGAAAGCAACTTTGGAACTGGGTAACAGGCAGAGGTTGGAAGTTTGGAGGGCTCAGAGGAAAACAGAAAAATGTGGGAAAGTTTGAAACTTCATAGAGACTTGGAGGGCTCAGAAGACAGAAAGATGTGGGAAAGTTTGGAACTTCCTAGAGACTTGTTGAATGGCTTTGGCCAAAATACTAATAGCGATATGGACAATAAAGTTCAGGCTGAGATTGTCTCAGATGGACATAAGAAAGTTGTTGGGAACTAAAGTAAAGGTAACTCTTGTTATGCTTAACAAACAGACTGGCAGCATTTTACCCCTGCCCTAGAGATCTATGGAACTTTGAAATTTAAGATGATTTAGGGTATCTAGCTGAAGATATTTTTATGCAGCAAAGTGTTCAAGGGGAAGCAGAAGATAAATGTTTGGAAATTGTGCAGCTTGACCATGTGATACAAAAGAAAACCTTATTTTCTGGGGAGAAATTCAAGGCAGCTGTGGAAATTTGCATAAGTAATGAGGAGCTGAATGTTACTCACCAAAACAATGGGAAAAATGTCCCCAGGGTATTTCAGGAACCTTCACAGCAGCTTGTCCCATCACAGGCCTGGAGGCCTAGGAGGGAAAAATGGTTTTGTGGGCCCCATTCTATGCAGCCTTGGAACACGGCACACTGCACCCCAGCTGCTTCAGCTCCAACCACGGTTAAAAGGGGCAAAGGTACAGCTCAGGCCATTGATTCAGAGAATGCATGCCCCAAGTCTTGGTGGCTCCCAGTTGGTGTTGGGCCTGTGGGTGCAAAGAACTCAAGAATTGAGGTTTGGGACCTCTACCTAGATTTCGGAGGATGTGTAGAAACACCTGAATGTCCAGGCATAAGCTTGATGCAGGGGCTGGGCCCTCATGGAGAACCTCTGCTGGCAGGGTGGAAGGAAAATATGGGGTTGAAGTCCCTACACACACTCCCCACTGGGGTACTGCCTAGTGAAGCTGTGAGAAGAGGACCACTGTCCTCCAGATCCCTGAATGATAGGTTCACCAACAGCTTGCACCACATACCTCAAAAAGCTCCAGACACTCAATGCCAGCCTGTGAAAGCAGCTGGAAATAGAATTGTACCATGCAAAGCCACAGGGACAATAGTGCCCAAGGCCCTGGAAGCTCATCTCTTGCATCAGCATGCCCTGAATGTGAGATATGGGGTCAAAGGAGATATTTTTGAAACTTTAAGGCTTAAGAACTGCCCTATTGAATTTCAGACTTGCTTGGGGCCTGTGGGCTCTTTGTTGTGCCCAACTTCTCTCATTTGGAACAGGTGTATTTGCCCATTTCCTGTACCTCCATTATATCTAGGAAGTAACTAACTTGCTTTTGATTTTACAGGCTCATAGGTGGAAGGGACTTGCTTTGTCTCAGATGAGACCTTGGACTTGGACTTTTTGGTTAATGGTGGAATGAGTTGAGATTTTGGAGAACTGTTGGAAAGGCAGAGGATGGTTACTGTCATGCTGTTCTCATGATAGTGAGTTCTCATGAGATCTGATGGTTTTATAAGGGGCTTTTTCCTTTTTCACTCACCACTTCTCCTTGCTTCTGCCTTGTGAAGAAAGATGTGTTGGCTTCCCCTTCTGCCATGATTGTAAGTTTCCTGAAGCCTTCCCAGCCATGCAAACTGTGAGTAAATTAAACCTTTTTCCTTTATAAATTGCTCAGTCTGCTATAAATTACTCTTATTAGCAGCATGAGAATGGACTAATACAAAATATTATGCAAACAGTAACTCAAGAAGACACAGAGTGGCTGTGTAAGGCCAAATACAAATTACCTGTCAGAGGCTTAATTTTTTTCTATTAAAAAAAGGAAGAGACTTCTTGCTCTTTTTTCTTTCAGCATTTTTATCATTTCTTTTCAAATATATGCAAATTTTTGTCATAGAGAAATAAAGTTCTTGCCAGTCTCACAATTTATGAATGTCTTTCTCAGGAACCTGGGAGGCATTGTTTTGAAATCAGACACCTAGGGAGAAAGCCCCTTTTCTCCCAGTTTTTGTGAGATTGTAAGAGCCTAACTTCTGTGGGCACCTTGCTTCAGTATGCAAAATACGTCCTGTTGTAAAGATATAAAAAAGAGTTTCTTTTTTCTGTATAAAAGCTAATTAGCTAACATGAGTGGTCCACTAAAGTTTCCATTGTAAAGTTATGATTAGCTATATGTTACAAAAGGTGATGTCAAGTCCTCTTACTTGAAGACTTGTTATTATTTTTTATATTGAAAACATGTATAAAGCAGGTTGTATTAATATCTGCTTGGCTATATCAGGAGTTGAGATTCTTTTCTGTTTTTGTTCTCAGTGGATTGCCTGTGATATGCATGACATTCTGCTTTAATGCTTAAACAATAATTAAAGTATTTTCTTTTTTACTACTTTCATGGAGAAGATTTCTGTGTTGGGAGATTTTGCTTTTAGCTATACTATACTTATATCAGATAAAATAGACTTTAAGCAAAAACATCTGTTAATAGTGACAAAAAATGTTTTATAATGGGGTAAACTCATAAAGAATTCACAACAATTTTAAACTTGAGTATGTACAGAGACCTTTTGCATAAAGTAAAACTGGCATAATTAAAGGAGAACTAGATAATTCAACACAAGTAGTTGGAGATGTCACTACCTCATTTTAAAAATAAATGGAATAACTAGACAGAATATCAACAATTTTCTTAGTTCATTTTGTACTGCTATGGCAGTTTTGTCACAGACGGAGTGATTTATAATAATAACAAATGTATTTCTCATGGTTCTGGAGAGTGGAAAGTTCAAGATCAAGGCGCCCCCATCTAGTCAGGGTCTTCTCGCTGCATTATAACATAGCAGAAGGGCAAAGAGAGAGTGAAAAAGAGAGCAAAAGGAGGCAAACCCACTCTCACAAGAAGAAAGCCACTCCCACAATAATGAAATTAATTCATTTATGAGTGGGAAGCTCTCATGACCTAAACATCTATTAAAGGTCTCACTTTTAAATATTGTCAACATGGCAATTAAATTTCAACATGAGTTTTGGAGGAAACAAACATTCAAAACATAGCATTTTGCTCTCAGCACCACAAACTCATGTCTTTCCCACATATGAAATACATTTATTTTATCTCAGTAGCCCCCAAATTTTTAACTTGTTCCAGCACCAGCTCAAAAGTCCTAAGTCCAGAGTGTCATCTAAATTAGATATGGGTGAAATTCAAGGCAAAATTTATCCTGAGGCAAATTCCTCTCTATCTGTGTCTGTTAAATCAAATGGGTTACCTAATTTTAAAATACGGTGACAGCACAGGCATAAAATAGATATTTGTATTCCAAAAGAAATAGGCAAGAGGAAAGGAGTAACTGGTTCCAAGTAAGTATAAAACCCCCCAAAAAAGAAAACAAAACTAAATCCTAAGTCTTGATGATAATCTTCATTGACTTTATGTCCTACCTCCTGGACACACTGGGGCAAGAGTTGGGCTCCCATTCCCAAGGCAGCCCAAACCCTGTGGTCTTGCTGGACTCAGCCTACACAACAGCTTTTATAACTTGGAGGCTTGTGCCTGCAGCTCTCCCAGGCCAATGTGATCACTGGTAGGCTTATAGTTCTGGATTTTCTCACTCCTCACAACCCCACTAGACATTTCCCTAGTGGGGACTCTTTATGGTGGCTTCACCCCTATCATAGATCTCTGCATCATTATTTGAAATCTTGATAAAGGCAGCTATGCCTCCACAACTTGTACACTATGCTTGCCTGCATGATGAAAACCACATAAACAATGCTAAGGTTTATGGACTGTGCATTATAGAGTAATGGCTGGAGTGGTGGCCAGAGTAGCAGCAGGGCCCGCTTGAACCATGATTGAGGAGGCCAAGGGGTGCTTCACCAGAATACATGGAGTAGAGACTTGTGGCAGTACAGAGCAGTAAATGCTGACGTCCCATGTGTGCTTCTCTTGAAACCTTACTTTTAAAGTACTAGCTTGCCTTGAAGATCTCTAAAATGCTTTCAGGGTCACTCGCCTATTGTCTTGATGAATAACACCTGTCTTCCTTCTAGTCATACTACTCTCTTTAACAAGGAGTTGTTGGCGCCAATTTTGTTTGCTCTCCTAAACATACCTTTTCAATCACTACATGACCAGACTGAATATTTTCCAAATCTTTATGTTCTTTTTCCCATTCTAATTATAAATTGATTCTTTAGTTTTTCTCTTCTTTCATTTGAGTATATGCAGTTAAAATAATCCATGCAGCTCCTTCAATATTTTGCTTAGAAATTTCTTCTACCAGATATTCCAGTTCGTTGATTTTTTTTTTTTTTTGGCCTAAATCTGTGTCTCCACCCAAATCTTGTGTTGAATTGTAATCCCCAATGTTGGAGGTGGGGTCTTGTGGGAGGTAATTGGATTTTGGGGGCAGTTTCTCATTCTGCTTTCTTGAAAGCCCTCAGGCCTGGACACAATTCAGACAAGTTCTTTGGCACTTTCTAACAAGTATAGTCTTTACTGAAGTTTTCAATGAGATAATCCTCACTATCGTCTGAGACCTTATCAGAATAATTATTACCATCTATATTTCTACCAACATTCTGATCACAACCACTTGAATAATTTCTAGGAAGATTCAGACTTTCTTTACAGCTATTCTCTTCTGTGTTTTAACCAGAGTTGCCCTTAATTCTCCATTTATAGTAATACAGGCTTATTCCAGCATTCATTTCAAAACTGTTCCATTCTCTACTCATTACCCAGTCCCAAAGCCACTTCCACATATTCAGGTATTTGATATAGCAACACTGCATTCTCTGGCATCATTTTTTGTCTCAGTCTATTTAGCACTGCTGTAACAAAATATCATATGATAGGCAATTTATAATAAACAGAAATTTATTGGCTCACAGTTCTGGAGCCTGGAGCATCAAAGACTGAGACACTGGCATCTGGCTAGGACCTTTGTGCTGCATCACATCATGGGAGAAGGAAGAAGGGAAAGACAGAGCAAGAGAAAGAGCAAGATGGAGGCAAGCCCACTTCTGCAATAGCAAACCCATTCCTGTGATAATGGCATTAGTACCTTCATGAGGGTAGAGCCCTTATGACCTAAACACCTCTAAAAGTTCCACCTCTCAATATTGCCACAATTACAATTAAATTTCCACATGAATTTTGAAGGGAACAAGCATTGAAACTATAGCAAAAAGAAAATAGTAGTCGTGAACAACACTATAAGTCAACTAAACGTAACAGACATGTATAGAACACTTTAACCAATAACAGCAGACTACACATTCTTCTGAAGTACTATGGAACATTCTCCAGGATAGATCATGTTCTAGGCCGTAAAACAAGCCTCAAAAAATTAAAATTACTGAACTTATGCAAAGTAAATTGTCCAATTATAATGGAATGAAACTACAAATTGATTTAAAAAATGAGAAATCCAAAAATATGTAGAAATTAAAGAAAACTCTTAAAATTCAAAGGGAGAATAAAGAAATTACAAGGAAAATTAGAAAATATTTTGAGAAAAATAAAAATGAAAACACAACGTATAAAATCTTTTGGGCTGCAGGTAAAGAAATGCTCAAAGAAAATTTGTAGTTTATATGTCTGTATCTAAACAGGAAGATCTCACATCAATAATCTAAATTTGTACCTTAAGAAATTAAAATAAGAAAAACAATCTAAACCCAAAACACCTAACAAGAGAGCTCCAAAACATATAAAGAAAAACATTGACAGAGTTGAAGGGACAAATATACAGTTCTCTAATAACAGACGAATACTTATAATATCCCACTTACAATAATAGATTAAACAAGTACACGAAATTGCAAAATGGAAATAGAGGACATAAAAATACTAAAAAGCAATAAGACATAACAGAAATTCATAGACCAACCAACTGAACCACAAAAGAATACATGTTCTTCTCAAGTGCACATAAAACATTCTCCAGGATAAATGATATATTAGGCCTTAAAACACAGCTCAACATATTTTGGACGAATGAAATTATACAAAGTCAGTTCTCCGACCACAATGGAATAAAATTAGAAATAAATAACAAAATAAATATTAGGAAATCCACAAATATGTAACATTGAAAAATTACACTTTTAATTAATCAACACTTTAAAGAAGAAATCAGAAAGAAGATTAGAAAACACCAGGTGTTGTTATCAGGGTGAGGTTGGCCTTCTTTCTCTATTGCTTGGAATAATTTCAGAAAAAAATGGTAACAGCCCGTCTTTGTACCTCTGGTAGAATTTGGCTGTGAATCCGTCTGGTCCTGGACTTTTTTTGGATGGTAGGTTATCAATTACTGCCTCGATTTCAGAACTTATTATTGGTCTATTGAGGGATTCGACTTCTTCCTGGTTTAGTCTTTTTGTTGTTGTTGTTTTCTTTTTTTATTATCATACTCTAAGTTTTAGGGTATGTGTTCACAATGTGCAGGTTAGTTACATATGTATACATGTGCCATGTTGGTGTGCTGCACCCATCAACTCGTCACTTACATTAGGTATATCTCCTAATGCTATCCCTCCCCCCTCCCCCCACCCCACAACAGGCCCCGGTGTGTGATGTTCCCTTTCCTGTGTCCATGTGTTCTCGTTGGTCAATTCCCACCTATGAGTGAGAACATGCAGTGTTTGTTTTTTTTGTCATTGAGATAGTTTGCTGAGAATGTTGGTTTCCAGCTTCATCCATGTACCTACAAAGGACATGAACTCATCATTTTTTATGGCTGCATTGTATTCCATGGTGTATATGTACCACATTTTCTTAATCCAGTGTATCATTGTTGGACATTTGGCTGGAGAGGATGTGGAGAAATAGGAACACTTTTACACGTTGGTGGGACTGTAAACTAGTTCAACCATTGTGGAAGTCAGTGTGGCGATTCCTCAGGGATCTTGAACTAGAAATACATTTGATCCAGCCATCCCATTACTGGGTATATACCCAAAGGATGATAAATCCTGCTGCTATAAAGACACATGCACACATATGTTTATTGCGGCACTACTCACAATAGCAAAGACTTGGAACCTGGTTTAGTCTTGAGAGAGTGTGTGTGTCCAGGAATTTAGCCATTTCTTCTAGATTTTCTAGTCTATTTTTTATTTTATTTATATATATATATATATTTATTACACTTTAAGTTCTAGGGTACATGTGCACAACGTGCAGGTTTGTTACATATGTGTACATGTGCCATGTTGGTGTGCTGCACCCCTTAACTCGTCATTTACATTAGGTATACCTCCTAATGCTATCCTTCCCCACTCCCCCACCCCACAACAGGCCCCAGTGTGTGATATTCCCCTTCCTGTGTCCAAGTGTTCTCATTTTTCAATTCCCATCTATGAGTGAGAACATGCGGTGTTTGGTTTTTCTGTCCTTGCGATAGTTAGCTGAGAAGATTTTCTAGTTTAATTGCATAGATTTGTTTATAGTATTCTCCGATGGCAGTTTGTATTTTTGTCAGATCAGTGGTGATCACCCCTTTTTCATTTTGTATTGTGTCTTTTTGATTCTTCTCTCTTTTCCTCTTTATGAATCTGGCTAGCAGTCTATCTATTTTGTCAATCTTTTCAGACAACAAGCTCCTGGATTCGTTGATTTTCTGAAGGGTTTTTCGTGTCTCTATCTCCTTCAGTTCTGCTACAATCTTAGTTATCTCTTGTCTTCTGTAAGCTTCTGAATTTGTTTGCTCTTGCTTCTCTAGTTCTTTTATTGTGGTGTTAGTGTGTCAAATGTAGATCTTTCCCGCTTTGTATAAAAATGAAGACACATCATACAAAAACTAATGAGATGCAACTAAAGCACTGCTCAGAAGAAAATCTATAATTTTAAATGTCTATATTTATTTATTTATTTTTATCTGAACGCAACTTTGGTTTTTTATTATACTTTAAGTATTAGGGTACATGTGCACAATGTTCAGGTTTGTTACATATGTATGCATGTGCCATGTTGGTGTGCTGCACCCATTAATTCATCATTTAACATTAGGTATATCTCCTAATGCTATCCCTCCCAGTCTATCATAGATAGCCACTTCGGTTGGTTCCAAGTCTTTGCTATTGTGAATAGTGCTGCAATAAATATGCGTGTGCATGTGTCTTCATAGCAGCATATTTTATAATCCTTTGGGTATATACCCAGTAATGGGATGGCTGGGTCAAATGGTATTTCTAGTCCTAGCTCCCTGAGGAAGCGCCACACTGACTTCCACAATGGTTGAACTAGTTTACAGTCCCACCAACAGTGTAAAAGTGTTCCTATTTCTCCACATCCTCTCCAGCACCTGTTGTTTCCTGACTTTGTAATGATCCCCATTCTAACTGGTGTGAGATGGTATCTCATTTTGGTTTTGATTTGCATTTGTCTGTTGACCAGTGATGATGAGCATTTTTTCATGTGTTTTTTCGCTGCATAAATGTCTTCTTTTGAGAAGTGTCTGTTCATATTCTTCGCCCACTTGTTGATGAGGTTGTTTTTTCCTTGTAAATTTGTTTGAGTTCATTGTAGATTCTGGATATTAGCCTTTTGTCAGATGAGTATATTGCAACAATTTTATCCCATTCTGTAGTTTGCCTGTTCACTCTGATGGTGGGTTCTTTTGCTGTGCAGAAGCTCTTTAGTTTAATTAGATCCCATTTGTCAATTTAGGCTTTTGTTGCCATTGCTTTTGGTATTTTAGACATGAAGTCCTTGCCCATACCTGTGTCCTGAATGGTATTGCCTCGGTTTTCTTCTAGGGTTTTTCTGGTTTTAGGTCTAACATTTAAGTCTTTAATCCATTTTGAATTAATTTTTGTATAAGGTGTAAGGAAGGGATCCAGTTTCAGCTTTCTACATATAGCTAGCCAGTTTTCCCAGCACCATTTATTAAATAGGGAATCATTTCCCCATTTCTTGTTTTTGTCAGGTTTGTCAAAGATCAGATAGTTGTGGATATGTGGCATTATTTCTGAGGGCTCTGTTCTGTTCCAGTGGTCTATATCTCTGTTTTGGTACCAGTACCATGCTGTTTTGGTTACTGTAGCCTTGTAGTATAGTTTGAAGTCAGGTAGCATGAAGCGTCCAGCTTTGTTCTTTTGGCTTAGGTTTGACTTGGCAATACAGGCTCTTTTTTGGTTCCATATGAACTTTAAAGTAGTTTTTTCCAATTCTGTGAAGAAAGTCATTGGTAGCTTGATGGGGATGGCATTGAATCTATAAATTACCTTGGGCAGTATGGCCATTTTCACGATATTGATTCTTCCTACCCATGAGCATGGA
The DNA here is from genome assembly GCF_000001405.40 of Homo sapiens. Classification (NCBI taxonomy): domain Eukaryota; kingdom Metazoa; phylum Chordata; class Mammalia; order Primates; family Hominidae; genus Homo; species Homo sapiens. Next base: position 76,652,482 of record NC_000023.11, read on the forward strand.
ATGTTCTTCCATTTGTTTGTATCCTCTTTTATTTCATTGAGCAGTGGTTTGTAGTTCTCCTTGAAGAGGTCCTTCACATCCCTTGTAAGTTAGATTCCTAGGTATTTTATTCTCTTTGAAGCAATTGTGAATGGGAGTTCACTCATGATTTGGCTCTCTGTTTCTCTGTTATTGGTGTATAAGAATGCTTGTGATTTTTGCACATTGATTTTGTATCCTGATAATTTGCTGAGGTTTCCTATCAGCTTAAGGAGATTTTGGGCTGAGACAATGGGGTTTTCTAGATATACAATCATGTCATCTGTAAACAGGAACAATTTGACTCCCTCTTTTCCCAATTGAATACCCTTTATTTCCTTCTCCTGCCTAATTGCCCTGGCCAGAACTTCCAACACTATGTTGAATAGGAGTGAGGACATCCCTGTCTTGTGCAGATGTCTATATTTAAAAAGAAGAAAGATTTTGAATGAATAACTTAACTGTATCCTTTGAAGACTAGAGAAAAGAACAAGCTAAACCCAAATGAAATAGGAAGAAATAAATAAAATTTTTAGTGCAAATATGTAAAGCAAAGAATACAAAATCAACAAACGCTGTAGCTGTTTAATTGAAAATATCCACAAAATTAATAAACTTTCAGCTAGGTTGATGAAAATATGGGAAGAAAAATTACTAAAATGTGTAATCAATGAATATTATATACAATTATAGACCAAAAGGCTAGTTGTCATACTAGATCACAAAGTTGATTCACTAAATAACAGAAACTTGATTGACTTATTAAATGGAGACATTCCTAAAAAGGCATAAACTACAAAAATGACCGAAGATAAACAGAAAGTCTAAATGAATCTATAAGAAGTAAAAAGACTGAGCTAATAATAGTATTAAAAGAACTTCCAAAAAGAAAAACCTATCAGACGATGGCTTCACTGGTTAATTCTATAAAATAACAACTGAATCTCAATCAATGCAATGCAGCATATTAATAGAATAAAGGGGGAAAGTCATGATCATTTTAAGAGATGCATGAAAAGCATTTGATAATACCATACACTATTTCATAATAGAAATATTCAACAAACTAGGATTGTTAAGAAAACTTTCTTAACCTGATTCCATGTGAATTTGGCTGGAGGACACAGCCTCCTCCTGTTGTTCTGGGATACAGCCAAACAGCAGGGCAGGTGACCCAGTGAACTCCCACCGCTGGTAGCCAGGTAAGCAACACTTGCTAGAGCTTCTGGCCCAGTGATCCTGCTTCTGTGTAAACTCAGCTGGAGGGTGCACCCTTCTATTACTATTACATTGGGTCTTAGTTTCCAACATATGAATTTGAGGGGAATACACACATTCAAACCATAACTATGGTCATTTGCAAAGTTAAGTCTAACATACAAACATGTAGGTCTATTATGGACATGTGGGGAATGTATTTGTGCTTGGTGTGTGTGTGTGTGTCTGTGTGTTTATCTGTCAGGTTCTCAAGATAAAAGAAAGAATAGGGTCACAATTGATAAAGAAATTATGTCCAAAATGTTGCAAGTGAGTCAGGAAAGCTAGAGAGAGTATAATGCAGTAACTCAGAGCTATAATATTAACTGGAGCTTCATTACCATTCCTGGCCTTAGAGAAACAATTGAAAGAAGCATGCAACTTCTGTTATTTTCATAGATAATGCATACATGAATTGCTTCTACACTAAGAAGTCAATGCTTAAATTTTAAAAGAAAAGCAATGTGAAAGGGCAGAAGCTTAAGGAAAACATATCATTGAAGATGATAAATCTTGCATGCTCAAAAGTCAGTAATTAGCTGATATCTAAAATGGCTTAATTTTTCTAAAGAAAAATTAATTTGTGAATGAAGGATTGAAGAATAACTTGTTTAAAGAAAGCAGTAAAACAACTCCATTACACACTTCTTCAGATGCAGTTTTATTTATGATTAGGACCTCAGAACTTTGTGACAGACAGAGATGAGAGCAAATCCTTGTTCTTCCACTTGCTGTTTAGGTAACCATTGTGGTTTAGAGTTTCAGACCTTATACCAACATGTATGAACCTACTAAATTTACCTTAGGAAAGAAAGCGGCAAGTTTTTAGTTTTTTTTAAATAAGTCTGATTCCTAGCTTTGAATAAAAGTAAAAGTATGCATTATGCTAATTTTTAAGAACCAACTGTGTGATTCAAGTAGTTTTCATAAGGGTCCCTGCAAAAATAACAACTGATGAAAATAAACCAACTCCTCAGTTCATAGAATTTTACCAAAGAAGTAAATGTGAAGAAGCCAGGTCAGTGTGTTGCATAAATGCAATTCTCCAGCCCCAATAATATAGAATGCCATTAGAAAAGGTCACGTTTTTTCCAAGGTAGAAAATGTCAGCAAGTTTAAATAATAAAGGCCATCCTCGATTATATGAAGCACTGCCATAGTTAACTGTTGACTGAGAGGGGAGGGGAAAATAACTAAACAAGATCATGTTGAAATCTTATCAAATAAACTATAGTAATTATTTAAATTAAATTATCAAAATATGTCTGATATTTTATATTTTCTCCCCTCCAAATACTAACCAGGCCTGACCCTGCTTAGCTTCTGAGATCAGACAAGATTGGGCATCTTCAGGGTTGTATGGCCGTAGACTAATATGTTATGTTTTCTATTACCGCTTCACTGAAACAGGAAGGGTCAAATGCTGTATGCATTTATGAAAAGCAGTTATAATCATTCTAAAAGGAAAAAAATCCAATGACTATCCGTAATAATATTAACAAAGTTATAAAAATTAGGAAATAGACAATAAATTATATAAGGAATTAGAAAGTACTTCACATAACATGAAAATTATCAGATTTTTTAAAAATCAGCAAATGTTTAATTTTCAAAGGCACTCAAAATCTCAAAGGAAGTAAATTAAAATAATTAGCCTTTGTACTTGCTCTTAGTTGATCATTTTGCTGCTGACAAAAGTATGAAAAGATTTTCTGTAAAATTTCCTAGAAAGCATAACTTCAGCTTTTCATTTTAACATTGGAAGGTATTACACAGACATTTGCAACATTATCATAGTCATATGTTTTCTGTAGTAATTTGTCTGTTAGCTGTATCTCAGAGACACTTTGCAGGCCTGGTTTTAAAAATAGTAGTGTTTAGGTAAAGCAGAGAGATGAACATGAAGGCAGCTTTCCAAGATACCTTCGTGAACTTCCATAACAATGAATAGAATCTGTATCACACATATTCAAAATCAATTTCATTTTCCTATCACTGCAGTTTGTTGTTTTGCAGGTAATGTGAAAAGGCTCTTCTAGTTACAGAATCTGGGATTATCTCCAAAGACAGCCTCATATTTTCATAACCTGGAGACTCTCCTAAAAGTTGGATTGTCTGTAGCATTGCCATTTCACCTAGATTTCTTTTCCACACTATATCCAATTTTCCCATTTCTCTTAGTCCCTTAATGATACCAGCTTCCTCTGAATATTTCTGCTTGAGTTGAACATGGTCTAAGTACTGGCGTCCTTCCATTGACTGCAAAAATGTCGTTGTTCCAAATGTACATTGATTTTCTCCATCTTGGTTGACAGTATTTAATTCTTTTCCAGTGTGCATATCAGATTACATAAAGGAAATACTTTGTATAAACACAGTTGAAGATGAAGTATTCCGAATCTAGATTTCGAGAAATAAGTCATTCTTCTCTGAATTGTAAAACTTGGTTTTATTATCCAATTGTGAGAGGAAAGAAAATAAGCACAGTTTCCTAAAAAAACATTTTTTTCTCCACACTGAGCTGAATAAACACTAAACCCATAAGGACAACTCTTCCAATGCCTGTTACACGTCAGATGACATCATCAATACAACAATGGGGTACAAGTTCTGCCACTATAGCCATGGAGACCAAAACATGTAAGGGTTAAGTACTTGTTTGAATATCATCATTTTCAATATGATTTTTGCAACTTAATTGCTATCTTTGGAAATACTCATATAACCATAATTTTTTACCTCTCTCAAAAATATAGTTCTAAGGATTTATGTTCATTTCAATTTTTCCCTCAAGCATTCACATTTCTGGTGGAGGATCACCTCTGATTAGCTGATTAAAGAAATTACCAGGTAAGTCATTCTCTTCATACGTGACTAGAAAATTAGTTAACAAACTATGCCTAGTAGACAGTATCACCCTAGTAGACGGTATCATTTGAGTGTCATAAAGATCTCCTGTCTGTGTGGATTATTTTCCATTTTAATGACAATTTTTTCCTATTGTTTTAAAATTTACCCAGGATTTGTCTTAATCAGGCATGGTAAGATGACAGACAGAGAAAACCACCTTGGCAAGAGGAATTTATTACTTACAATTCCCAAGAAAAGAGGGGACGATGCTCCTCACAGAGCCACATGAGGAAGCACGAGGTTCTATTAGGAGGCAGAAGCAGCCAGGGGAAAGCACAGGTACAGGACTATGTTGTGGCTTCCATGACAAAGACAAGGCAGTTCAAGGGAAGTAACTTAGGATTGAGTAGTTTAAACAATGTCAGTAGGCTCAGAGCTGTAGGTACTACCCCTGGTTGCCTAGTGCCTGGTCCTGGGATAATACTAAGACAGGAGGATAGTGACTCAATAAATTAGATAGTTAGCAGGCATGGGCTCTGGGTTGGTTTGTTTGCATATGACAGGTGTGCTCAGATGGCAGTTGTTTTCTATCTCTAGGAATTAGCTAGCCCTGGGAAGGGAAGTCTCTCCTCATCCATCAAGGCCCCAAAAGGTCAAAGCATCATAAAATATAGGCAATTTTTGAAACCATGTTTAATACACCTACTGGCTATGGTCACTGGGGAAATGAGGGGGTGAAGGCAGGCCCAGAACAAAAAAAGGACAGTACACAGAGGAAAGGGCCTGGCTTCAGAATAACTCCTATATCAGTCAGTGTCCAGCCTGAGAAGTAGAACCAGTGAAAGATAGATACATAGTGATATGGTTTGTCTGTGTTCCTACCAAAATCTCATGTTGTATTGTGATCCCAATTGTTGGAGGTAGGGCATGGTGGGGGGTGACTGAATCATGGGGCTGGTTTCTAATGGTTTAGCACCATCCCCCTAGTGCAGTCTCATGACAGAGTTCTCATGAGGTCTGTTTGAAAGTGTGTAGCACTTCCCCTTTCACTCACTGTCTCTCTCCTGTTGGCCTTGTGAAGACATGTCTTGCTTCTTCTTCACCTTCAGCTATGACTGTACATTTCCTGAGGCTTCCCCAGCCATGCCTTCTATACATCCTGTGGACCTATGAGTCAATTAAACCTCTTTTCTTTATAAATTATCCAGTCTTGTGTAGTGCTTTATAGAGTGCAAGAATGGACTAATATAGCTAGATAGATCAATAGATTCATAGATAGACAGACAGATGAATGGATGGACGGATAAATACTTGTTACAGGGATTTGGCTTACACAGTTGTGGGGGCTACTCAAGCAGTCCATATAATGTCTCTACATCTGATTCAAGTGCTTGAAGTCCACAGCATATGCAGTTAGAAAGGTAATATCATAAAAAAGGATGGAACTCCAAGAGTAGAAGCTGGAAGCCCACAGAATGGACTGAAGCACATGTCTGCTCTAGAAGCCTGTGAGCTTGGTGATGATAGTATTCTGCAGAAGCTAAGGACCTTTGTCCTTGAGCTCTACACACACAACTGGCTCAACTGCTTCTTCATCCCAAGTTGAGTCAACAGATAAGCAACAATGTGTTTGTGTTATCAAATGGATTCTGCTTCCCTTCCAACTTCTGAAATCTTGGAAGAATCTCCTTTGCGGCCCATCCTAAATGGAAAAATACAATAAATGAAATTCCAGGAAATGTAGTTTGGCTCAGCAAAGTTGATACATTACAAATCCATCAATAACATCCATCCCTGCCAACATGTCAACTTTGTTCATGATTCCATTGGAAAATAAGAGGAGTTCCTTGTGATGAAGCCTGACTGATATCCACAGAATGTTTCATTTTATTTACCTGATAATTCAAATCCTCCTCTGCTCATGTCAGTCTTTGTTGAGCATTCACAAGGGACACTAATATCTTCACATATTGTGGAGCATTCTATTTACGTATCTCTTTGCAAGACCCTGAATCCTGGACAGCACCTCTGAACCCATCTGAAGGTTGAGAGACCTCACCACCTTGAAGAGAATAAAACAGGTGTGACTTGCATTCCCACTTGCTGATTGTAAGCTCCAGGGCCTTGAGTAAACATAGGCAGCAGCCAAGGAGTGGTTACAGAAGGCCTTGAATTAGACCTAATGCTGTGTTTGCTTCAGGTCTCACCCAGTGCAGTCATAGTTGTGGCATCAGGCGGCTCAGAGCAGAGACAAAGACTCTGTTTGAGAGAAAGCAAAAGAAAAGAACAAAGATCACTGCCTTATAATCCAGAGAACTTGCCCAGATCTTGTCCAAGACCATCAAGTGGGTAATCTCAGAGTCTGGAAGAACCACGGCATTACTGGGTTTGGATGTCCCCTAAAGCAGAAACAACTTAGATCACAGCACCCAAATTATTTTAAATATCTGGAAAACCTTCCCAAGAAAGAAAGGTACAATAAGTTCAGTCAGTGAAGACTACAATAAATACCTAACTCTTCAATGTCTGGACACTGAAGAACATCTACTAACAACACCAACCTGGAAAACATGACCTGACCAAATGAAATAAATAAGGCACAAGGGGCCAATCTTGGAGAAACAGAGATATGTTACATTTCAAAGAATTCCAAGTAGCTGTGTAGAGGAACCTCAAAGAAATTCAAGATAACACAGAAAAGGAATGCAGAATTCTATCAGATAAACTTAGTAAATAAATTGAAATAATTTAAAAGAATCAAGCAGAAATTCTGGAACTGAAAAAAATGTAATTGGCATACTGAAGAATGCATCATAGTCCTTTATTAGTAGAATTCATCAAGCCAAAGAAAGAATTAGTGAGATTGAAGACAGGCTATTTGAGAATGCACAGTCAGAGGAACAAAAGAAAAAAGAATAAAAAACAATGAAGCATGCCTAGAGGATCTAGAAAATAGCTGCAAAAGGGTTATTCTAAGAGTTGTTAGAAGAGTTGCTAGTCTTAAAGAGGAGATAAAGAGACGGGAGTAGAAAGTTTATTCAAAAATATAATAATAGAGAATGTCCTAAACCTGGAGAAAGATATTGATATTCAAATATAAGAAGTTTCTAGAACACCAAGCAGATTTAACCCAACGAAGACTGCCTCAAATCATTTAATAATTGAACTACCAAAGGTCGAAAATAAAGACAGGATCCTGAAAGCAGGAAAAGAGACATATAACATAAAATGGAACTCCAATACATCTGACCTAAGACTTTTCAGTGGAAACCTTTCGGGACAGGAGAGAGTGGCATGATATTTTTAAAGTGCTAAAGGGAAAAACATTTACCCTAGAATAGTATATCTAGCAAAAATATCCTTCAAACATGAAGGAGAAACAAAGACCTTCCCAGACAAAGAAAGTCTAAGGGATCTTATCAACACCATACCTGGCTAACAGAAATGTCACAGGGAATACTTCAATTAGAAAGAAAAAAACATGAGTGAGCAATAAATTATCACCTGAGGGTACATAACTTGCTGCTAATAGTAAGTACACAGAAATTTAAAAAAAACTCAAAATATAACACTGTAACTGTGTTATGTAAACTACTCCTATCCTAACTAGAAAGATTAAATAATGAGCTAATCAAAAATAATAACTATAACAACATTTTTATTTTATTTTATTTTATTATTATTATACTTTAAGTTTTAGGGTACATTTGCACAATGTGCAGGTTAGTTACATATGTATACATGTGCCATGCTGGTGTGCTGCACCCATTAACTCTTCATTTAGCATTAGGTATATCTCCTAATGCTATCCCTCCACCCTCCCCCAACCCCACAAGAGTCCCCAGAGTGTGATGTTCCCCTTCCTGTGTCCATGTGTTCTCATTGTTCAATTCCCACCTATGAGTGAGAACATGCGGTGTTTGGTTATTTGTCCTTGCGATAGTTTACAGAGAATGCTGATTTCCAATTTCATCCATGTCCCTACAAAGATGAACTCATCATTTTTTATGACTGCATAGTATTTCATAGTGTTTATGTGCCACATTTTCTTAATCCAATCTATCGTTGTTGGACATTTGGGTTGGTTCCAAGTCTTTGCTATTGTGAATAATGCCGCAATAAACATACGTGTGCATGTGTCTTTATAGCAGCATGATTTATAGTCCTTTGGGTATGTACCCAGTAATGGGATGGCTGGGTCAAATGGTATTTCTAGTCCTAGATCCCTGAGGAATCGCCACACTGACTTTCAAAAAGGTTGAACTAGTTTACAGTCCCACCAACAGTGTAAATGTGTTCCTATTCTCCACATCCTCTCCAGCACCTGTTGTTTCCTGACTTTTTAATGATTGTCATTCTAACTGGTGTGAGATGCTATCAAATTGTGGATTTGATTTGCATCTCCCTGATGGCCAGTGATGGTGAGCATTTATTCATGTGTTTTTTGGCTACATAAATGTCTTCTTTTGAGAAGTGTCTGTTCATCTCCTTTGCCCACTTTTTGATGGGGTTGTTTGTTTTTTTCTTGTAAATTTGTTTGAGTTCATTGTAGATTCTGGATATTAGCCCTTTGTCAGATGAGTAGGTTGCGAAAATTTTCTCCCATTTTGTAGGTTGCCTGTTCACTCTGAAGGTAGTTTCTTTTGCTGTGCAGAAGCTGTTTAGTTTAATCAGATCACATTTGTCAATTTTGGCTTTTGTTGCGATTGCTTTTGGTGTTTTAGACATGAAGTCCTTGCCCGTGCCTATGTCCTGAATGGTAATGCCTAGGTTTTCTTCTAAAGTTTTTATGCTTTTATCTCTAACGTTTAAGTCTTTAATCCATCTTGAATTAATTTTGGTATAAGGAGTAAGGAAGGGATCCAGTTTCAGCTTTCTCCACATGGCTAGCCCTTTTTCCCAGTACCATTTATTAAATAGGGAATCTTTCCCCATTTCTTGTTTTTCTCAGGTTTGTCAAAGATCAGATAGTTGTAGATATGCAGTGTTATTTCTGAGGACTCTGCTCTGTTCCATTGATCTATATCTCTGTTTTGGTACCAGTACCATGCTGTTTTGGTTGCTGTAGGCTTGTAGTATAGTTTGAAGTCAGGTAGCGTGATGCCTCCAGCTTTGTTCTTTTGGCTTAGGGTTGACTTGGCGATTCAGGCCCTTTTTTGGTTCCATTTGAACTTTAAAGTAGTTTCTTCCAATTCTGTGAAGAAAGTTATTGGTAGCTTCATGGGGATGGCATTGAATCTATAAATTACCTTGGGCAGTATGGCCATTTTCATGATATTGATTCTTCCTGCCCATGAGCATGGAATGTTTTTCCATTTGTTTGTATCCTCTTTAATTTCATTGAGCAGTGGTTTGAACTTCTCCTTGAATAGGTCATTCACGTCCCTTGTAAGTTGGATTCCTAGGTATTTTATTCTCTTTGAAGCAATGGCGAATGGGAGTTCACTCATGATTTGGCTCTCTGTTTGTCTGTTATTGGTGTATAAGAATGCTTGTGATATTTGTACATTGATTTTGTATCCTGAGACTTTGCTGAAGTTGCTTATCAGCTGAAGGAGATTTTGGGCTGAGACGATGGAGTTTTCTAGATATACTATCATGTCATCTGCAAACAGGGACAATTTGACTTCCTCTTTTCCTAATTGAATACCATTTATTTCCTTCTCCTGCCTAATTGCCCTGGCCAGAACCTCCAACACTATGTTGAATAGGAGTGGTGAGAGAGGGCATCCCTGTCTTGTGCCAGTTTTCAAAGGGAATGCTTCCAGTTTTTGCCCATTCAGTATGATATTGGCTGTGGATTTGTCATAGATAGCTCTTATTTTGAGATACGTCCCATCAATACCTAATTTATTGAGAGTTTTTAGCATGAAGTGTTGTTGAATTTTGTTAAAGGCCTTTTCTTCATCTATTGAGATAATCATGTGGTTTTTGTCTTTGGTTCTGTTTATATGCTGGATTACATTTATTGATTTGCGTATGTTGAACCAGCCTTGCATTCCAGGGATCAAGCCCACTTGATCATGGTGGATAAGGTTTTTGACGTGCTGCTGGATTTGGTTTGCCAATATTTTATTGAGGATTTTTGCATCAGTGTTCATCAAGGATATTGGCCTAAAATTATCTTTTTTGCTTGTGTCTCTGCCCGGCTTTGGTATCAGGATGATGCTGGCCTCATAAAATGAGTTAGGGAGGATTCCCTCTTTTTCAATTGTTTGGAATAGTTTCAGAAGGAATGGTACCAGTTCCTCCTTGTACCTCTGGTAGAATTTGGCTGTGAATCCATCTGGTCCTGAACTCTTTTTGGTTGGTAAGCTATTGATCATTGCCACAATTTCAGAGCCTGTTATTGGTCTATTCAGAGAGTCAACTTCTTCCTGGTTTAGTCTTGGGAGGGTGTATGTGTCAAGGAATTTATCCATTTCTTCTAGATGTTCTGGTTTACTTACACAGAGGTGATTGTAGTATTCTCTGATTGTAGTTTGTATTTCTGTGGGATCAGTGATTATATCCCCTTTACCTTTTTTTATTGCGTCCATTTGATTCTTCTCTCTTTTCTTCTTTATTAGTCTTGCTAGCGGTCTATCAATTTTGTTGATCCTTTCAAAAAACTATCTCCTGGATTCATTAATTTTTTGAAGGGTTTTTTTGTGTCTCTATTTCCTTCAGTTCTGCTCTGATTTTAGTTATTTCTTGCCTTCTGCTACCTTTTGAATATGTTTGCTCTTTCTTTTCTAGTTCTTTTAATTGTAATGTTAGGGTGTCAATTTTTGATCTTTCCTGCTTTCTCTTGTGGGCACTTAGTGCTGCAAATTTTCCTTTACACACTGCTTTGAATGTGTCCCAGAGATTCTGTTGTGTTGTGTCTTTGTTCTCGTTGGTTTCAAAGAACATCTTTATTTCTGCCTTCATTTCGTTATGTACCCAGTAGTCATTCAGGAGCAGGTTGTTCAATTTCCATGTAGTTGAGCGGTTTTGAGTGAGTTTCTTAATCCTGAGTTCTAGTTCGATTTCACTGTGGTCTGAGAGACAGTTTGTTATAATTTCTGATCTTTTACATTTGCTGAGGAGAGCTTTACTTCCAACGATGTGGTCAATTTTGGAATAGGAGTGGTGTGGTGCTGAAAAAAATGTATATTCTGTTGATTTGGGGTGGAGAGTTCTGTAGATGTCTATTAGGTCCACTTGGTGCAGAGCTGAGTCAATTCCTGGGTGTCCTTGTTAACTTTCTGTCTCATTGATCTGTGTAATGTTGACAGTGGGATGTCAAGGTCTCCCATTATTAATGTGTGGGAGTCTAAGTCTCTTTGTAGGTCACTGAGGACTTGCTTTATGAATCTGGGTGCTCCTGTATTGGGTGCATATATAGTTAGGATACTTAGCTCTTCTTGTTGAATTGATCCCTTTACCATTATGTAATGGCCTTCTTTGTCTCTTTTGATCTTTGTTGGTTTAAAGTCTATTTTATCCGAGACTAGGATTGCAACCCCTGCCTTTTTTTGTTTTCTATTTGCTTAGTAGATCTTCCTCCATCCCTTTATTTTGAGCCTATGTGTGTCTCTGCACGTGAGATGGGTTTCCTGAATACAGTACACTGATGGGTATTGACTCTTTATCCAATTTGCCAGTCTGCGTCTTTTAATTGGAGCATTTAGCCCATTTACATTTAAAGTTAATATTGTTATGTGTGAATTTGATACTGTCATTATGATGTTAGCCGGTTATTTTGCTCATTAGTTGATGCAGTTTCTTCCTAGCCTCGATGGTCTTTACTATTTGGCATGATTTTGCAGTGGCTGGTGCCTTTTGTTCCTTTCCATGTTTAGTGCTTCCTTCAGGAGCTCTTTTAGGGCAGGCTTGGTGGTGACAAATCTCTCAGCATTTGCTTGTCTGTAAAGGATTTTATTTCTCCTTCACTTATGAAGCTTAGTTTGGCTGGATATGAAATTCTGGGTTGAAAATTCTTTTCTTTAAGAATGTTGAATATTGGCCCCCACTCTCTTCTGGCTTGTAGAGTTTCTGCCGAGAGATCCACTGTTAGTCTGATGGGCTTCCCTTTGTGGGTAACCCGACCTTTCTCTCTGGCTGCCCTTAACATTTTTTCCTTCATTTCAACTTTGGTGAATCTGACAATTTTGTGTCTTGGAATTGCTCTTCTCAAGGAGTATCTTTGTGGCGTTCTCTGTATTTCCTGAATCTGAATGTTGGCCTGCCTTGCTAGATTGGGGAAGTTCTCCTGGATAATATCCTTCAGAGTGTTTTCCAACTTGGTTCCATTCTCCCCATCACTTTCAGGTACACCAATCCGACGTAGATTTGGTCTTTTCACATAGTCCCATATTTCTTGGAGGCTTTGTTCATTTCTTTTTATTCTTTTTTCTCTAAACTTCCCTTCTTGCTTCATTTCATTCATTTCATCTTCCATCACTGATACCCCTTCTTCTAGTTGATCGCATCTGCTCCAGGGGCTTCTGCATTCTTCACGTAGTTCTCGAGCCTTGGCTTTCAGCTCCATCAGCTCCTTTAAGCACTTCTCTCTATTGGTTATTCTAGTTATACATTCGTCTAAATTTTTTTTTCAAAGTTTTCAACTTCTTTGCCTTTGGTTTGAATTTCCTCCTGTAGCTTGGGGTAGTTTGATCGTCTGAAGCCTTCTTCTCTCAACTCATCAAAGTCATTCTCCGTCCACCTTTGTTCCATTGCTAGTGAGGAGCTGCGTTCCTTTGGAGGAGGAGAGGTGCTCTGCTTTTTAGAGTTTGCAGTTTTTCTGCTTTTTTTTTTCCCATCTTTCTGGTTTTATCTACTTTTGGTCTTTGATGATGGTGATGTACAGATGGGCTTTTGGTGTGGATGTCATTTCTGTTTGTTAGTTTTCCTTCTAACAGACAGAACCCTCAGCTGCAGGTCTGTTGGAGTTTGCTAGAGGTCCACTCCAGACCCTGTTTGCCTGGGTACCTGCAGCTGTGGCTGTAGAACTGTGGATTTTCGTGAACCGGGAATGCTGCTGTCTGATCGTTCCTCTGGAAGTTTTGTCTCAGAGGAGTACCCAGCCATGTGAAGTGTCAGTCTGCCCCTACTGGTGTGTAGCTCCCAGTTATGCTGCTCGGGGATCAGGGTTCAGAGACCCACTTGAGGAGGCAGTCTGCCCGTTCTCAGATCTCCAGCTGCCTGCTGGGAGAACCACTGCTCTCTTCAAATCTGTCAGACAGGGACATTTAAGTCTGCAGAGGTTACTGCTGTCTTTTTGTTTGTCTTTGCCCTGCCCCCAGAGGTGAAGCCTACAGAGGCAGGCAGGCAGGCCTCCTTGAGGTGTGGTGGGCTCCACCCAGTTCGAGCTTCCGGGATGCTTTGTTTATGTAACCAAGCCTGGGCAATGGGGGCGCCCCTCCCCCAGTCTCGCTGCAGCCCTGCAGTTTGATCTCAGACTGCTGTGCTAGCAATCAGCAAGACTCCGTGGGCATAGGACCCTCCAAGCCACGTGTGGGATATAATCTCCTGGTGAGCCGTTTTGTAAGCCCGTCGGAAAAGCACAGTATTGGGGTGGGAGTGACCCGATTTTCCTGGTGCCGTCTGTCACCCCTTTCTTTGACTAGGAAAGGGAACTCCCTGACCACTTGCACTTCCTGAGTGAGGCATTGTCTCACCATGTTTCAGTTCATGCACAGTGCGCTGCACCCACTGTCCTGTGACCATTGTCTGGCACTCCCTAGTTAGATGAACATGGTACCTCAGATGGAAATGCAGAAATCACCCGTCTTCTGCGTCGCTCATGCTGGGAGCTGTAGACCGGAGCTGTTCCTATTCGGCCATCTTGGGGATGACAGTTTAACATAAGATTTGGAGGGGGCAAATATCCTAACCATATCTACCACTGTTCTCCCACCCCAGATTTCATACTCTTCTCACATTGTGAAATACAATAATCCCTTCCCAATAGTTTACCAAAGTCTTAATTTGTTCCAGCATTAACTCAAAAGTCAAAAGTCTAATTTGAGGCTCAAGTCATACTTCTACTACTTATGATCCTGTGAGATAAAAAACAAGTTATCTATATCCAAGATACAATGGTGGCAAAAGCATTGGGAAAACATTCCAATTCCTAAAGAGAGAAACTGGCCGAAGGAAAGGGGCAACAGGCTCCACAATATCTGAAACCCAGTAGGATGGACATTAAGCCTTAAAGCCTCAGCAAAATTTGTGATGCCAGATTCTGCATTCTGGGCACACTCATATAAGAGGTGCAATCCCAAGGCCTTGGGCAGCCCTACCCCTGTGATTTTGCAGGATGCAGCCCCTGGGACTACTCTCACAGGTTGGAGTTAAGTGCTTGCAGCTTTTCCAGGCTCAGGGTGTAAGTTTTTGTTGGCTCTACCATTCTGTGATCTGGATGGTGGTTGTCACTTTCTCATAGCCCCATTAGGCAGTGACCCAATGGGGATTCTTTGTGAGGCCTCCAACTCCACATTTCACCTCTACACTGACCTAATAGAGGCTCTGATCAAGGGTTCCACTCCTGCTGCTGTCTGTGTTTCTTCCTGTGCACCCAGGCTTTCCAACACATCCTCTGAAATCTAGGTGAAATCTACCAAGCTTCCTTCACTCTTGCATACTGTACAACTTCAGGTTTAACAGTACATGGAAACCACCAACGCTTGAATTTGCTCTTTCTGGAATGGTGGCCTGAGCTCTATCTGTGGTTCTTTGAGCCACAGATAGAGCCGAAGTGGCGTGGATGCACCAACCAGTGTCCTGAGGCTGTACAAGGCAGCCTCAGGGTGTTGGGCTTCATGCCTGTATTATTCTTTAACTCTAGGCCTATTGGCCTGTGATGGGAGGAGCTGTCTAAAAGTTTTCTAAAATGCCTTCAAGGTCTTTTATCCATAGTTTTGGCTATTAGCACTTTTATCCATTTTAGTCACATGAATCTCTCTAGAAAGTTATTGCTCCACAGCCCGTTTGTATTCCTCTCTTAAAAATGTTCTTTCTTGTGAGCAAACAACAGGTTCTGGAGAAGATGTGGAGAAATAAGAACATTTTTATACTGTTGGTGGGACTGTAAACTAGTTCAATCATTGTGGAAGTCAGTGTGGCAATTCCTCAGGCATCTAGAACTAGAAATACCATTTGACCCAGCCATCCCATTACTGGATATATACCCAAAGGACTATAAATCATGCTGCTATAAAGACACATGCACACGTATGTTTATTGTGGCACTATTCACAGTAGCAAAGACTTGGAACCAACCCAAATGTCCAATAATGATAGACTGGATTAAGAAAATGTGACACATATACACCATGAAATACTATGCAGCCACAAAAAATGATGAGTTCATGTCCTTTGTAGGGACATGGATGAAATTGGAAATCATCATTCTCAGTAAACTATCGCAAGGACAAAAAACCAAACACTGCATGTTCTCACTCATAGATGAGAATTGAACAATGAGAACACGTGGACACAGGAAGGGGAACATCACACTCTGGGGACTGTTGTGGGGTTGGGGGAGGGTGGAGGGATAGCATTAGGAGATATACCTAATGCTAAATGAAGAGTTAATGGGTGCAGCACACCAGCATGGCACATGTATACATATGTAACTAACCTGCACATTGTGCACATGTACCCTAGAACTTAAAGTATAATAATAATAATGATAATAATAATAATAACAATAATAATAAAATGTTCTTTCTTTTTCAACTACATGGTCAGGCTGCAAATTTTCCAAACTTTGATGGTTTCTTTTTAATTTTCCAAGCTTTTATGTTTGCATTTTAGTTATAAATTTCAACTTTAAGTCATTTATTTGCTCCTGGATCTGACTATAGGATGTTAGAAACAGCCAGACCACATCTTGAATGCTTTGCTGCTTAGAAATTTCTTTCACAAAATACCTTAGATTGTCATTCTTAGGTTCCAACTTCCATTGATCCTTAGGGCATGAACACAATACAGCCATTGTTTGTAGTTGATGCTAAGGCATGCCATGGCTGACCTTTACTTTGGTTCACAAGAACCTCCTCATCTCCATCTGAGAACTCATCAACCTGGACTTCACTGTTCATATTTTTATTAACATTTTTAATCAGAACCCCTTAACCAGTCTCTAAGAAGCTCCAACATTCCCTCATCTCCCTGACTTCTTCTGAACCCTCCAACCTCTTCTGAACCTTGCCTGTTACCCAGTTCCAAAACTACTTTTACATTTTTAACTTTCTTTGTAATAGCACAACACTTCTAAGTACCGATTTTCTGGGTTACTATGTTTTGTATTGCTACAAAGAAATACCTGAGGCTGGGCAATTTATTTACAAAAGAGGTTTATTTGGCTCACAGCTCTGCAGGCTGTCCAAGAAGAATAGTGCCTGCATCTGCTTCTGGTGAAGGCTTCAGGGAGCATACAATCAAAAGTCAAATTGGGAGCTGGCATGTCACATGGTTATACAGTAAGCATGGGGGAAAGGAGAAAGATTCAGAATCCTTTAAATGACCAGCTCTGAAGTGAACACATTCACTCACTAACATGAGCACAGCACCAAGACATTCATAAGAAATCCAGCCCCATGCCTGAAACACTTATCACCAGGCCCCACCTCCAACACTGGGAGTTACATTTCAACATGAAATTTTGAGGATGCAAATATCCAAATCATATCATTCATCACCAGCAAAAACCTTTGTTTTTTTCTTTTCCATGTGGATGCAATATTATTTAAAGCCACTTTTTTAGCTACCACCCTGTGCTGTTGTTAACTGTGTCATGGACATGAACAAGGAGGCAACCAGCCCTATGCTAGTCAGCCTCCATGCCCAAGCTGACACCTCTGCTATGCAAATGCACACATGGATGTCAGTGGCCCAGGCACCCACTCTGCACCACCCCTACTGCTAGCATGAATGTGCACATGAAGGACACGAGGTTCACACACACCAGTGCCTCTCTCATGCTGACACTGCCATAGATGTCAGCATCCATAATCCCCTGCCATGCCATCATTGCTACTGCTGCAAATGTCTGCACAGAGACTGTCCCACCATGCCCACCACTACCCCAACCCAGCTGATGAGCATGCAGCCTGCCACACTGCTACTGCTACTGGAATATATGAATGAGCATGGATCCACCAGCTACTACCTGTGGGAACACTTTAGCCAGAACTATCCATCAGAGTATTGTGGCCAGTGGAAACTGGGAACTCCTTGGCCCCTCCAGTACTGCAGTTTGCTAAATTCAAAGGGCCAAAGAACATCCAGGGGCCTGATAACAGCCCCACAGAGTTGAAGTATGCAGCCCAAGAATGCAGAGGTAAGCCATGACCCTGTAAAATATTCCATAAATAAAGCCAGTTCACTTAATTCCCCTCCTTTACACCGCAATTAAACACCCAATGGCATCAAAGAAGATAAAAGCAAAAAAAAAAACTCATACAAAGGAACACAACAACAAAGACTGAATAAACAGCAGCACACAAAAATGAGAAAGAATCAGTGCAAGAACTATGGCAATTTAAAAAGCCAGAGTGTTTTCTTACCACCAAATGATCACACAAATTCCCCAGCAATGTTTCTTAACCTGGCTGAAATAGATGAAATGACAGAAGTAGAATTTAGAATATGTAAAGGAATTAACGTCACCAAGACTCAAGAGAAAGTAGAAACCCAACTCAAGGATTCTAAGTAATACAATAAAATGATACAGAAAATGAAAAACAAAAGGGCCATTTTTAAAAAGAACCAATCTGATCTGATGGAGTTGAAAAATTCACTTTAAGAACTTCAAAATACAAACACAAGTATTAACAGCAGAATCACCAGCTAATATGATGACAAGAACAAATCTGCACATATCAATACTATCCTTAAGTGTAAACAGGTTAAATGATCCAATTAAAAGAAACAGAGTGGCAAGTTAGAAAAAGAAGCAAGACCCAATGGTATGTTGTTTTCAAGAGATCTATCTCACATGCAATGACACCAAGTAAGGGGATGGAGAAAAAACTTCCAAGCAAGTGGAAAACAGAAAAAAGCAGGTGTTATCATTCTTATTTAAAAAAAAAAAAACAGACTTTAAAATGATGAAGATCAAAAAAACACATTACATAAAAGTAAAGGACTTGATTACCAGACAAGATGGCTAACTAGGAACAGCTCTGGTCTGAAGCTCTCAGTGAGATCAACACAGAAGGCAGATGATTTCTGCATTTCCTACTGAGGTACATGGGTCATCTCATTGGGACTAGTTAGACAGTGGGTGCAGCCCATGGAGGGTGAGCAGAAGCAGAGTGGGGCATCAACTCACCTGGGAAGAGGAAGGGATCAGAAAACTCTTTCCCCTAGACAAGGGAAGCCGTCAGGGATTGTACCCTGAAAAATGGTGCATTCTGGCCCAGATACTATGGTTTTTCCATGGGCTTCTCAAGCCACAGACCAGGAGATTCCCTTGGGTACCTACTCAACGAGGGCCCTGGGTTTCAAGCACAAACTGGGTGGCTGTTTGGGCAGAAACCTAGCTAGCTGAAGGAGATTATTTTTTATATAACCCAGTGGCACCAGGAACACCAGCAATACAAAACCATTCACTCTCCTGGAAAGGGAGCTGAAGCCAGGGAGCCAAGGGGTCTAGCTCAGCGGATCCCATGCCCATGGAGCCCTTCAAGCTAAGATCCACTGGCTTGAAATCCTTGCTGCTAGCACAGCAGTCTGAAGTTGACCTGGGATGCTTGAGCTTGGTGGGGGGAGGGGCATCTGCCATTACTGAGGTTTGAGTAGGCCGTTTTTCCCTCACAATATAAACAAAGCCACCTGGAAGATCGAACAGGGCGGAGCCCACCACAGCTCTGCAAAGCCACTATAGCCACACTACCTCTCCAGATTCCTCCTCTCTGGGCAGGGCATCTCCAAAAGAAAGGCAGCAGCCCCAGTCAGGGGCTTATAGATAAAACTCCCACCTCCCTGGGACACAGCACCTGCAGGAAGAGGTGGCTGTGGGCACAGCTTCAGTAGACTTAAACTTTCAGTAGACTTAAACGTTCTGAAGAGAGCAGTGGATCTCCCAGTACAGCCTTCAAGCTCTGCTAAGGGACAGACTATCTTCTCATGTTGGTCCCTGACCCCCATGCCTCCTCACTGGGAGTCATCTCCAAGCAGGGATCAACAGACACCTCGAACAGAAGAGCACCAGCTGGCATCTGGCAGGTGCCCCTCTGGGATTAAGCATCCAGAGGAAGGGAGAGGCTGCAATCTTTGCTGTTCTACAGCCTCCTCTGGTGATACCCAGGAAAACAGGGTCTGGAGTGGGCCTACAGCAAACTGCAGCACACCAGCAGCAGAGGGTCCTAACTGTTAAAAGGAAAACTAACAAACAGAAAACAATAGCATCAACATCAACAAAAAGGGAATCCACACATAAATCACTTCCGAAGTTCTCCAACATCAAAGACCAAAGGTAGATAAATCCAAGAGGACATGAAAAAACCAGCTCAAAAAGGCTGAACATTCCAAAAGCCAGAATGCCTCTTCACCAAAGGATCACAACTCTTCACCAGCAAGGGAACAAAACTGGATGGAAAATGAGTTTGACAAATTGACAGAAGTAGGCTTCAGAGGTGGGTAATAACCAACTCCTCTGAGCTAAAGGAGCATGTACTAACCCAATGCAAGAAAGCAAAGGAACTTGAAAAAAGATTAGAGGAAATTGCTAACTAGAATAACCAGTTCAGAGAAGAACATAAATGTCCTGATAAAGCTGAAAATCACAGCATGAGAAATTCATGAAGCATAATTGAAAGTAAAACACACTGCAGCAAATGCAAAAGAACAGAAATTTTAACAGTCTCTCAGACACAGTGCAATCAAATTGGAACTCAGAATTAAGAAACTCTCAAAACTACACATCTACATGGAAACCAAACAACCTACTCCTGAATGACTACTGGGTAAATAATGAAATTAAGGCATAAATAAATAAGTTCTTTGAAACCAATGAGAACAAACACACAGTGTACTAGAATCTCTGGGACACAGCTAAAGCAGTGAAAAATTTATGGCACTAAAAGCCCACAGGAGAAAGTGGGAAAGATCTAAAATCAACACCCTAATAACACAATGAAAAGAACTAGAGAAACAAGAGAAAACAAATACAAAAGCTAGCAGAAGGCAAAAAATAAGATCATTGCAGAACTGAAGAACACAGAGACATGAAAAACCCTTCAAAAATCAATGAATCCAGGAGCTGGATTTTGAAAAGATTAACAAAATATATAGAACACTAGCCAGACTAATAAAGAAGAAAAGAGAGAAGAATCAAATAGACACAATAAAAATTGAAAAAGGAGCAATCACCACTGATCCTACAGAAATACAAACCACCATCAGAGAACACTATAAACACCATTATGCAAATAAACTAGACAATCTAGAAGAAACGGATGAATTCCTGGACACATCCACCCTCCAAAGACTAAACCAGAAAGAAGGCAAATCCCTGAATAGACCAATAACAAGTTTGGAAATTGAGGCAATAATTAATAGCCTATGAACCAAAAAACACCCAGGACCAGATGGATTCACAGCCGAATTCTACCAGAGGTAAAAAGAGGAGCTGGTACCATTTTTTCTGAAACTATTCCAAAAAATAGAAAAAGAGGGACTCCTCCCTAAATCATTTGATGAGACCAACATCATCCTGATACTAAAACCTGGAAGAGAAGCACACAAAAAAATTTCAAGCCAATATTCCTGATGAACAACGATGCGAAAATTCTCAAAAAAATACTGGCAAACTGAATTCAGCAGCACATCAAAAAGCTTATCCACCATGATCAAGTTGGCTTCATCCTTGGGCTGCAAAGCTGTTTCAACATACGTAAATCAATAGACATAAACCATCACATAAACAGAATCAATGACAAAATCCACATGATTTTCTCAATAGATGCAGAAAAGACCTTCAATAAAATTCAACATTCCTTCACAATGAAAACTCTCAATAAACAAGGTATTGATGGAATGTATCTCAAAATAATAAGAACTATTTACAACAAACCTACAGCCAATATCATACTGAATGGGCAAACCTGGAAGTATTGATGGAACGTATCACAAAAAAATAAACTAGGTATTGATGGAACATACCTTAAAATAATAAAAGTACTTATGACAAACCCACAGCCAATATCGTACTGAATGGGCAAAAGCTGGAATCATTTTCTTTGAAAACAGGCACAAGACAAGCATGCCTTCTCTCATCACTCCTGTTGAACATAATATTGGAAATTCTGTTCAAGGCAATCAGGACAGACAAAGAAATAAAGAGTATTCACATAGGAAGAGAGGAAGTCAAATTGTCTCTGTTTGCAAATGACATGATTGTATATTTAGAAAACCCCAGCGTCTCAGCCCAAAATCTCCTTAAGCTGATAAGCAACTTCAGCAATCTCAGGATACAAAATCAATGTGCAAAAATCACAAGCATTCCTATACACCAATAATAGACAAACAAAGGGCCTAATCATGAGTCAACTCCCATTCACAATTGCTACAAAGAGAATAAAATACCTAGGTATTCAACTTACAAGGTATGTGAATGACCTCTTCAAGGAGAACTACAAACCACTCCTCAAGGAAACAAGAGAGGACACAAAAAAATGGAAGAATATTCCATGCTCATGGATAGAATCAATATCGTGAAAATGGCCATAATGTCCAAAGTAATTTATAGATTCAGTGCTATCCCCATCAAGTTACCACTGACCTTCTTCACAGAATTAGAAAAAAAAAATATTTTAAATTTCATATGGAGGTGGGTGGAGCCAAGATGGCCAAATAGGAAAAGCTCCAGTCTACAGCTCCCAGCGTGAGCGACAGAAGACAGGTGATTTCTGCATTTCCAACTGAGGTACCAGGTTCATCTCACTGGGCAGTGTTGGAAAGTGGGTGCAGGACAGTGGGTGCAGTGCACCAAGTGTGAGCCAAAGCAGGGCGAGGCATTGCCTCACCCAGAAAGCACAAGGGATCAGGGAATTCCCTTTCCTAGTCGAAGAAAGCAGTGACAGATGGCACCTGGAACATCGGGTCACTCCCACCCTAATACTGCACTTTTCCAATGGTCTTAGCAAATGGCACTCCAGGAGATTATATCCTCAGAGGGTCCTACACCCATGGAACCTCGCTCATTGCTAGCACAGCAGCCTGAGATCAAACTGCAAGGCGGCAGCCAGACTGGGGGAGGGGTGCCCGCCATTGCCAAGGCTTCAGTAGGTAAACAAAGTGGCCAGGAGGCTTGAACTTGGTGGAGCCCACTGCAACTCAAGGAGGCATGCCTGCCTCTGTAGACTCCACCTCTGGGGGCAGGGCATTGCCAAACAAAAGGCAGCAGAAACCTCTGCAGACTTAAATGTCCCTGTCTGACAGATTTGAAGAGAATAGTGGTTCTCCCAGCATGCAGCTGGAGATCTGAGAACGGACAGATTGCCTCCTCAAGTGGTTCCCTGACTTCTGAGTACCGTAACTGGGAGACACCCCAAGCAGGGGCCGACTGACACCTCACATAGCCGGGTACTCCACTGAGACAAAACTTCCAGAGGAACGATCAGGCAGCAACATTTGCTGTTCAACAATATCCGCTGTTCTGCAGCCTCTGCTGCTGATACCCAGGTAAACAGGGTCTGGAGTGGACCTCCGGCAAACTCCAGCAGAGCTGCAGCTGTGGGTCCTAAATGTTAGAAGGAAAACTAACAAACAGAAAGGACATCCACACCAAAACCCCACCTGAACATCACCATCATCAAAGACCAAAGGTAGATAAACCACAAAGATGGGAAAAAACAGAGCAGAAAAACCGGAAACTCTAAAAATCAGAGTGCATCTCCTCCTCCAAAGGAACGCAGCTCCTCACCAGCAATGGAACAAAGCTGGACAGAGAATGACTTTGACGAGTTGAGAGAAGAAGGCTTCAGACGATCAAACTACTCTGAGCTAAAGGAGGAAGTTCGAAACCATGGCAAAGAAGCATATCAAAAAGCTTAACCACCATGATCAAGTGGGCTTCATCCCTGGGATGCAAGGCTGGTTCAACATATGTAAATCAATAAACGTAATCCAGCATATAAACAGAACGAAAGACAAAAACCACATGATTATCTCAATACATGCAGAAAAGGCCTTTGACAAGATTCAACAGAACTTCATACTAAAAACTCTCAATAAATTAGGAATTGATGGGATGTATCTCAAAATAATAAGAGCTATCTATGACAAACCCACAGATAATATCATACTGAATGGGCAAAAACTGGAAGCATTCCCTTTGAAAACTGGCACAAGACAGGGAAGCCCTCTCTCACCACTCCTATTCAATATAAAGTTGGAAGTTCTGGCCAGGGCCATCAGGCAGCAGAAGGAAATAAATTGTATTCAATTAGGAAAAGAGGAAGTCCAATTGTCCCTGTTTCCAGAAGATATGATTGTATATCTAGAAAACCCCATTGTCTCAGCCCAAAATCTCCTGAAGCTGATAGGCAACTTCAGCAAAGTCTCAGGACAAAAAATCGATGTACAAAAATCACAAGCATTCTTATACACCAATAACAGACAAACAGAGAGCCAAATCATGAGTGAACTCCCATTCACAATTGCTTCAAAGGGAATAAAATACCTAGGAATCCAACTTACAAGGGCTGTGAAGGACCTCTTCAAGGAGAACCACGAACCACTGCTCAATGAAATAAAAGAGGATACAAACAAATGGAAGAACATTCCATGCTCATGGGTAGGAAGAATCAATATCATGAAAATGGCCATACTGCCCAAGGTAATTTATAGATTCAATGCCATCCCCATCAAGCTACCAATGACTTTCTTCACAGAATTGGAAAAACTACTTAAAAGTTCATATGGAACCAAAAAAGAGCCTGCATTGCCAAGTCAATCCTAAGCCAAAAGAACAAAGCTGGAGGCATCACACTACCTGACTTCAAACTATACTACAAGGCTACAGTAACCAAAACAGCATGGTACTGGTTCCAAAACTAAGATACAGACCAATGGAACAGAACAGTGCCCTCAGAAATAATGCCGCATGTCTACAACCATCTGATCTTTGACAAATTTGACAAAAACAAGCAATGGGGAAAGGATTCCCTATTTAATAAATGGTGCTGAGAAAACTCACCACCCATATGTAGAAAGCTGAAACTGGATGCCTTCTTTACACCTTATACAAAAATTAATTCAAGATGGATTAAAGACTTAAATGTTAGACCTAAAACCATAAAAACCCTAGAAGAAAACCTAGGCAATACCATTCAGGACCTTGGCATGGGCAAGGATTTCATGTCTAAAACACCAAAAGCTATGGCAACAAAAGCCAAAATTGTCAAATGGGATCTAATTAAACTAAAGAGCTTCTGCACAGCAAAAGAAACTACCCTCAGAGTGAACAGGCAACCTATAGAATGGGAGAAAGTTTTTGCAACCTACTCATCTGACAAAGGGCTAATATCCAGAATCTACAATGAACTCAAACAAATTTATAAGAACAAAACAAACAACCCCACCAAAAAGTGGGCAAAGGATATGAACAGACACTTCTCAAAAGAAGACATTTATGCAGCCAAAAAAACATGAAAAAATGCTAATCATCACTGGCCATCAGACAAATGCAAATCAAAACCTCAATGAGATACCATCTCACACCAGTTAGAATGGCGATGATTAAAAAGTCAGGAAACAACAGTTGCTGGAGAGGATATGGAGAAATAGGAACACTTTTACACTGTTGGTGGGACTGTAAACTAGTTCAACCATTGTGGAAGTCAGTGTGGTGATTCCTCAGGGATCTAGAACTAGAAATACCATTTGACCCAGCCATCTGATTACTGGGTATATACCCAAAGGATTGTAAAACATGTTGCTGTAAAGACACATGCACCCGTATGTTTATTTCAACACTATTCACAATAGGAAAGACTTGGAACCAACCCAAGTGTGCAACAATGATAGACTGGATTAAGAAAATGTGGCACATATACACCATGGAATACTATGCAGCCATAAAAAATGATGAGTTAATGTCCTTTTTAGGGACATGGGTGAAGTTGGAAACCATCATTCTCAGCAAACTATTGCAAGGAGAAAAAATCAAACACTGCATGTTCTCACTCACAGGCGGGAATTGAACAAGAGAACCCATGGACACAGGAAGGGGCACATCACACACTAGGGCCTGTTGTGGGGTGGGGAGGGGGGGATAGCGTTTGGAGATATACCTAATGTTAAATGATGAGTTACTGGGTGCAGCACACCAACATGGCACATGTATACATATGTAACTATCTTTTGCATTGTGCACATGTACCCTAAAACTTAAATTATAATAAAAAATAAAATAAATAAAAATAAATAAATAAATTTCATGTGGAACAAAAAAAGAGCCCATATAGCCAAGGCAATCCTAAGCAAAAGGTACAAAGCTGGAGGCATCATGCTACCTGACTTCAGTCGATACTACAAGGCTACAGTAACCAAAACAGCATGGTACTAGTACCAAAACAGGTGTATAGACCAATGGAACAAAACAGAGGCCTCAGAAATAACGTCACACATCTACAACTACCTGATCTTTGACAAACCTGACAAAAACAAACAATGGGGAAATGATTCCCTATTTAATAAACAGTGTTGGAAAAACTGGCTAGCCATAGGAAGAAAACTAAAACTGGACCCATTGTTTAAACCTTATACAAAAATTAACTCAAAATTTATTAAAGATTTAAACATAAGACCTAAAACCATAAAAACCCTAGAAGAAAACCTAGGCAATACCTTTCAGGACATAGGCACGGGAAAAGACTTCATGACTAAAACAGAAAAAGCAATGGCAACAAAAGCTAAAATTGACAAGGGGATCTAATTAAACTGAAGAGCTTCTGCACAGAAAAAGAAACTATCATGAGATTGAACAGGCAACATACAGAATCAGAGTATAATTTTGCAATCTATCCATCAGACAAAGGGATAATATCCAGAATCTACAAGAAACTTAAACAAATTTACAAGATAAAACAACCCCATCCAAAAGTGGGCAAATAATATGAACAGACACTTCTCAAAAGAAGATATTTATCTGGCCAAAAAACATGTAAAAAGAAGCTCATCATACTGTTCATTAGAGAAATGCAAAACATAACCACAATTAGATACCATCTCATGCCAGTTACAATGGTGATCTTTAAAAAGTTGGAAAACTTCAGATGCTGGAGAGGATGTGGAGAACTAGGAAAGCTTTTACACTGTTGGTGGAAATGTAAATTAGTTCAACCACTGTGGAAGACAGTGTGGCAATTATTCAATTTTCTAGATCCAGAAATACCATTTGACCCAGGAATCCCATTACTGGGTATATACCTAAAGGATTATAAATCATTCTACTATAAAGACACATGCACATGTATGTTTACTGCAGCACTATTTACAATAGCAAAGACTTGGAATCAACCAAAATGCCTTTCAATGATAGACTAGATAAAGAAAATGTGGCTCATATACACCATGGAATACTACGCAGCCATCAAAAAGCATGAGTTCATGTCCTTTGCAGGGATATGAATGAAGCTGGCAACCATCATTCTAAGCAAACTAACACAAGAACAGCAAACAAAACACTGCATGTTCTCACTTATAAGTGGGAGTTGAACAATGAGTACACATGGGCACAGAGAGGAGAACATCACACACAGTGGTCTGTTGGGGGGTGGTGGTCTAGGGGAGGGATAGCATTAGGAGAAATACATAATATAGATGACAGGTTGATGGGTGCAGCAAACCACCATGGCACATGTATACATATGTAAGAAACCTGCATGATCTGCACATGTATCCCAGAACTTAAAGTATAATAAAAAGTAATAATAATAAAGAAAGAATAAAAGACTAATTTCAACAAGAAGATCTAACTATCCTAAATATACATGTACCTAAACAAGAGCATCCAGACTCATAAAGCAAATTTTTAGACACCTGTGAAGAGACTTAGATAACTACACAATAATAGATGAAGACTTCAACACCTTTCAACAGCTTACTGACAGTATTAGATCATCAAGGCAGATAACTAAAGAAGATATTCAAGACCTTAACTGGACACTTGACTAAATTTACATAATAGACATCTACAGAACTCTCCATCCCAAAATAAGGAATATACAGTCATCTCATCTGCACATGGCACATACTCTAAAATCAACCACACAATTGGACATAAAACAATCCTCTGGAAATTAAAAAAAATAAATAATCCAGCCATGGTCACAGACCACAGTGTAATAAAAATATGAAATAATAAAAAATGAATCACTTAAAAACAAAATTACATTTAAATTAAGCAACTTGCTTCTGCATGACTTTTGGGTAAACAATAAAATCCTGAAGTTCTTTGAAACTAGTGAGAACAAGTATACAAAATATTAGAATCTCTAGTATACAGCTAAAACAGTATTAAGAGAGAAGTTTATAGCTGTAAATGCACACATGAAAAAGCTAGAAAGATCTCAGTTAACAACCTAACATCATAAATAGAGGACCTAGAGTAACAATGGCAAACCAACCACAAAACTAGCAGAAGATGGGAAAGAAACAAAATTGAAGCTGAACTGAAGAGAATTAAGATGCAAAAAATAAATAAATAAAAAAGATTTTTAAAAATCCAGGAGTTGGACCTTTGAAAAAATTGATGACAGACCACCAGCTAGATGAATAGAGAAAAAAGAGAGAAAAGATCCAAATAAATACAGTTAGAAATGACAAAGGGACATTACAACTGACCCCACGAAAATACGACAACAACAACAAAAAAAACCCTCAGGGACTACTACAGACACTTCTATGCACAAAAGCTAGAATATCTAGAAGAAATAGATACATTTCTGGACACTTACAACCTTCCAAGATTGAATCAGGAGAAGTGTATTCTTGAACAGACCAGTAATGAGTTTCAAAATTGTATCAGTAATAAAAAGCCTACCAACAAGGAAAAGCACAGGACCAACCAAATGGATTCACAGCCAAATTCTACCAGAAGTCTAATGCTAGCAATTTCTCAAAGAAATCACGTCAGAATTACCATTTGACCTAGCAGTCCCATTACAGGGTATATATCCAAATGAATAGAAACCATTTTATCATAAAGACACATGTACACGTATGTTTATTGCAGCACTATCCACAATATTGAAGTCATGGAATCAACCTAAATGCTCAAAACCAACTGGACTTAAAAATGTGGTACATATTCAACATGGAATACTACACAGTCATAATAAAGAATGAGATCATGTCCTTTGCAGCAACATTGTTGGAGTTGGATGTCTTTATCCTAATCGAACATAGAGGAAGAGAAAATCACATGTTCTCGCTTTTTAGTGGTAGATAAATATTGATGACTGTGGACACAAAAAAGGAAACAACAGAAACTGGACCTACTTGTACGTGGAAGAAGGGAGGAAGGTGAAGATAAAAAAAAATCTACCTATTGGGTATTATCCTTATTACCTGTGTGGCAAAATAATACGTACACCAACCTCCCATGACATACAATTTACCTATATAACAAACCTGCACATTTACCCCTGAATGTAAAATAAAACCTACAAAATAAGTGAATAAAAAGTCAAAGCTTGTTATACTGGATATAAAAAATAAACAAATTCAACAATATAAAAACATTTTTACCACCATTCAAAGGCATATTAGTAAAATTATACTCACATAAACTACCAACCCATTTTTATTTTGCTAACGAAAATTAAATTCAAATTTCCTGTGACGTTGTGAATGTATTTTTTGTGAATCTGAACAATTGCATATCAAATATTTGTTGAAAACAGTGATGAAGTTCTAATTTGAAGAACATGCTTTCATTGTAAGAGTAGTCACTCTAGACTCCAAAACATAGGACAACAGTTGGAAAGAAGGAGGCATAAAAACACGGATTTTGATTTGGGGTAGTTCCTTGGAATGGAGATAGTGAGTTCTTGCCCATCTCTACTTGTGTTGTTTTGCTCTGTATACCAAGATGGGCTTCCTAAACAAGAACTCCCTTTGCTCACCTTAACTAGAACTATCTACAGTGTCTAATCCCTGACAGCTATGAGGATGTGATCTGAGAAATGATAGTGACAACAAACATGTTAAAACAAATTTTGGGGTTACTATAATCAGTGGTATTTTGAATGTGTTTTAAGCCATATATCTTTTGCTTGGGAAGTATAAGTCCTTGCCTTGCCCACATATACCCCTATGTGTATCATTTTTCCTACTTCACACTTAATTGCACATAATAATCCTCCAAACCAAAGTAGAAAAGAGAGAAAGGTAGTGTGCTGTATAAGCTCACACTCTCCTTTTTTCCACTTTCTCTTCAGTTGAAAATTCTACAGCAACTTTGTTCTATGAGTGGAAACAGGGACGGGCATATGAAGCCACCTATACCAGGAATCGGAATTTGTACATTAACTGCTTGCATGACCCTGGCAGCTCTTTTGTTTTCTCTGAGACCAAGAAAACCTTTTGTTTTGTTTTGTTTTGTTTTCTTGAAAGCAGGAAAATTAAAGATGTATTCTTTATGGCTAATTCTCTGTTAGATATAATGTTTTATACACTTTACCTTCTCAAACCAGTTTGTTGGTATTCAAATACCCTATAGTTTTACTTTTTGTGTGCTTTTGAGATGTCTATTTCGAAAAGAGATGTATTAAAGACTCCACTATGGAGAAATAGAAACGCTTTTACACTGTTGGTGGGAGTGTAAATTAGTTCAACCATTGTGGAAGACAGTGTAACAATTCCTCAAGGATCTATACCCAGAAATACCATTTGACCCAGCAATCCCAATATTGGGTGTATACCCAAAGGATTATAAATCATTCTACTATAAAGACACATGCACATGTATGTTTATTACAGCAAAATTCACAACAGCAAAGACTTGGAACCAACCCAAATGCCCATCAATGATAGACTGGATTAAGAAGATGTGGCACATATATGCCATGGAATGCTATGCAGCCATAAAAAAGGATGAGTTCATGCCCTTTGCAGGGACATGGATGAAGCTGGAAACCATCATTCTCAGCAAACTAACACAGTAACAGAAAACCAGATACCACATATTCTCACTCATAAGTGGAAGTTGAACAATGAGAAAACATAGACAGAAGGAGAGGAACATCACACACCACGGCCTGTGTAGGGGTGGTGATCTAGGGGAGGGATAGCATTAGGAGAAATATCTAATGCAGATGATGGGTTGATGGGTGCAGCAAACCACCATAGCATGTGTGTACCTATGTAGCAAGGCTGCCCGTTCTGCACATGTATCCCAGAATTTAAAGTGTAATTTAAAAAATAAATAAATACTCCACTATGATTGTAAATTTGCTGGTTCCACCTAACATTTCTTGCAGTTTTGTTTTTTATATTTTGAAATCATGTTGGGTGGATAGAGGATGGTAACTATTACCATATCTTCCTCCTGGACAATATAATGCATATCTATTTGGTTTTAAAATAGATTTAGATACAACTACAGTTTTTTTTTTACATGGATATATGGCATAGTGGTGAAGTCTGGGCTTTTGGTGTAGTCATCACCCAAATTGTGTATATTGTACCCATTAAGCAATTTATCATTTCTCACCCACACCCATTTTTCCATCTTTTCAAGTTTCCAATGACTATTATTCCACTCTCTATGTCCATGTGTACAAATTATTTAGCTTCCACTTACACTTAAGAACATGTGGTAGTTGACTTTCTGTTTCTGAGTTATTTTACTTAAGGTAATGGTCCCCAGTACTACTCATGTTACTGCAAAGTAGATTATTTCATTATTTTTTATGGTTGAGTAGGGTTCCATGCCATATATATATATGATCATATATATGATCTATGTGATCTATATGATCATATATGTGATCTATATGATCATATATGTGATCTATATGATCATATATGTGATCTATATGATCTATATGATCATATATGTGATCTATATGATCATATATGTGATCTATATGATCTATATGATCATATATGCGATCTATACATATAGGATATATATGATATATATATAATATTTTTTATCCAATATTTTGTTGACGGACACTTAAGTTTTTTTCCATGTCCTTGATATTTTATATAGCGTTGTGGTAAACACATGAATCTAGCTATCTTTTTAATTTCTTTTTCTTTGGGTAAATACCGAGTAGTGGGATTAGTGGATCAAATGATAGTTGTGTTTTTAGTTGTTTGAGAAATATCTTTTCTGTTTTCCAAAGAGACTGTACTAATATAAATTCACACTAACAGTGTAAAAGGGTCTCCTTTTCTCCATATCCTTGCCAACATCTGTTATATATTGACTTTTTAATAATAGCCATTATGACTAGTATAAGATGGTACCTCATTGTGGTTTTAATTTGCATTTCCCTGAAAATTAGTAACGTGGAGCATTTTTTCATATGCTTCTTGGCCATTTACATGTCTTTTTCAAAATGTCTATTAGTGTCTTTTACCTACTTTTTAGTGGGGCTTTTTGTTGTTGTTGATTTGCTTGAGTTCCTCATAGATTCCGGATGCTGGCTCTTCATCAGATGCATAGTTTAAAGATATTTTCTCCCATCCTGCAGATTATCTCTTCATATTGTTGATTATTTCTCTTGCTATGCAAAAGCTTTTTAGTTTCATTGTCTCATTTTTCTATTTTTTGTTGCATTTGCTTTTGAGATCTTAGTCATGAATTTTTTGTCAGAGCCCATGTCCGGAAGAACTTTTACCAGATTATTTTTGAGTATTATTATAGTTTCAAGTCTTATATTTAAGTCTTTAATCAATCTTGAGTTAATTTTTGTATATGGTGAGGAATAGTGGTCCAGTTTTATTCTTCTGCACATGGCAATCCAATTTTCCCAGCACCAATTATTGAAGAGGGTGTTCCCAGTGCATGTTTTTGTTGAATTTGTGAAACATCAGTTGGTTGTAGGTATGTCACTTTATTTCTTCATTATCTATCCTGTTTTTTAAATCTATATCTTTATTTTTATACGAGTATCATGGTGTTTTCATTACTATAGTGTTGTAGTATAATTTGATGTCAGGTAATGTGATGCTTCCAGCTTTGTTCTTTTTGCTTAAGATTGTTTTGGCTATTCAGGCTTTTTGTTGTTGTTGTTCCATGTGAATTTTAGGATCATTTTTCAAATCATGTTAAAAATGATGTTGGTATTCTGATAGGAATTTTATTGAATCTGTAAATTGCTTTGAGCAGTATGGTAATCTTAGTGATTTTTTTCTCCAATCCATGAACATGGAATGTATTACATTTGTTTGTATCTTCTGCAATTTCTTTAATCAGTGTCTTATAGTTTCTGGCAGAGATCTTTTACTTGTTTTGTTAAATATATTCCTAGGTATCTTATTTTTTGTAGCCATTGTAGATGGTATTAACCTATTAATTTGGTTCTTGTATTGATCATTATTGTTGCATAGAAATGCTGCTGATTTTTGAACACAGATTTTGATTCCTGAAACTTTACTGAATTCAGTGGTCAAATCTAGGAGT
Source organism: Homo sapiens (assembly GCF_000001405.40). Classification (NCBI taxonomy): domain Eukaryota; kingdom Metazoa; phylum Chordata; class Mammalia; order Primates; family Hominidae; genus Homo; species Homo sapiens. The sequence goes on from NC_000023.11 coordinate 76,685,228, forward strand.
CTTTTAGTGAGGTCTTTAGGGTATTCTAGGTATACAATTATATCATTGTTAAACAGGAATAATTTTACTTCCTTCTTTTCAATTTGGATACATTTTATTTCTGTCTTTTGCCTGATTGCTTTGTCTAAGGCTTCCAATACTATGTTGAATAGGAGTGGGGAAATTTGGCATTCTTGGGTTTTTTTTCAGTTCTTAAGAGGTATGATTTCAACTTTTCCCCATTCAATATGATATTGTCTCCAGGTTTTTTATACATGGCTTTTTTTTTTTGAGGTATGTTCCTTCTATGCCTAGTTTGTTGAGGGTTTTTATGATAAAGAAAGGCTGAATAAAATTATTTGTCTATACCTATTGACATGACCTTAGCCTTACTTGTTATTAATTTTGTTTATGTGGTAAATCACACTTATTTATTTGCATATGTTAAACCATCCTTGCATTCCTTGAATAAAATCCACTTGATCATGATGTATTATCTTTTTGATGTGCTATTGAATTTTGCTTGCTAGTATTTTGTAGGGAATTTTTGCATCTATGTTCATCATAAATATTGATCTGTAGTTTTCCTCTTTTTATTGTGTGCTCATCTGGCCTTGGTATCTAGATCATGCTGCTGTAGTAGATGAGTGAGGAAGGATGTCATCCTTCCCCATTTTTTGGAATGATTTCAGAACGATTGGCATCAGTTCTTCTTTGCATGTCTGGTAGAATTTGACTGTGCATCTGTCTTGCCTGGGATTTTTTTCGTTTAAAGGTATTTTATTACTGGATAAATATCACTATTTGTTACTGGTCTGTTCAAAATTTCCACTTTTTCTTAGTTCAATCTTGGAAAGTTGTACATTTTCAGAGATTCATCTATTTCCTCTGGATTTTCTTTACATACATTTTTATTTCCAAAAGTTCTATTTTGTTTTTCTAAATATATATCCCTTTGGTAAATTTCTCATTCATATCCTAAATTAATTAATTAATTTTCTGATTACTTTGTATTTGTTTTCATATTTTTCTTGCATTTCACTGAGCTTCTTTAATATCAATATTTTGAATTCGTTTTCTGGTATTTAAAATTGCATTTTTGTTATGATCCACTGCTACAGAGGTATTTTGATCCTTTGGGGGCCTCACACAGCTCTTTTATTTTATACTTCCAGAATTATTATTCTTATTCCTTCTCATCTGGAGAAATTGTCATGTCTTTTTATTTTTTAATATACTTTCATTTGGTCAGGACTTTTTAATATTTTCCTTTGAAATGTGACTATAATATATGTTGAGTGGGCTTGTTTGGCTTTAGTTCTGAATGGTCTCAGTGGCAAAGACTTTGTATAAATTCCTTTGTTACAGACTGCCTAGTGTGGTGGATTTCTCAAGTGCTGTTTGTACTAGTGGTATACTGGACATGTAAGCATGCTCATGGCATCCTGGAGAGCTGAGGTGGCAGAGGTCTGCATAAGCTCTTCTTGTTTCCAAGCTCTGTGCACTTACATTAGCAGATTTTGTATTAGATTGTGCAGTTTGACCCCATGGCAGTAAGTGGCACTGGCAGGCAATAGCTAGCTGTGGTGGTAGCAAGCAGTAGGGTTTATGCTTGACTTTTTTTTTTTTTTCCAGAAAGAAGCTCTCTAATGTCTCAAGCAATGGGCTGTTCTGTAGAACACACAGTGGCCTGGGCTTTGTGCTCAGCTTCAGAAGGGGTCACAGCTGGGCAGAGCTGGGTTGGGCTGGCCTGCCCACAGGTATGCTAATATCAGGCACAGACAACAGCCCTGGTGGGAGTGGCAGGGGACTTTCCTAGCCTCTCTATGATTTCCTCAATTGTACATAACTTACTGTGGTGGCTTTCTCAAATGTTAGTTGTAGTAGTAATTTACCAGGTGGATAAGTAGGCTCAAGTCTTCCTGCGTATCTGGTGTGGTGTGGGCAATGATGATAGCAGAGGTCACAAAATGCCTGTTTCCTTTCTGATTACTGTGCAATTGTGTCAACAGATGTTGTAATGGGCTGTGTAGATGCTATAATGGGCTGTGTGATTAGCTGTGAGATGGGGCTGGGCCAAGAAAGCCCAAATTCAGGCTTCCTGACATCAAGTGCAAGCACTAGCCCTGACAGTAGTCAGAAGATAGTTCTCAGGCTGCCGGTGCTATGTTCCAGGGAGGACAGGTGCAACATCTGCAATGCCAAAGAGCCCACACAGGGAAAGAAGGGCAGCTCATGCTCCATAACCTAGCAGGCAATAGTGAAACCTGATTCATTCCCATACTATCAATCTGGTGGAGCCCCCTATTATGCCTTGCCGCTGGCAGAAAGCTAAAACAGTTATCTAAGTTACAAGCAGTCTGTCTTCAGACCAGAGAAGTGCCCCAGGCCACAAAACTCCTTGCCCAGCACAAAATCCATGGCTCCCAAACCACACCCCTTTCAGTCCAGTCCTACGAAGGGGGGTTGCCCAACTCCTGTGCCTGTGGCTCCATCTCATGCCACACTCACCTCTGAAGTCTGATTCTGGGGGTTCTTCCCCAACTCAAGACTAAATCTCAAATCTCAGTCCAGAGACTCTCCAAACCAATGACTGCTGCTTGTGCTGTTTGGGAGGTTCCCATGCAGCCCACTGTGAGTTAGAATCAGGAATGATCGGCCGGGCGCGGTGGCTCACGCCTGTAATCCCAGCACTTTGGGAGGCCGAGGCGGGTGGATCATGAGGTCAGGAGATCGAGACCATCCTGGCTAACAAGGTGAAACCCCGTCTCTACTAAAAATACAAAAAATTAGCCTGGCGCGGTGGCGGGCGCCTGTAGTCTCAGCTACTCGGGAGGCTGAGGCAGGAGAATGGCGTGAACCCGGGAAGCGGAGCTTGCAGTGAGCCGAGATTGCGCCACTGCAGTCCGCAGTCCGGCCTGGGCGACAGAGCGAGACTCCGTCTCAAAAAAAAAAAAAAAAAAAAAAAGAATCAGGAATGATCATGCTTTATTTGTGCTAGGGTCTGGAAACATGTGCAAAAGACTTCCCACTGCCACTCCTTCTCACAGTCTCCCCACTGCTCCTCAAGTCAGATTCAGTACTGGGTAGGGTCAAAGAGCTCCCCTGTGGCCTGGATTGCCTGGCTCTCCAGTGGAAATATGTGTCAGAGAGACATTTCCTGCCCTTCTTGTGCACTGGGGAGTCACTCCCAGTTTTCTGCCAGACCCATGGCATGGTCTGCTGCCTGCCATGTTTTTCAAAATATCTGAAGTTTCCTTTGTTTTTATATTGAGCTCCTGTGTTTCTTCTTGGATAAAAGTCCACAGCATTAATCTCTACACACAATTTTGCTATTTCCAAGTAAATGAGATGCAACAACAAAGCCTCTAATCTGTCATCTTAGAGGGAAAAAAGCCACGTTAATTCATTTCTATTGTCTAATAATTTTACCATGAATTCTATTTTGTCTAAAATTCAGGTTGCTACATACGCCTGGTATATACTTTTACATCCTTATTTTTTTCCAATTTATGCCATTTTTTTAGGTACATTTCTTATAAACAGCTATGTTTGGGGGTTTATATTTTGTTTGTTTGTTTTGCCCAATCTGACAGTGTCTGGCTTCCAATAAAGAAATTTATTTTATTTTATTTTATTTTTATCAAAGTAATATGTGTGTGTAACACACACACACACACACACACAAATAATAAAATTCCATTGTTCACAAGGGCTCATAATAAACTATCCTGAATGCCTGTTTTCTCCTTTATTCCTCAACATTTAAATATGTCTGTTTCTATTCTTGGGGTAGTAACTTCCTTAACTCTAAGTAATTTACTTATTTTGGAATTTCTTGGTTTATTAGCTTAAGATGTCACTTATTTACTCTTTTGCAAGAAAAGTGAGAATTTAAGTCACACTCACTCTTCAAAATTTTAATTATATTATTTTAGTTCATCTTGTTCCATCTGTATTTAAAAGTATCTCTCATCTGCCCATTATGCATTTTGTTGAACAATATGAAACTCCTAATTTTAGTTGAAAAATGGTTGGATATCAGAAAATTCAGATTGCTCAGCTTAATAAAAAGAAGCTAACAGTATTCCTATATTTTCTTTCACTTTTCTCCACCAATTTCCTCCTATCACCTTCTGTCAGCTGTGTCTTTAATTTTATAGTTGTGTAATGATCCAAAATCATAATAAAATATTCCTTGCTATGTGTATAGGTTGAAAAATCAATAAACAACATGATTTACACTAGTATTAAAGAAAAATTGGGGCTGGGTATGATGGCTCTCTCCTGTAATCCCAGCACTTTGGGAGGCCGAGGCAGGTGGATCACGAGGTCAGGAGTTTGAGACCAGCCTGGCCAATATGGTGAAACCCCATCTCTACTAAAAATACAAAAATTAGCTTGACGTGGTGACACATGCTTGTAGTCCCAGCTGCTTGGGAGGCTGAGGCAGGAGAATTGCTTGAACCTGGGAGGTGGAGGTTGCAGTGAGCCAAGATCATGCCACTGCACTCCAGCCTGGGTGACAGAGTGAGACTCCATCAAAAAAGAAAAAGGAAAAAAAAGAAAAAGAAAAATTGGAAGATAAATATGAGGAAATCTAGAACAAAGAGGAAGATTGTGACAATAAATACATGAGATATTGAGAAACAATTCAAGATGCACAACATCCAACTTACAGGAGTTCAAGACAGGAGAGAAGAAAAGAATAAGGCAAAGAAAACTATCAAGAAATTATATAAGGTTATATAAGGTTTCTCATTGCTGAAATGGTTCAAATTGAAATGGCCTTTAGAGTGGTGACTGGAGTAAATAGGAAAAGACCCCGCAACATCGTGCATCTCAACAAAATTTTAGAACAAGAATAAGGAGGAACTGGTAAAAATAAAAATTCCAAAGTAGGGGACAGGGACAGATAACATGAGAGAAATGAAAATTAGACTATCATCATATCTGTTATTAGTAAGTTGCACAAGATTCTAGGAGACAAGTATGTAGGAGAGATTCTGCGAAGTAGAATTGTTGATGCATAGTCTTTGAATATTTAAAACTTTTGTAGGTACTATCAAATTATTCTCCTAAAATGCTTAAACAATTTATACTCCTAAAACCAGTGCATAACAATGTTCATTTCCCTTCATTCTCACTCACACTAAACAGTTATCAATTAAAAAAAATTTTTTTGCCTTAGCTTCAATATGACAGGTGATAATTATTTTAATTTGCATTTGTGTGATGAAATTCAGCTTTTAAAAAAGTATTGACAATTGTGTTCTTTTTATATTTTTCTATAGAGTTTATATAAATTGTATTATTGTTTAAAATACTTGGTATTCTTCTCAATGGGGATCCTCCCTAGAATGGGCTTATATTCTTGTCTCACAGACATCAGACTTGGCTATGTGACTACCATGGTCAATGGAATGCATTTGGACATGAAATATGGCACTTAGGAGAAAGGTTTAAGAAAACTTTTATAATTCACCAACTTTTCTCTGCCATAAGATTAGTAATGTCCTAGATAGAGGCTGTTTTCTCACCTAGAGTTTTAAAGTGAAGATGACAGACAGCAGGACCACAGCTGATCTGATAGAGACATGTAACCTGAGATGTAAATAAACATTTGTGGTTGTAAACTACAGGTATTTTTAGGCAATTTTTTTTACTCTAGTACAATTTAATGTAAGCTAAATGATACAGGGATGTTCATCTGTTATTTAATTAATTAGCAATAGATATTTTATACTAGATATATTCACCACTGTTTGTTGTATATGTTACAATTTTCAGTGTTTTGTATACATTTTAATTTTGTTTATTATATTTTATAATTCTTGTTATTCATTATGGGCTTTTAAGAAGTTTTACAGTATTTATATAGGCAAATCTGTCAATCATTTTTACTACAGTTTGTGGCTTTTATGCCATATTTAGGAAAAAATCTTTCCCCAAACCATGATTTTTAAAATCCTTATCAATATTTATTTTTAATACCTCTGGAGTTTCATTTTGTACATTTAAAATATTTAACTATTTGGTAAATTAATGTATTTCTAGTGGCCAGCTCATTGTTTCAATATCAATAAATTGTTAGTCTATCCTTTACCTAATAATTTAAAATATTTCCTGTGTTATATATTAAATTACATAAACTTGGACCTGTTTTAAACCTGTTATATGGTTTGGCTCTTCTGTCCCCATCCAAATCTCATTTTGAATTGTAATCCCCATGTGTCAAGGGGGGGACCTGATGGAATGTAATTGGATCACGGGGGCAGTTTTCCCCATGCTGTTCTCATGATAGTGAGGGAGTTCTCATGAGATCTGATGGTTTTAAAGTGTGGCACTTCCCCTTAGTTCCCTCTCTCTCTCTCCTGCCACCTTGTGAAGAAGATGCATGCTTCTGCTTTGCCTTTTGCCATAATTGTAAGTTTCCTGAGGCCTCCACAGCCGTGCCATACTGAGAGTCAATTAAAACTACTTGATTTGAAAATTATCCAGTCTCAGGTAGTATCTGTATAGCAGTGTGAAAATGAGCTAATGCACTCTGTCCCAGTGTTCTGTCAGACTATTTCTGTACTTATATTATTTTAATTACCATGGATTTATGTTTCAATATTTGGTAGGACTGTCCCTCATTATTTAAAATTTTTTCAGAATTGAACTACTATTTTTAAATGTTTCATTTATGCAGGTAGTATTTAGAAATATTTAATTACATAAAAATAGAATCTTTATCATGTCATTCCACTGCTTAAAATACTCAGTACTTTCCTCTTTATTATACCTTTTATGACTTGTCACAACAACCTCAGGTGAGAAATCAGAGTACATAGCGAAGTGAGCTTTGAATTCCCAGTGGTGCTATGGGAAGTGCTAACGTCATAACTGGAACCCATCTTTTACTTCCAGAGTACCCCAAAATGTATAGTGTATTCCAAAAAGTGAATGAACCTAGGGACTTCCTGATTTAATCTAATTATGGGGAAAGGAGCAAGTGAAGCAGATGAATGCTCCAGTCCTAGTCCCATAAACCAAATTGAACTTCCCATTTGTTATGACCCTGTAAACATATAAAAATCAAGCAGAAAAAACTAGATGGCACTCTAGGCTACTGGTTTTGGTATTGCTTTATTCTTCAAACAAAATTGCATGTACATATTCAATACACAAAAAAGAGACACTATTGAAATGTAGGAGTTTTCTGTGCCACTTTTGCTGAAACCCTAGCACTCCAGGAAATACAATTAGACAACTCAGTGTTCTGCAACCTCCCCAAGAGATCTTGATTCTAATCTGCTTGTTTAGCAAATCCCATCATCCCATCCCTTTGACATACGGACTTTTAATTTCTCTAGTGAGAACTCCCAGCCACTCAGAGATCTGCCTCCTTCCAACCTCTTAAATGGCTCAAGACTGGACCAGCCATACCTATTTTATTAGTGACAACTAAGGGGTAAGACTGGTTCCTTTATGATCACTGATGAGTGACGTCAGCTAAAGCAGAAAATCAGGTAGTCTACGTATGAAACCTCCCAATTTTCTCTTCTACTCTTCTCTTGCTCTCTTTTTCTTTCTCTTGTCATGGAGATTTTTTCAATATTTTTCTTTTGGTGGCAGTATTGCTCCACTGATAGAGCCATCTCTTTCTCCCACCTTTTGTTTTTGAAAAACACCTACAGTTGAAACAAGTATATTTCACTTGATAAGAGTATTTTTCATCTGGGATTTGCATCTAAGGGAGATTTTCCAGAACTTACCACTAATAATTCTCTGTCCAGGCTTTCTTGATTACATAGGAAAAGAAGATCAGACAGATTCCATGATCTACTTTCTGTTTCTTTTCTTCATGATTTTTTCTTTTTAATAACTTTTCTATAGCTGTAAAATATACACCAATCATTATATAAAATTTGAAAAACAGAAAATGTTAAAGACAAAAATAACATCATCATTTATCCCATAAACAAGAGAGAGCACTACTGTTAAAAATCTAAAGCAATCTCTCCAGTGAGTTTTCTTTGTGTACATTTTGATATAATTGTGATCACATTGTACACATAATTTAATTATCTGATTTTGTATTGTTTATATCTCATAAGCATGTTTACATATTCTTCTAAAATTGTTAAAAAGATTTTATAATTTAAAACTTTTAATTATATCATTTAATGCCTGTGGAATTATCTACCGTATAAATGAATCATCAGTTAATTGGGATTGCTTACAAAACGTTGGTATTTTAAATAATACCAACATAGATTGCTTATAAAACATTATTATTTTAAATAATATATAAATAATATTTCTATAAACTAAGTAAACTGAGTGCTTTCTTACTTGAATTTCAGGCAAAATGCATCCCTGGAAAAAGAAAGACTGGTTGACCCAAGTATCCACCTAATTGGAGAATGCCAATCTGTGAGGTATTTTATCATTTAGTCTCCACAACTCACCCATTTAAGGAAGAGAAGAAATTCCTGTAGAGCTTTTCCTGAGCACAAAAATTTTGATCATTTTTTCTCTCAATTATGATCTATTCTGAAACAAACTAGCTGTGAATTTTTGAAATTGGTTTACCCAGGGCTGTGATAAAATTGTGCCTTTCTAAAATGGTCCAAATCCATGGAATTGGCAACCTTGCACATATTTTTAAACAAAATTACTCTTCTCCTAGCCAAGAAAACCTATCCTCCAGAACCAAAGAATTTTTGATGATGAGGGTCACCTTAAATAATGAGATACATGCATACATCATTTTATTGCTTTTCACTTTATTGCAATTCACAAATATTGCTTTCAGGTTTGTGGCAACCATGTACCAAGAAAGTCTATCATTGTCATTTTTACAACACCATGTATTCGCTTATTGTTTCTTTGCTACAATTTGGTAATTCTCAAAATATTTCCAACTTTTTCATTATTATTGTGTCTGTTGTGGTAATCTGTAACCAGTGATCTTTGCTGTTACTGTTGTAATTTTTTTTTTTTCTTTTCAGGCAGAGTCTTGTTCTCTCTCCCAGGCTGGAGTGCAGTTGCGTGATCTCAGCTGACTGCAAACTCTGCCTCCTGAGCTCAAGCAATTCTCCTGTCTCAGCTTCCTGAGTAGCTGGTATTACAGGTGACCCCCATCATGATTGGCTAATTTTTGTATTATTAGTAGAGATGAGGTTTCACCATGTTGGCTAGGCTGATCACAAAATCCTGACCTCAGATGATACACCCTCCTTGGCCTGCCAAAGAGCTGGGGTTACAGGTGCGAGTCACCATGCCCAGACTGTTGTAGTTGTTTTGAGGTGCTATGAACCACGCTCATATAAGATGGCGAACTTAATACATTTTGTGTGTGTTCTGACTGCTCCACTGACCAGTCATTCCTCCATCTCTCTCTCTATTCCTCAGGCTTCTCTATTTGCTGAGACACAACAATATTTAAATTAAATCAGCTAGTAACCCTAAAATGGCCTCTAAGTGTTCATGTGAAAGAGTCATACCTTTATCATTTTAAATCAAAAGCTAGAAATAATTACATTTACTGAGACTAATCAGCTTACTGAAAGTAACCTCATCGAAAGGTGAGAAAAGCCAAACTAGGCTTTTTGAGCCAAACAGTTAACCAAGGTGTGAATACAGAAGAAAAAGTCTTAAAATAAATTTAAAATGCTACTCCAGTGAACACAAGAATGATACGAAAGTAAAACAGTCTTATTGCTAACAAGAATTAAGCTTTACTGGTCTGGATAGAAGATCAAACAAGTCACAACATTCCCTTAAAACAAAGCCTAAACCAGAGCAAGGCCCTAACTCTCTTCAACTCTGTGAAGGTGGTGAGTGTTAAGAAAGCTGCAGAAGAAAACTTTGAAACTAGCAGAGGTTGGTTTATTAGATTTAAAGGAAGAGGCCATCTCCATAACATGAAAGTGAAAGGTGAAGCAACAAGTGCTGATGTGGAAGCTACAGCAAGGTATCCAGAATATCTAGCTAAGATCATTGAAGAAGGTGGATACACTAAACAACCCTGTCAATTTAAAGAAAACTGCCTTCTATTGGAAGAAGATGCCAGGACATTCACAACTGGAGACAACTCAATTCCAGTCTTCAAAGCTGTAACAAAACAGACTGACTCTTGTTAGGAGCTAAAGCAGCTGGTGACTTTAAATTGAAGCCAATGGTCATTCACTATTCCAAAAATCCTAGGGCTCTTAAGAAATATACTAATTTTACTCTACAAATTAGAAAACCTAGATGAAATGAATACATTCCTGGATACATATAATCTATCAAGATTAAACTATAAAGAAATAGAAAATGGAATAGACCAGTAATGAGTAATCCAATTGAAACAGTAACAAAATGTGTCCCAATAACAAGAGAAAACTATACTCAGGACTGACTTTAATGTTATATTCTACCAAACTTTGAAAAAAGAACTAACAGCTATTCTACTCAAACTATTTCAAAAACTTGAAGAGGAGGGAATTCTTTGTAACTCAATCTATAAGGCTAGCCTTATCCTGATATTAAAATTAGACAAGAGCACAATAAAAAAAGAAAACTACATATCCCTGATGAAAATAAATGCAAAGGTTGTCAGCAAAATACTAGCAAATTGAATTCAACAATACATCAGAAAGATAATACAATATGATCAAGTATGATTTATTCCAGGAATGCAAGGATGGTTCAACATATACAATTTAATGTGATACATCACATCAACAAAATTAAAGACAAAAATTATAAGATTATCTCAATAGACACCAAAAAAGTATTTGATAATACTCAACAATGGAGAAAGGGGGAGTTAGATGGTGGGATGAAAAGCTCCATTGATCGTTCCCCCTGCTGGCATACAATTTTAACAAATATCTGCACAGAAAAAAGTAACTTCCCTAAGAAACAAAAATCAGGTGAGCCCTCACAGTACCTTGTTTTGTCTTTGTATCACTGAAAAAGGCACTAAAGAGATAGAAAAAAAAGTGTTAAGTTACAAATTCCACCTCTCTCTCCCACACCCCATGCAGCAGTGGCTTGGTGCAGAGATCATCACTGAATGCTGAGGGAGGGAGAACACAGCAAGTGTGAGGCACTGAACTCAGTCCTGTCTTGTTAGAGGAGAAAACAAATCCAGACTAAACTTAGCTGACACCCACCCATGGAGAGAGCATTTAAACCAACCCTAGCCAGAGGAGAATTACGAATCCCAGCAGACCAAACTTGAGTTTTCACAAACCTCATTATTATGGACTACAGTGCTCTGTGTCTCTAAATGAACTTGAAAGACAATCTGGGCTATAAGGACTGCAACTCTTCGGTGAGTCATATTGCTGAACTAGGCCTAGAGAAAGTGGACTGGAGGGACACATAACCTACTGAGACATCAGTTAATGTGGTTAAGAGAGTGCTGGCATTACCCCTCCCCTAAATCCAGGGTGCACAGCTCACAGCTACAAAAAAGACCCCTTCCTTCCACTTGAGGAGAGGAGAGGGAAGAATGGGGTAATCTTTGCCTTCATCTTGGCTATCAGCTCAGCTGCAGCCAGATATGGCACTGATAAGAGAGTGCTGAGGCTCCTGTTTTAGTCCCCAGATCCCAGGAAACAATTCCAGATAAACAGTGGGCCAGAAGGAAGCACACTTCTTTGGAGGAAATAACCCAGCCCTGGCAACATTCATCACCTGTTAACTGAAAAGTCTTTAGTCCCTGAATAACCGGCAGCAACATAGCCAAGTACTATGTCAAGGGCCTTCAGTAAGCCTCTGAGACTTGCTGGCTTCAAGTGACACTCAATGATTACCAGCTGTGGTGGCTACAGGGCAAAATTTCTGCTTGAGAAAAGTATAGGAAAAAGTAAAGGGGACTTTGTCTTGCAACTTAGGCTCTAGCAAGACCACCAGGTGGTAGAGCAACAAGCAACATCTTTGGATCCCCGGTTTTAGAACTCGGCCCTTGGACAGTATTTCTGGACATGCCCTAGGCCAGAGGGGAGCCCTCTGCCTTGTGGGTGAGTCTCAAGTCAGTCAGCATTTACAACAAGCTGACTTAAGAGACCTTGGGGATAAGGGAACATAAGCAGTAGTCTGGCAGTACTCTTCATGGCCTGGGGTGGTGGTAACTATGGGGTGAGGCGTCTCTGCCTTTGGAAAGGGGAGGGAAGAGTGGGAAAGGCTGCATCCTGTGATTTGACTGACAGCTCAGCCACAGTACAATAGAACACAAAGTGGATTTCTAAGGTTTTTTACTCTAGTCCCTGAATCTTGTATAAAAGCTCTGAACCCACCTGGAGCTTGGGGGACCTCACAACTCTGGAGGGAAGAACACAAGCCTGGCTGGTTTTGCCACTGGTTGATTCTAGAGCCCCAGGGCCTAGAGAAAACATAGGCATTAGCAAGAAAGCGCTTACAGCAGGCCTTGGGTGAGACCCAGTGCTGTTCTGGCTTCAGGTCTGACCCAGTACAATCATAGTGATTGTGGTCACAGAGAGGCTTGTGTCACTTCATCCCAGATTTAGGTGGCTCAGAACAGAGACAGAAATTCTTTTGGTTTGAAGAAAGTAAGAGAAGAAAATAAGAGTCCTCATCTGGTAATCCAGAGAAATCCCCTAGAGTTTTTCCAAGACCATCAAGGTGATACCTCTGGGAGTCTGCAAGAACCACAATGTTATTGGGCTTGGAGCACCCCCTAAAGCAGATACTGCTTAGATCACAACACCCAAGTTCTTTGAAATATCTGGAAAGCCTTCCCAAGAAGGATGAGTACAAATAAGCCCAGACAGTGAAGGCCACAATAAATACCTAACTCTTCAATGCCTGGATACTGATGAGCATCTACTGACATCAACAACATCCAGGAAAACATTATCTCACCAAATGAATACTTAAAGCACCAGGGACTTATCCTGGAGAAAGAGATATGTGATTTTTCAAACAGGAAGTACAAAATAGCTGTGTTGAGGAAAATCAAAGAAATTTAAGATATCAAAAACAAGGAATTTACAATTCTATCAGATAAATTTAACAGAGGTTGAAATAATTAAAGATAACCAAGCAGAAATTTTAGAGCTGGAAAATGCAAGTGGCATACTGAAAAATACACCAAAGTCCTTAAATAGCAGAATTGTTCAAAGCAAAAAAAAGAAATAAGGAGTTGAACAATCAGAACACATGGACACAGGGAGGGGAACATCACACACCGGGGCCTGTCGGGGGTGGGGGGAGCTAGAGGAGGAATAGCATTAGAAGAAATACCTAATGTAGATGACAGGTTCATGGGTGCAAGAAACAACCATGGCATGTGTATACCTACATAACAAACCTGCACATTCTGCACATGTATCCCAGAATTTAAGTATATAATGAGCTTGGAAACAGGCTACTTAAGGATACACATGAAAAAGAATAAATACTTAAAAAACAATGAAACATGACTACAGGATTTAGAATATAGCCTCAAAAGGAAAATTTTTTGGCCTTAGAGTTATTGGCTTTAAAATGGAGGTAGAGAAAGACATAGGGGTAGAAAGTTTATTTTAAAGAATAATAACAAAGAACTTTCCAAACCTGGAGAAAGATATCAATACTCAAGGAAAAAAAAAAAAAAAGGTTACAGAACACCAAGCAGGTTTAACCCAAGAAAGACTCCCTCAGGGCTTTTAATAATCAATCTCTGAAAGGTCAAGGATAAAGAAAGATTTCTAAAAGCAGCAAGAGAAAAGAAACAAGTAACACACAATAGAGCTCCAATACATCTGGCAGCAAACTTTTCAGTGGGAACCTTACAGGACAGACAAGAATGGCATGACATATTTAAAGTGCTGAAGGAAACAAAACTATTACCTTAGAATGGTATGTCTAGCAAATATATTATTCAAATGAGAAAGAGAAATAAAGACATTGTCAGACAAATGAAAACTGAAGGATTTTGTTAACACCAGTCCTGTCCTAAAAGAAATGATAAAGAGAGTCATTCGGTCAGAGGGAAAAGGAGATTAATGAGCAATAAGAAATTACCTGAAGGTAGAAAACTCACTGGTAATGGTAGGTACACAGAAAAACACAGAATATCATAACACTGTAACTGTCGTGTGTAAACTACTCTTATCCAAAGTAGAAAGACGAAAGAAAAGAATCAAAGTAATAACTACAACAACTTTTCAAGACATAGTACATTAAGATATGACTAGAAACAAAAAAAGATAAAAACTGAGGGTAGAAAGTTAAAGCATAGAGTTTTTATTAATTTTTTTTGCTTGTTTGTTTATGCAAACAATTTCAAGTTGTTATCAGGTTAAAATAATGGATTGTAAGGTAGTATTTGCAAGCTTCATTGTAACCTCAAACCAAAAAGCATACAATGGAGACACAAAAAATAAAAAGCAAGAAACTAAATCATGTCATCAGAGAAAATCACCTCTACTAAAAGAAGATAAGAAAGAAAGAAAGAAGAAAGAGATGACCATAAAAAAAGAAAACAAATAACAAAATGGCAGGAGTAAGTCCTTACTTAATAATAACATTGAATGTAAATGGGCTAACCACTCAAACTGAAAGATATTGATTAGCTGGAATAAAAAAAAGACCCATTGATCTGTTGCCTACAAAAATAAAAAAACGGAACACATTTCACCTAGGAAGACAAACAGACTGAAAATAAATGAATGGAAACAATATTCCAAGCCAATGGAAACCAAAAAGGAGCAGAAGTTGCTTTACTTATATCAGGGAAAATAGATGTTAAGATGAAAACTATAAGAAGAGACAGGAAGGTCAGTATATAATGAAAAAGGTGTCAGTTCAGCAAAGGCATACAACAATTTTAAATATATAAACACCTGACACCGGAGCTACAAGATGTTAAATCAGATTTAGCCTAAAACCACCTCCTTACATAGTTAGGTTCAGCCTAAAGGTATTTTTGCACATTGTGAACTATAACAAGTGGAGGTGTAAACAGACAGTAGTCTACACTTGTGCCAGTCAGCGAGTTTTGGCCAATCAATGTAGCCAACTGTTTGAACCTTGTTCAGATAAGGCAAAAGCCAAGCTGTAACCAATCCAGCTGTTTCTGTACCTCACTTCCATTTTCTGTATGTCACTTTCCTTTTTCTATCCATAAATCTTCTTCCATCATGTGGCTCCACTGCAGTCTCTGAGCCTACTGTGGCTCAGAAGGCTGACCGATTTGTGAATCATCCATTGCTCAATTAAACTCCTTTACATTTAATTGAACTGAAGTATTTCTTTTATCAGAGATATATAAAGGAAATACTATTAGAGATAAAGAGAGAGAGAAGCCCCAATACAATAATAGCTGGAGACTTCAACACCCAACTGTCAGCATTGGACACAACTTCCAGACAGAAAATCAATAAAGAAACATCAGACTTAGTCTTAACTATAAATTAAATGGATCTAATAGACATTTACAGAACATTTTATCCAACGGCTGCAAAATACACATTCTTTTTTTCAGCACATAAATTATTCTCAAGAATAGACTATATGTTAGATCACAAAACAAGTCTAAAAATATTCAAAAACTGAAATAATATCAAATATCTTCTCTTACTACAAGGAACTAAAACTAGATATTAATAACAAGAGACATTTTGGAAACTATACAAATACATGGAAATTAAACAATATGCTCCTGAATGACATGTGGATCAATGATGAAATTAAGACAGAAACTGAAAAATTTCTTGAAACATATGCTAATGGAAACACAAAATTCCAAAACTTATGAGATACACCAAAAGCAGTACTAAGATGGAAGTTTATAGCTATAAGTGCCTACAAGAAAAAAGAGGAAAACATTCAAATAAACAATTTAACAATGCATCTTAAAGAACTAGAAATGCAAGAGCAAATCAAAACCAAAATTAGTAGAAGAAAAGTAGTAATAAAGATCAGAGCTGAAAGTAATTAAATTGAAATGAAGACAACAATACAAAAGATCAATGAAATGAAAAGTTATTTTTTGGAAAGTTAAACAAAATTGACAAAATGTTACATAGACTGACTAATAAAAAAGGAGATAAAAATAAATAAAATCAGAAAAGAAGAAGGAGACGTTACAACTGATACCACAGAAATTCAAAAAATTATTAGTAGCTACTGAGCAACTATGTTCTAATAAATTGGAAAATCTAGAAGAAATGGACAAATTTCTAGGCACATAAAACTTACCAAAGTTGAACCAGGGAGAAATTCAGAACCTTAACATATCAATAACAAGTAACAAAATCGAAGCCATGATAAAATTCCCCCAGTTGAGAAAAGCCCAGGACCCTAAAGCTTCACTGTTGAATTCTACCAAACACTTAAAGAAGAACTAATACCAACCCTACTCAACCTCTCCCAAAAGAATAGAGGAAGAAGGAATACTTCCAAACTCATTCCATGAGGCCATTGTTACCCAGATTCCAAAACCAGACAAAGATACATCAAAAAAAGAGAAAACAACAGGCCAATATCTCTAATCAATATTTATGCAAAAATCCTCAACAAAATACTAGCAAATTGCATTCAACAATACTTAGAAAGGTCATCCATTATCCAAGTTGGGTTTATCCATGGGATACAATGGTGGTTCAACATAGAAATAATGTGATACATCATACCAACAGAGTGAAGGATAAAAGCCATATGATCATTTCAATTAATGCTGAAATAACATAACTTTTCTTCATGAGAAAAACCCTCAAAATACTGGAGATAAAAGAAACATACCTCAGCATAACAGAACCCTATACAACAAACCCACAATTAGTATCATACTGAATAAGGAAAAACTGAAAGAAAGCCTTTCCTAAAAAATGACAAGGATGCCCACTGTCACCACTGTTATTCAGCATTGTACTGGAAGTCCTAGCTAGAGCAATTAGACAAGAGAAAGATATAAAAGACATCCAAATTGGAAAAAAAGAAGTCCAATTATCCTTGTTTGCAGATGATATAGCTCATATTTGGAGAAACCTTAAGACTACAAAAAAAAAACTATTAGAACCAATAAACAAATTCAGTAAAGTTGCAGGAAACAAAACCACCATATAAAAATCAGTACTTCTATATGCAAACAACGAACAATCTAAATAAGAAATTCAAAAAGTAATCCCAAATACAATAGCTACACATAACATTAAATACCTAGCAATTAACTAAAGAAGTGAAAGACCTCTATAATAAAAACTATAAAACATTGATGACAGAAATTGAATACCAAATATAGAAAAATAGTCCATGTTCACAGATTGAAAGAATCAATATTGTTAAAATGTCCATTCTACCCAAAGCAGCCTCCATATTCAGTGCAATCCCTATCAAAATACCAATGGCATTCTTCACAGAAATAGAAAAAGTAATTCTAAAATATATACAAAACCACAAAAGACCCAGAGTAGCAAAAGTTATCCTAATCAGAAAGAACAAAACTGGATGAATCACACTACCTGACTTCAAATTATGCTACACAGCTCTAGTAACCAAAATAGTACAGTATTGGCATAAAAACAGACACATAGACCAATGGAAGAGAATAGAGAACCCAGAAATGAATTCACTCACGTACAGTGAACTCATTTTAAACAAAGGTGCAAATAACATACACTACAGACAGTCTCTTCAATAAATGATGCTGGGGAAACTGGATATCCACATGCAGATAAATAAAACTTGACCCCTCTCTTTCAGCACCATATACAAAAATCAAATCAAAGTGGTTTAAAGACTTAAATCTAAGACTTCAAACTATGAAACTACTTCAAGAAAACATTAGGAAAAACCTCCAGGACATTGGTCTGGGCAAAGATTTCTTGAGCTGTACCTCACAAACACAAGCAACCAAAGCAAAGATGGACAAATAGGATCACATCAAGTTCATCAATTTCTGCACAGGAAAGAATAGAAACAACAAAGTAAAAAGACAACCCACTGAATTAAAAAAAAACTATTTGCAAACCAGCCATCTGGCAAGGGATTAATAACCAGAATATATAAAAAGCTCAAACAACTTTATGGAAAAGAGTTTAATAATCTGATTTTTAAAAATGGGCGAGTGATTTGAGTATGTCTCAAAAGAAGACATATAAATCGAAACAAGCATATGAAAAGGTGCTCAACATCATTGATTGTCAGAGAAATACGAATCAAAACTACAATGACATATTGTCTTACTCCAGTTAAAATGGCTTATATTCAACAGATAGGCAATAACAAGGGCTGGATAAGATGTGGAGAAAAGGGAACACTTGCACACTGTCAGTGGAAATGTATATTAGTACAACCACTATATAGAACAGTTTATGGACTCCTCAAAAATTACAAATTGAAATAACATATGACCCAGCAATTCTGATGCTGGGTCACACCCAAAATAAAGGACATTAGTGTATCAAAGAGATGTCTGCACTCCTATGTTTGTTGCAGCACTATGTACAATAACTAAGATTTGGAAGCAACTTAAGTGTCCATCAACAGGCAAATGGATAAAGAAAATATGGTGCATATACACGATGGAGTACTATTTAGCCATAAAAAGGTGACATACAGTTATTTGCAACAATATGGATGAAACTGGAGATCATTATGTTAAGTGAAATATGCCAGGAAGAGAAAGACGAACATCATATGTTCACACTTAGTTATGGAATCTAAATTTAAAAAAATGAATTAGTGGGCATAGAGAGTAGAAGAATCGTTACCAGAAGCTGGCAAGTGTAGTGGAGGGGCTGAGGAAAAGTGGGGATGGTTAATGGGTACAAAAAAAGTTGGTTAGAATGAATGAATAAGACCTACTGTTTGATAGCACAACCGAGTGACTATAGTAAATTATAACTTAATTGTACATTTAAAAATAACTTAAAGATTACAATTGGATTGTTTGTAATTCAAAGGAAAATGATTGAGGTGATGAATACCCCATTCTCCGTGATGTGCTTATTTCACATTGCATGCCTGTATCAAAACGTCTTAAGTACCCCATAAATATATACACCTACTGTGTACCCACAAAAATTAAAAATAATAAAAAATAAAACTGAACTATGCTTCATGATAAAAACTCTTGTTAAATTAGTTGTAGAAAGAGCATACATCATCACAATAATAACCATAACATACCTCATCACAATAATGACCATATATGATAAACACACAGCAAACATCATAATGAATGGGGAAAACCTGAATGTGTTTCCCCTAAGAACTGGGCAACTATGCTCACTTTCACTAGTCTTATTCTACATAGTACTGGAAGTCCTAGCCAAAGCAATTAGGTAAGAGAAGTAAATAAATGACATTCAAATTGGGAAAGAGAAAGTCAAAAGGTTTCTCTTTGAAGATGACTTGATCTTATAAGTAGAAAAACCTAAAGACTCCACCCAAATTCCCTTAGAACTAATACACAAATTCACTGAAGTGGCAGGATAGAGAATCAACATACAAAAGTCAGTAGTGCATTTACATAACAATAATAAATCAGCTGAAAAGATTTCATGAAACCAGTCCCTAAAAGGGACAGCTACAAAAATAATAAAATGCCTAGGAATAAGGTTAAAAAAAAGGTGAAATATTTCTACAATAAAAATTTTAAAACATAGGTGAAATAAATTGAAGAGGACACAAACAAATGGAAAGTCATTCTATGTACATGAATTAGAAGAATTAATATTATTAACATGGCCATACTACCCAAAGCGATCTACAGATTGAATGCAATCCCTATGAAATCACCAAAGAAAATTTTCACATAAATAGAAAAA